>NC_000014.9:38399591-38702622 GCF_000001405.40 Homo sapiens | reverse complement strand
ACCATAGTACATGTTTACCTATGTAACAAACCTGCACATTCTGCACATATGCCCTGGAACTTAAAAAATAAAATTAAAAGAAAAAAATACTTTAGTGTAGAACTCAATATATATATTGAGGCATTTTCTATGTATAGTGCTCTGTCTACAAAAGAGACAATGAAGTTTAAGTGCCTACCAACATGGGCATTCTTAAGATTATCTGCCAGTCCCTGTGTGGGTTTCGCAAGTGTTTGCATGCATTTATCCATAAGAGAAACAATTTATTGTGTGTCTTTCTGGCATTTCTTTTCTTTCTTTTTAAAAATTTTTAATTTTACTTTTTGTAGGTACATAGATGTATATATTTATGGCATACATGAGATGTTTTGATACAGGCATGCAATGAATAATAATCACGTCACGTAAAATGCGGTATCTATCCCAAGTATTTATGCTTTCTGTTACAAATAATCCAATTATATTCTTTTAGTTATTTTTAAACCT
Source organism: Homo sapiens (assembly GCF_000001405.40). Lineage (NCBI taxonomy): Eukaryota > Metazoa > Chordata > Mammalia > Primates > Hominidae > Homo > Homo sapiens. The sequence continues at coordinate 38,702,136 of NC_000014.9, read as the reverse complement.
ACATCAAATTATTGACTATAATCACTCTGTTGTGCTATCAAATACTAGGTTTTATTCATTTTTATTTTTATTTTTGAGACAGGAGTCTTGCTCTGTTGTCCAGACAGGAGTGCAGTGGCACAATCTCGGCTCACTGCAGCCTCTGCCTCCTGGGTTCAAGCAATTTCTAGCTAATTTTTGTATTTTTTAGTAGAGATGGAGTTTCACCATGTTGGCCAGGCTGGTCTCGAACTCCTGACCTCAAGTGATCCACCTGCCTCGGCCTCCCGAAGTGCTAGGATTACAGGCATGAGCCACTGTGCCTGGCCTATTCATTCTTTCTATTTTTCTGTACCCATTAACCATCCCCTCCTCCACTGTATGTTCACACTGCTTTTCCCAGCCTCTGGTAACCATCCTTCTGCTCTCTATCTCCATGAGCTCAATTGTTTTGATTTTTCCCTACAAATAAGTAAGGACATGTGGTGTTTGTCTTTCTGTGCCTGGCATATGTCACTTAGCATAATGACCTCCCGTTCTATCCATGTTGTTGCAAATAACAGGATTTCATTATCTTTTATGGCTCACTAGTTCTCCATTGTATATACATACCACATGTTCTTTATCTACTCATCTGTTGATGGACATTTTAGGTTGCTTCCAAGTCTTGGATATTGTGAAGAGTGCTGCAACAAACTTAGGACTGCAGATTATCTCTTCCATATACTGATTTCCTTTCTTTTGGGCCCATACCCAGCAGTAGGATTGCTGGATCACATGGTAACTATATTTTTAGTTTATTGAGCAACCTCCAAACTGTTCTCCATAGTGGTTATACTAATTTCCATTACCACTACCATTTGTACATCAAGTGTATGAGGGTTCCCTTTTCTCCACATGCTTGCCAGCAATTGTTATTGCCTGCCTTTTGGATAAAAGCCATTTTAACAGGGGTGAGATAATATCTCATTGTAGTTTTTATTTGCATTTCTCTGATGATCAGTGATGTTGAGAACCTTTTCATATGCCTGTTTACCGTTTGTATGTCTTCTTTTGAGAAATATCTATTCAAATCTTTTGTCCATTTTTTGATGGGATTATTAGTTGTTTTCCTATGGAGTTATTTGAGCTCCTTATGTATTCTGGTTATTAATCCCTTGTCAGAAGGGTAGTTTGCTAATATTTTCTCCCATTCTTTAGGTTTTGTCTTCACTTTGTTGTTTCCTTTGCTGTGCAGAAGCTTTTAACCTGATGTGATCCCATTTGCCCATTTTTTTGCTTTGGTTGTCTGTGCTTGTGAAATATTACTGAATAAATTTTTCACTCCAATGTCTTGGAGACTTTCTCCACTGTTTTCTTGTAGTAGTTTTATAGTTTGAGGTCTTAGGCTTAATTTTTAATCCATTTTTATTTGATTTTTGTATATGGCAAGAGATAAAGGTCTAGTTTCCTTCTTCTGCATACGGATATCCAGTTTTCTCAGCACCATTTAATGAAGAGACTACTTTTTCCCCCGGTGTATGTTCTTGGCACCTTTGTCAAAAATGAGTTCACTGTAGGTGTGTGGATTTGTTTCTGGGTTCTCTATTTTGTTCCATAGTCTATGTATCTGTTTATATACTAGTACTATGCTGTTTTGTTTACTCTAGCTTTATAGTATAATTTAAAGTGAGGTAAAGTGATTCCTCCAGCTTTTTTTTTTTTTTTGTTGGAGGGGGGCTTTAAGGTAGATTTGGCTCTTCTGGGTCTTTACTGGTTTCACATAATTTTAGGATTATTTTTTCTATTTCTGTGAAGAGTGTCATTGGTATTTTGATAGAGACTGCAATGAATGTGTATATCACTTTGGGTAGTATGTGTCAGGCCTCTAACACATACCTCTAATACATATGATGGCCAAGCTAAGCCATCATAACCCCTGTGACCTGCATGTATACATCCAGATGGCCTGAAGCAACTGAAGAACCACAAAAGAAGTGAACCACAAAAGAAGAACCACAAAAGAAGCAACTGAAGAACCACAAAAGAAGAACCACAAAAGAAGTTCCTGCCTTAACTGATGACATTCCACCATTGTGATTTGTTCCTGCCCCACCCTAACTAATCAATTGACCTTGTGACATCCCTCCCCTGGACAATGAGTCTCATCATCTCCCACCCTGCACCTTATGACCCCCGCCCCTGCCCACAAGAGATAACCACCTATAACTAATTTTCCACTACCCACCCAAATCCTATAAAACTGCCCCATCCCTATTTCCCTTTGCTGACTCCTTTCTTGGACTCAGCCCACTTGCACCCAAGTGAATAAACAGCCTCATTGCTCACACAAAGCCTGTTTGGTGGTCTCTTCACATGGATGCATGTAACAGTATGGACATTTTAACAATATTGATTCTTCAAATCCATGAACATGGAATATATTTCCTTTCTTTGGTGTCCTCTTCAATTTCTTGCATCAGAGTTTTATAGTTTTTATTGTAGAGATCTTTGACTTCTTTAATTTTAGTCCTAGGTATCTTATTTTATGTGTAGTGATTAAAAATGGGACTACTTTCTTGATTTTTTTTTTCATATAGTTACCTGTTGGTATGTAGAAATGCTACTGATTTTTGTATGTTGATTTTGTAGCCTGCAACTTTACTGACTTTATCAGTTCTAATAGTTTTTTGGTGGTGGAGTCTTTAGGTTTTTCCAAATACAAGAACATATCATCTGCAAACAAGGATAATTTGATTTCTTCCACTCCAATTTGGGTGCCCTTTCCTTCTTTCTCTTGTCTGATTGCTCTAGCTAGGACTTCCAGTACTATGCAGTGGTAAAAGTGGGCATCCTTTTCCTGTTTCAGATCTTAGAGGAAAGGCTTTCAGTTTTTCTCCATTTAGTATGATACTAGCTGTGGGTCTGTTATATAGGGCTTTTATTATGTTGAGGTATGTTCCTTCTATGCCCAGTATTTTGAGTTTTTTTTTTTTATCATGAGGAGATGTTTAATTTTATCAAATGCTTTTTCAGTATCAATTTAAATGATCATATGGCTTTTATTCTTCATTCTGTTGATATGATGTATCACATTGATTGATTTGTGTATGTTGAACCTTCCTTGCATAATGGGGTAAATCCAACTTGGTCATGATGAATGGCCCTTTTATGGAGTTATGGATTTTGGTTTGCTAGTATTTTGTTGGGGATTTTTGCATCATTATTCATCATTGATACTGGCCTGTAATTTTCTATTTTTTTGATGAGTCTTTGTATGGTTTTCGTATCAGGGTAATACTGCCCTTGTACAATCAGTTTGGAAGTATTCCTTCCTACTCTACTTTTTGGAATAGTTTGAGTTAGACTGGTATGGGTTCTTTCTTAAATGTATGATAGAATTTAGCAGTGAAGCCATTGAGTCCTGGGCTTTTCTTTACCAGGAGACTTTTTATTATGGCTTTGATCTCATTACTTATTATTGGTCTATTCAGGTTTTGGATTTCTTCATGGTTCAATCTTGGTAGGTTGTATGTGTCTAGGAATTTGTACATTTCTTCTGGGTTTTCCAATTTATTGGCATATAGTTGCTCATAGTAGCCACTAATGATCCTTTGAATTTCTAGAGTATCCATTGTAATATCTCCTTTTTCATTTCTGATTTTATTTATTTGGATCTTCTCTCTCTCTCTCTTTTTTTTCAGTCAGGCTAAAGGTTGGCCAATTTTGTTTAACTCTTGAAAAAAACTTTTTGATTCATTAATCTTTTGCATTGTTTTCTTCATTTCAATTTCTGCTGTGATTATTATTATTCTACTAATTTTGAGTTTGGTTTTCTCTTCTTTTTCTAGTTCTTTTAGGTGCATTGTTAGGTTGTTTATTTGAAGTTTGTCTTCTTATTTGGTGTAGGCACTTATAGCTATAAACTTTCCTTTTAGTACACTTTTGCTGTATCCCATAGGTCTTGGTATGTTGTGTTTCCATTATCATTTGTTTCAAGACATCTTTCCATTTCCTTATTAATTAATTCATTAACCCACTGGTCATTCAGGAGTATATTGTTTGATTGTTATGTATTTGTATAGTTTCCAAATTTCCTCTTGCTATTGATTTCTAGTTTTATTCCATTGCAGTTACAGAAGATGCTTGATAATACTTCAATTTCTTTTGAATGTTTTAAGACTTGCTTCGTGATTTAATATATGGTCTATCCTTGAGAATGATCTATGTGCTGAGGAGAAGAATGTGTATTATGGAGCCATGGGATGAAATGTTCTGTAAATATTTATTAGGTCCATTTGTTCTATAGTGCAGATTAAGTCTGATGTTTCTTTGTTGGTTTTCAGTCTGAAAGATCTATCTGTTCAATGCTGAAAGTAGGTTGTTGAAGTCTCCAGCTATGTATGTATTGGGACTTATCTCTCTTTATAGCTCTAATAATATTTGCTTTATATAGCTGGGTTCTCTAGTGTTGGGGACATATATATTTAAAATTATAACCTCTTGCTGAATTGACCCGTTTATCATTATACAGTGACCTTTTTGTCTCTTCTTACAGTTTTTGTCTTTAAATTTATTTTGTCTGATACAAGTATTCCTGGTCTTTCTTGGTTTTTATTGTCATGAAATATGTTTTTCTATCCCTTCATTTTCAGTCTATGGGTGTCTTCATGGGTAAAATGTGTTTCTGATAGGCAACAGATTTTGGGGTCTTCTTAAAATCCATTCAGCTAGTCTATGCCTTTTGATTGAAAAATTTAGTCCATTTACATTCAATGTTATTATTTTTTAGTAAGGACTTACTCTTATCATTTTGTTATTTTTTTTCCTGTTGTTTTGTTGGCTTTTCTTTTTATTTTACTTCCTGTCTTCCTTATAGTGAAGGTGATTTTCTCTGGTGATATGGCTTAGCTTCTTGCTGTTTATTTTTTGTGTATTTGTTGTATGTTTTATGGTTTGAGGTCACCATGAGGCTTGAAAATACTATCTTATAACCCGTTATTTTAAGCTGATAATGACTTAACACTCTTTGTATAAGCAAACAACCAACCAAGCAAAGGGAAAACTAATAAAACCATATGCCTTAACTTTGTGCCCCAACTTGTTAACATTTTGTTGTTTCCATTTATATCTTATTGTACCGTTTATGTCTTGAAAAATTATAGTTATTATTTTTTACTGGTTCCTTGGTTAGTCTTTTTACTTAAGAGTGGGTCCCAGCACTTTGGGAGGGTAAGGCGGGTGAATCACCATAGGTCAGGAGTTCAATACCAGCCTGGCCAACAGGGTGAAACACTATCTCTACTAAAAAAAAAAATACAAAAAATTATCTGGGTATGGTGGTGGGCACCTGTAATCCCAGCTACTCGGGAGGCTGAGGCAGGAGAATCACTTGAACCTGGGAGGTGGAGGTTGCAGTGAGCTGAGACCACACCACTGCACTCCAGATTGGGTGACAGAGTGAGACTCTAAAAAAAAAAAACAAAAACAAAAAACAAAGAGTAGTTTATACAACATAGTTACAGTATTATAATATTCGGTGTTCTTCTGTCTACCTATTACCAGTGAGTTTTGTAACTTCAGATGATTTCTTATTGATCATTAACATTCTTTTCTTTCTAATTGAAGCATTTCCTTTAGAATTTCTTGTAGGACAGGCCTGATGTTGATGAAATCCCTCAACTTTTTCTTTTTTGGTCTCAGAAAGTCTTTATTTCTCCATATTTGAAGGATATTTTTGCCAGATATGCTATTCTAGGGTAAAATTCTTTTTCCTTCATAACTTTAAATATGTCATGCCACTCTCTCATGGCCTATAAGATTTCTCCTGAAAAATCTGCTGCCGGATATACTGGATCCCCATTGTATGTTATTTGTTTCTTTTGTTGCTTTTAGGATCCTTTCTTTATCTCTGATCTTTGGGAGTTTGACTATTAAATGCCTTGAGGTAGTCTTCTTTGGATTAAATCTACTTGGTGTTCCATAACCTTCTTGTACTTGGATATTGATATCTTGTTCTAGGTTTGGGAAGTTCTCTGTTATTATCCCTTTGAATAAACTTTCTACCCCTATTGCTTTCTCTACCTCCTCTTTAAGGCCAATAACTCTTAGATTTGCCCTTTTAAGCCTATATTCTAGATCCTGCAGGCATGCTTTATTGTTTTTTATTCTTTTGTTTTGTCTCCTCTGTGTATTTTCAAATAGCCTGTTTTCAAGCTCACTAATTATTTCTTCCTCTCGACCATTTCTGCTATTAAAAGACTGTGATGCATTCTTCTGTATGCCAATTGCATTTTTCAGCTCCAGAATTTCTGCTTGGTTCTTTTTAATTATTTTAATCTCTTTGTTAAATTTATCTGATACAATTATGAATTCCTTCTCTGTGTTATCTTGAATTTCTTTGAGTGTCCTCAACACAGCTATTTTGAATTCTCTATCTGAAAGGTCATGTATCTCCGTTTCTCCAGAATTGGTCCCTGGTGACTTACTTAGTTCATTTGGAGAGATTATAGTTTCTTGGATGGTGTTGATGCTTAAAGATATTCTTTGGTGTCTGAGCATTGAAGACCTAGTTATTTATTGTTGTCTTCTCAGTCTGGACTTGTTTTGCTTGTCCTTCATGGGAAGGCTTTCCCGATATTCGAAAGGACTTAGGTCTTGTGATATAAGCTGTATCTGCTTTAGAGGGCACCCCAATCTCATTAATGCTGTGGTTCTTGCAGACTCATAGACGTACTGCCTTGATAGTCTTGGACAAGATCCAAAAGAATTCTCTAGATTACCAGGCAGAGACTGTTCTTTTCTTCTGAATGAACAGAGTCTCTTTTTCTGTTCTGAGCCATCTGGAGGTGCTGGTGGTATGACAAAGCACACCCTGTGTCCACCACCATTAGGACTGCGCTGGGTCAAACCTGAAGCCAGAACAGCACTGGGACTCACCCAAGGCCTGCTGTAACCACTCCCTGCCTATGACCTATACTTGGTCAAGGCCCTGAGGCTCTACAATCAGCAAGTGGCAAGGGAAGCCTGGCTTATGTCCTTCCCTTTATGTTGGTGAGTTCTCCCAGGCCCTGGGCATGTCCAGAGGTGCCATCCAGGAATCAAGGACTAGAATCAAAAACCTTGGAAGTCTACCTGGTGTTCTATTGTCCTATGGCTGAGTTGACACTCAAGCCACAAGGTGGAGTTTTTACCACTCTTCCCTTCCATTTGCAGAGGCAGAGGGACCTCACCCCATTGCCCCCGCTACAATAGGCCCACAGGAAGTACTGCCAGACTACCAACAGTATTTCCTTAAAGCCCAAGGACTCTTCAGTCAGCTTCCTGACTGAAGCTGAATTGTGGTGAATGCTTCCTGGCCTGGCACTCACCCTTCAGGGCAATGGGCTCTACTCTGGCCCAGGGTGGGTCTAAAAATGCTGTCCAAGAGCCAAGACTTGGAATCGGAGAACCGAAGAGCCCACTTACTGCTCTACCCCCACTATGGCTGGGCTTGTATGTAGTGTGCAATACCAAGTCCCCTTTGCTTTTCCCTCTGCTTTTCTTAAGTAGAAAGAGTCTTGCCCCATAAACACCACAGCTGGGAATGTGCTGAGTCTCATCTGAATGCAGTGAGTATCAGAGTCTCACCCAGGGTCCTCAATGTAGTACCTGGGTATTGCTGATGGTTAGTAGGTAATTAATCCTGTCAGGACTGGGTTCTTCCCTTTAAGGCAGCAGATTTCCTTTTGGCCTTAAGTGTGTCTAGAAATGTCTTCCAGGATCTAGGGCCTGGAAAAGGGGGTGCCTCATAACTCTGATTATTGCTCTATCCTGCTCTGGCTGAACTGGTATCCAAGATGTAAGACAAAGTCCTCACTCTGCCCTCTCCTCTCCTCGAGTGGAGGGAAGGAGTGTCTTTTGGAGCTGTGAGCTGTACAGCCTGAGGTTAGGGGAGGGGTGATGCCAGGACTCCCTTAAATATGCTGGCTTCTGTCTCAGTAGGTCATATCCCCCCTACCCCAGTCCACTGGCAGGGGCCCAGTTCAGCACTAGGACTCATCTAGGAGTTGCATTCTTTGCAACCTAGACTGTGTTTTAAGTTTAGTTAGAGCCCCAGAGCACTTTTGCTTGCAGTGGCAAGGCTTATGGGAACTCAAGTTCAGACCACTGAGATCAGTGATTCTCCTCTGGTTAGGGCTAGTTTAAATGCTCCCTCTTTGGGCAGGTGTCAGCAGAGTTTGGTGTGGTCTTGTTTTCTGTTATAATAGGGCATCACTGAGTTCAATGCCTCAGAAATCCTTTGATCTCCCTCTCCCAAGCATGCCAAAATGCTCTCTGCACCACACTGCCACTGCTGGGGGATGGGTGAGGGGTGGTATCATCAATTCAAGACTGTTTTTTTCTACCTCTTCCATACATCTTTCAGTGATATGACTTTAAAACCAGATATTGTGAATGCTCACCTGATTTTTGATTCTTATGAAGGTGCTTTTTGTGTGTAGATAGTTGTTAAATTGGTGTCCTGGGTGGCGGTGGAGTGGATGATTAGTGGAGCCTTCTATTCTGCCACCTTGCTCCCACTCCACCTTGTGGCACTTAAATATATTGCTTAATTAAAATGGTCGAATGAAGTATCTTGGGGACATGCCAGTTAAAAATATTAGTTGATAACAATTATTATCAATTATTCATATTCAAAGTTAGTTCTAGACTCTTTAGCAAGACATTTAAAGGCTTACAATACCTCATCAGCATCTTCTAGATTATGCATATATATCTACTTCCACTTCCATGTAAACTGCATCAACTTTAGTTGAGATTTTGCTAAAAGGAAGTGCCTTCTGGAATTCCTGGTACTTAGTATGTTAGTATACAGAATGTGGCACCAACTTAAGGAATGTGTGTGCTTGACAGAGGTGATTTGCAATTCAGCAGGTTGAGCGAAAAAAGCCTCACTGGACCAGCTTCTGTTTGTAGCTGCTCCTGTCTATATTGGTAGGATTGTGGTCATGTATGCTGGGACCTTTTGACCTAATGTTTCCAGAATTTGAATCTTGAATGTGCTATGCTGGTCTTCTTTTCTGTGATGAAATAGCTAATGCCAGTCAGAGCCAGTTTACATGATACTCTACACAGAAAATTTGTTGTTATTCTGCAAGAGGATCATGCCCACATTAACATCAAAAGTATTTCTTCTGCTATCGTGGCTGTTATTATTTTAGAGTAAAGATAAAAAGTGAAGGTGAATGGATATAATTTCTGAAATTTTTAAGCCTCAGCTAGTTCTACTGAATGTATTCACTCATTTCAAGAGGTTGAGAAGGAAGGAAATTCAACTGAAACAAACTAATAGTAATACTTCTTCAATATTTATCATCCTTGGCATTTGCTGCTCAAAGATCAAGAATAGCTTTGTTGGCATTATTTTGGTTTTTAGGTTAAAGAGGAGATAATTTAGAAATTTGTTCCCTGAGCTCCTTTTTCTTTTCAAAAAACACAGACAGGAGAGAATAGAATAACAAACTCCCATGTACATCTTAGTTAAAACAATATTAAATCCATGGGCAATTTTCTATCAATTTTCTTATCCTGGGTTATTTTAAAGCAAACCCCAGACATAAATTAATTTGATTTTTAATTATTTCAGTATTTATATCTAAAGCTACTTACCCTTTTATTTTAAAAAGGAATGGCAGGCTATGAGGTCTTAAAAAAGAAGAAAGTATTTTTAATTAACTATTTTTCCCCCTTGGGTCAGTACCTATTAGCTGGTTTGCTGGGTTATGTGGTTATTGTATGTGTAACTTTATAAGAAACTGCCTAATTCTTTTCCAAGTGAATGTGCCATTTTGCACTCTCACCAGCAATATTAAAGAGTTTCATTTGCTCCATAGGCAGGCTGAAACTTTGTATGGTCAATCTTTTTAATTTTAGACATTCTACTGGGTATGTAGTTATATCTCATTATATATATAATTTGCATTTTCCTAATGAATAGTAATATTGAGTGTCTTTTTTCCATATATATATGTTGAAGTGTCTGATCAAATCTTTTTGTCAATTTTTATCAGATTGTTTGATTCTTACTGTTGAATTGGAATACCTTTTTTCTTATCGGAATACAAGCCCTTTATCAGAGATGTTTTGAAAATAATTTCTTCCAATCTATGTCTTATCTTTGCATCTCTTAAAAGTGACTTTGAAAGAGCAAAAATTTTTAGTTTGATAAACTGTAATTTATCAGTTTTTTAATGATTTATCAATTTCATCATTGAAAAAATCTTTATCTACCTTTATGAAGATGTTTGAGGGTTTCTTCTGTAAATTTTGCAGGTTTTTACTTTTAGATCCAGGTGTATAATTCATTTTGAGTTAATTTTTATAGATGGTATGGGGTAACGGTTGAGATTGATTTTTCTTTTTATGTAGCTATTTGCTGAAAAGACTTTCTTGTTCCGTTGTATTACCTTGGCACCTTTTTCTTTTAAAACTAATTAGGTATATATATGTAAACCTATTTCTGAGCTCTCTATTTTGTTTCTTTGACCTATGTGTTTTTCCTCATGCCAGTACCACACTGCCTTGATTACTATAGCTTTATTGCAGCTGTTGTAATCAGGTAGTGTTGGTCTCCTAAGTTCATCTTTTTTAAAAATCATTTCTTTCTGGCTATTCACTTTTATAGCTTGTCAATTTCTGCCAAAAAAGTATATTTCAATTTTGATTGGTGCTGTTTTGAATCTATTGGTCAATTTGGGGAACAATAACATCTGAACAATGTAAAGTATTAGAAGAATATTCTATCTCTCTCCATTTATTTAGGTCTTTATTTCTCTCATCTGTATTTTCAGTGTAGAGATCTTGCACATATTTTGTTAAATTTATTTCTAAATATTTCATAGTTTTGATGTTATTACAGATGGTATTGCTTTTTAAAATTTTAAATTCTAAGGCTTTTGTTGTTAGAATATAGAAATACAATTGATTTTTACTGACTGATCTTGAATCTTGGGACCTTACTAAACACTTATTCTAGTAGCTTTTTTTCTTTAAGTGAATTACTTAGAATTTTTGACATAGATGATCACATCATTTGTAAATAAAAACAGTTTTTTGTCTTACTTCCTAATCTATATGCTGTTTATTTCTTTTTCTTTCCTGATTGCACTGTCTATAACCTTCAGTATAATGTTGAATAGAAGGGGTGAGAGCATCTTGCCCTGTTTCTAAACTTCAGACAAATTAATGTGGTCTTTAACCATTAAGTACGATGTGAGCTGTAGGTTTTTACATGCCACATGATATGATGCTGTTTACATCAGAATGAGGACATTCTCTTCTGTTACTAGTTTGTAAGAATGTTTTTCATGAATGGTTATTACATTTTGACAAATGCTTTTTCTTCACCTATGGAAATGAATATGTTATTTTTCTTCTTAGTTTGTTAGTGTGGTGGATTACATTAATTGATTTTCAAATATTAAACTAATTTTGCATTCCTAGCATAAATCTTAAAATGATTATGGTATTTTATCTTTCCTATGGATTTGTGGAATAGGTTTGCTTAATTTTGTTTTGGAATATTAATATGTATGGCATGTCTGAGGGTAGGTCCTACAAAAGCTAAAAGCACATTGCCTCTGAGTGTCCTGCTTCTGTAATTGCTGCTCTACTTGTTGAATATAGCTACCCTGAGTCTCTTCTCCATAATTGTGCCTTTAACCAACCTTGCAGGGCCATGCAGCCTCCTGCTGTATTACATGCTCCTCAAGACAAGAATTCGGTTGCAGTCTATGTATCCCCAGCACCCAGCTCAAAATCATGTTTTTTGAATCCTGGAGCTTTCTATGGCTGGCTTTTGCACCTGATCCTTTAGGTCCTGAGCAACTGGAACCACCCTCAGGGTTAGAAGCCACAAGTAAAACCCAACTATTTAAAAAGTCCTAGTTGACTTCTATATCTGTGAAACATAAAGTTGGCTTCTAGGAATCTCCTACTTCCTCTTCTAAAGGCAACAAAATTTTGAATTCTGGCAAAACTGCTGGACTCTTCCTCCCTATTTCCTGACTCAGTCCCAGTTGTTCAGTAATATCCTGTGCTTCGGTCACCCAAAAACCTATCTTTATAGATAATTTTATACTATAGAAATAAAGATTGATACCAGGCATTTTTCTCCTATTATCACTTAGATAGATATATAGATGGAAAATAGGAAAGAAGGAAAATAGGAATATTAACATTTATGTTCATGAGGATGATATTGGCCTGTAGTTTCTCTTTTGTGTAATAATTTTGTCTGATTTTGGTATTATAAAAATGCTGGTCTCATATAATGAGTTGGACGTATTTTCTCTCTCTCTTTTTTTCCTGTATATATTTGTGCAGAACTGGTATTTTTTCCCTTAAGTGTTTGGTAGAGTTCACCAGTTGAAGCCATCTGGTCCGGAAGATTATTTGTGGGAAGATTTTAAATTACAAAATAAATTTCTTTAATTGATATATATGGTTATTAATTTCTTTTAATATCAGTTTGGTAATTTTTATCAAATTGCTCGTTATTTCATTTCATCTAAATTATTAAATTTACCATTTTTTTAAAAAGAATACATTGTCATTTGAATGTAGGATTTGTAATAATGTTCCTCTCTCATTTCTGATACTGACAGTTCATATATTCTCTTTCTTTCCACACTTGATGTGCTAGAGGTTTATCAAATTTATTCATCTTTTTAATGAGATTGACTTTTGATATCATTGATTTGCTCTATTTCTTGTTTTGTGTTTGATTCCTGCTGTGTTGCCTTTCCTTCATTCTGCTTAATTTTGTTTAATTTGTACTTCTTTTTCTTATGTGGAAGCTTAGATTATTGATTTGAGGCCTTTATTTCTCCCTTCTGATATAAGTAATTATTGCTTTGAATTAGAAATATGTTGTGTTTTCATTTTCATTCAATCCAAAATATGTTTTAATTTCCCTTGATTTTTTTCTTCATTGACCCATATTAATTAGTAGTGTTATTGTAAATTTATGAATATTTGGTGACATTCTAGATATTGTCCTTTAATTAATTTCTAGTTTAATTTCACTTTCAGTTAGTGTAGTTAGCTACAGATTGTAGGCTTGTGCCTACAATCTCAGCTACTCTGAGGATGATGTGGGAAGATTCCTTCAGGCCAGGAGTTTTGAGACCAGCTTGGGCAACATAGCAACACACCATTTCTAAAAAAGAAACATTTTGGTGAGAAAATAAATTTAATAATCTTTTCAAATTTATTCATGATTGTTTTATAGCAGAAAATATGGTTTATATTGGTGAATATTCCGTTTGTACTTGACAAAATGTTTATTATATGGTTATTGAGTGACGTGTTCTAAATTGTCAGTTTAGTCAAGTTGATTATGTTGTTCAAATCTTACAATTTTTATTTATTTTATGTGTTCCATTTATTACTGATAGTGGAGTATGTGGAAATCTTCAACTTTATTTATGGATTTTTCCTTTTAGTTTTACATATTTTGAAACCCTGATGTTAGGTGCATAAACATTTATATTTGTTATATCTTCTTGATGGATTGACCACTTAAAAAAAGAATACTTCTTTTTATCCCTAGAAATATTTATTGTGTTAAATGTACTTTATCTGATATTGATGTAATCACATCACTGTTTTCCTGGTATATCTTTTTTCATAGTTCTGCCTTAACCTATTTATGTCTTTATATTTAAACTAGATTTCTTATAATCAGCATGTAATTGGCTCCTTCCATTTTTATCCAATCTAGCAATCTCTGCCTTTTAATATGACTATTTAGATCATTTAAATTTAATTCAGTGGTTAATATGATGGGTCTAAATCTACTAATTTGTAATTTTTAAAAATTTGTCCCGCTTGTTTTTTGTTTCCTTTTTCCTCTTTTCCTGCCCTCATTTGATTTGAATATTTTTGATGACTTTTTATTTATAATCGCCTTATGATGCTTTGTTTTATTTTCTCATGGTTGCTCTAGGGTTTACAATGTGAATCCTTATCTTAGTGTAGTCAACCTTCAAATATTGTTATGCCACTTCATATAAAGAACCTTATAACAGTATACTTCCTTTTACTTCTTCCTATCTCCTGTGCTATTGTTATACATTTTACATTTACAAATGTTATAAACTTCACATTGCTATTATTTTGGTTTGTAACAGTCAGTTATCTTTTGACATGATTAAAAATGAGAAATATATATCTATATATTCCCACATACTTATTTCAGATGCTCTTTATTCTTTTCTGTAGATCTAAATTTCTCAATAGTGTTCTTCTCCTTTAGCCTAAGAAACTTCCTTTGACATTTCTTATAGTGCATGTCTGCTGGCAATGAAGTTCATCAACTTTTGTTTTTTGGAAATAAAATGTCTTTATTTTTCCTTTTTTTCTAAAAGATTTTTCTTTGAATATAAATTTCTAGGTTGATCGTTTTTTAAATTTTTGTTTTAAGCACTTTAATGATATTATTTTATTGTCTTCTGGTTTCTAAAGTTTGTTTTGGAAGTCTTGGAAAGACTTCTTATTGAAAGTCTTTCTCTGTATATAATATGCCTTTTGAAACGACACATTATATTTTCTCTTCATTACTGATTTTTAGCAATTTGAGTGTGATCTTCTTTGGTGTGATTTGATTTATGATTATTCTTCCTGGGATGGGTTGAGCTGCTTGGGTCTGTGGATATATATTAAGAACTGTGAAGGGTCTGAGATTTTACCCTACTTTCCAAGCTAACAAGTTAGCTTACTGCAGTTTCATGGAGTACTTAATTATTCACAGTAATAATAGTAGCTAGAGTATCAACACTTCTCTGATCTTCAATTCCTACAAGGTTATGTGAAGAGGTCCAGGTGGCATTTGAACTTCAATTGAGCTGTGTTACAGTCAAAGACCCTGAACTTAGGGAATCTGAATCTTTTAGAAGGGGCAGTATGCATGTCTTCCTTTTACTCTAGATAGGAAAATAAAGGTATCTCTTATCTTACCTTCTCTTCCAAGACTGTAAGTAAATCCACCCCTTTTTCAGAACAAGACACTATTTTTGCATTCCAAGGCTATTTGCAATACAAACATATTTCAAAAGATAGTTCAGAGTAAAAACAGAATGCCTCTGCTTATAATATGTGTAGTAATGTGAGAGACACATGGAAAACAATTTCCCTGTGGTATATAGTTTTCATCGATTTGGGGAAATTTTTAGCCATTGTTTTTAAAGATATGTTTTAGCTCCCTTCTTCTAGGACTCCAATTACATACGTTTTAGATTGCCTGATACTATCCTACAAGTCACTTTGGTTTTGTTCATTTTCTTCAGTCTTTTTAATTGACTCTATATTTTGGGTAGTTCTTACAGCTATATTTTCAAGTTTATTGATCTCTTCTTCTGCAGTGTATAAAATGCTATCAGTCCCTTTCAGTGTAATTTCATTTTAGGGATTTTTTAATCTCTAAAGATTCCATTAGTTGTGTATTTTATGTCTTCTATTTATGTTCTCATTGTATGGATGCATTCCTCTATCTTGAACATATGAAGCATATTTATAGTAAGTAGTTTAAGATCTTCGTTAGTTAGTTCCATTATCTGTGTTATATTTTGAGTATTTCTATTGTTTTTTTCTGATTATTGCTCATATTTTTCTGCATCTTCACTTGCCTTGAAATTTCTTTACCACCTGATGTCCAGCATCTGAAAATTGTTGTTCTATATATTTAGTCTGGTTCTTTAGTTCCTTATGGTAGAAAGACAAGTGAAATCCTTTTTACATCATAGTGGCTGGAAGCAAATTTCTTTCATTTCTTCTTAATCTATTAGCTGAAATCTAAAAATGAAACTGCCCTTAATCAACACCTTGGTTATCCTGAGTACAATTTATATAAGAAAGGCTTGATTCTTTTCCATTTTTTTATTTTATTATTATTATACTTTAAGTTTTAGGGTACATGTGCACAATGTGCAGGTTAGTTACATATGTATACATGTGTCATGCTGGTGTGCTGCACCCATTAACTCGTCATTTAGCATTAGGTATATCTCCTAAAGCTATCCCTCCCCCCTCCCTTTACCCCACAACAGTCCCCAGAGTGTGATGTTCCCCTTCCTGTGTCCATGTGTTCTCATTGTTCAGTTCCCACCTATGAGTGAGAATATGCGGTGTTTGGTTTTTTGTTCTTGCGATAGTTTGCTGAGAATGATGATTTCCAATTTCATCCATGTCCCTACAAAGGACATGAACTCATCATTTTTTATGGCTGCATAGTATTCCATAGTGTATATGTGCCACATTTTCTTAATCCAGTCTATCATTGTTGGACATTTGGGTTGGTTCCAAGTCTTTGCTATTGTGAATAGTGCCGCAATAAACATACGTGTGCATGTGTCTTTATAGCAGCATGATTTTCCTTTACTTACTAGTTTTCAAAATGACATTTGGTTCCTAGCACCCAGAGACCAATAGATTTTTAAAGTATTGTTATAAACTCAAAATAATATGTTTGATGTGTTTTAAAATGTTGCAGTTTTCGTTCTGATGAATGCTCACATTATCTCATCTTTGGTCATTAGTAGGCTCTTCAATTTGGCTCTTGCATTCTTTTGATACAACTTTAATAGTCTTTAAATACTTCCTTGCTTTCTGTTATGACAAGAGCCATGCTTTTCTTGTACTATTTCTATCCAAGAAAACCTGGAATCAGGGATTTTTCCAAGGACACTGCTTCTTTTTCGTGGAAATTGATATTTAGAGATCCAATATAGATGCTAGGAGATTCTTAGATTCTTGAAATCGTATTCCCATGGGTTGTATCCAATCTAGGAAACTCATGTGAGTATAATTTGAAGGTAGACAAAACTACCATCCCTATAGATAATTATTCGACATATTTATAGAGGAGCAGCAGATACTAACAAGTTCTGGAAAATGGCAGAGGGCAGTATTAAGTAATAAATTGTACAAGTATGACTGGATAATTTAGACATGAATAATTTTTTAGACAAAAGAAATCAGAAAGATAGTACCCAGAATAAAACTGAAGTGAAGAGACAACTACAGTAAAAATCTGGAGGGGCTGGGTGCAGTAGAAGAAACCTAGTTTGAAGGAATGCAGTTGAAAGTACAGATGTCTAATAGAGAGGATGGATGCATTTAGAATGGTGAATAAAAAGGAGAACTGGAGAGTCCCCAAGGCCCTGGAGCTCTTAGCAGGAGGGAGACATTAACTGCACTTGGGAAGCCTCATTGTATTCATCAGGGCAGCATAAGAAATGGATTTAGGTGAATGGGCTGATGACTAGTGACATGAAGCTACACTAATCTGACTCATGTTTCCTCATTATAGATCTGTGGCTGAGAGAGAAGGAATACTCTTATTTGATAATCAGGGTGTCCTCTGTTTTGAACAGTGCTGGAATTTTGTCCCTCTGATTTCTAATTTTATACACTACAGTTCAATCCTCTTATGATTTAGAGATCCAATATAGATGCTAGGAGATTCTTAGATTCCTAAAATCATATTTCCATGGGTTGTATCCAATCTAGAACTGCTCAAGTGGGTCTAATTTGAAGGTAGACAAAACTGCCATCCCTATAGATAATTATTCTACATGCTTATAAAGGAGCAGCAGATACTAGCAATCAAATTCGGGAAAAGAGTACTCATATCAGAGGGCATTATTAAGTAATAAATCGTACAAGTTTGTCTGGATAATTGTACAAGTTTGACAGAAACTGGATAGCCACAACCAGTTTCTACCCATGGACAGTTCCCCTACTGGCCTGAAGCCTGCACTATTCAACCCAGTAAATAAAACACTGGGGAATGAATGAATATAAATAAATAAAGTGTATATACCACCAGGGAACAAGGTAAGCTTCAAGAGACTTCTGCTATTCCAACCCCATGGGTGACCGTGAACTTGCCCACACATTGAGCACATTGCTACTACAATCAATATCTGAGAAAGCCATCATATAAAGACTATATAATCAAGGAACTCATATAGAGTCTTCACCCCTGAAAGCATTAGGAGTCAAACTAGGCTATAATAAATTATAAACATCAAGGTCACATCCTTAAGGGGAAAAAAAGAAATTAAACCAGTCACATCAAAAATAAATTCAAGAATAATTAGAAAAAATAGTCTACACAAATGAGAAGGAACCAGAAAATAATTCTGGTAATATGACAAAACTGGGTTCTATAGCAACCTCAAAAGATCACACTAGCTCTCCAGCAATGGATCCAAACCAAGATAAAATCTTTGAAATGCCAGATACAGAATTCAAAAGGTTAATTATTAAGCTACTCAAGGAGATACCAGAGAAAGGTGAAGTCCAATATAAATTAAAAAACAATTCAGGATATGAATAAGAATTTTTCTAAAGAGACAGATATTTTAAAGAAAAGCCAATCAGAACCTCTGGAAATGAAAGACATCTTTACGGAATTACAAAATGCACTGGAAAGTCATGAAACAAAAGGTTGACATGCACCGGGATAGAACCTCTTGAAAGCATAAAACTTGCAGGGCCTATAAAACAATAACACAATGGAAAAAACAAAGTATCCAGGTAACAAATAACATGATGACTGGAACAGCACCTCAAATCTCACTATTAATGTTGAATGTAAATGGCCTAAATGTTCCACCTAAAAGATAGATTGGCAGAATGAATAAAAAAATCACAAAACAAGTATCTACTGTCCTTGAGACTCATTAACACATAAGGATTCATATAAACTCAAGGAAAAGGAGTGAAAAAAGGCATTCCACGCAAATGGAAACCAAAAGTGAGCAGGAGTAGCCACTCTTAGATAAAGCAGACTTTAAAGTAACAATAGTAAAACAAAAAAACAAAAAAACAAAAAAACCCAAAAAGACCATTATATAATTATAAAAGGATCATTCCTACAAGAAAACATCATAATCCTAAACTTATATGCACCTAACACTGGAACTACCATATTAATAAAAAAACCTTTACTACTAGACCTAAGAAATGAGATAGACCACAACACAATAATAGTGGGAGACTACAACACTCCACTGACAGCATTAGACAGATCATCAAAACAGAAAGTCAACAAAGAAATGATGGGCTTAAACTACACTCTAGAATGAACAGACCTAACAGGTATTTACAGAACATTCTACCCAACGACTGCAGAATATACAGTCTTGTCATCAGCACATGGAATATTCTCCAAGACAGACCATATGATAGGCCACAAAAATGTCTCAATAAATTTAAACATATCAAAATCATATAAAGTATCTTCTTACACCACAGTGGAATAAAAATAGAAATCAGCTTCAAAAGGAACTCTCAAAACTACAAATACATGAAAATTAAACAATCTGCTCTTGAATGATTTTTGAGTTAATGAAATCAAGACAGAAATTAAGAAGTTCCTTTAAATGAATGATAATAGTGATACAAGTTACCAAAATCTCTGGTAGTACTAAGAGGAAAGTTTAGCAAAGGTGTAGTATTAAGAGGAAAGTTTATAGTACTAAATGCCTACATCAAAAAGCCTAAAAGATCACAAATTGATCACCAATTGTCATACCTCAAAGAACTAGAGAAACAAGAACAAATTAAACCCAAAGTTAGCTGAAGAAAAGATTTAACAAAGATCAGAGCACAACTAAATGAAATAAAAACAAAAAATATAAAAGATCAATGAAACAAAAACTGATTTTCAAAAAGATAAACCAAACTGATAGACCATTAGCTAGATTAACCCAGAAGAGAGGAGATTCAAATAAACTCAATTAGAAGTAAAGTGGGGACATTACAACTGACACCACAGAAATACAAAAGACCATTTGAGACTACATTGAACACCTCTATGCATAGAAACTAGAAAATCTAGAGGAAATGGATAAATTCCTAGAAATATACAACCCTTCTAGATTGAATCAGGAAGAAATAGAAACCTTGAACAGACCAATAACAAAAACAGTGACATTGAATGAGTAATCAAAATATTGTCAACAAAAAAATAAGCCCAGGGCCAGATGGATTCGTGGTTGGATTCTACCAGACATTCAAAGAATAATTGGTACTAATCCTACTAAAACTATTTCAAAAGATTGAGAAAGAGGAAACCCTCCCTAACTCATTCTGTGAAGCCAGTATCACCCCAATACCAAAACCAGGAAAGGACATAACAAAAAAAGGAAACTACAG
The DNA here is from genome assembly GCF_000001405.40 of Homo sapiens. Taxonomy (NCBI): domain Eukaryota; kingdom Metazoa; phylum Chordata; class Mammalia; order Primates; family Hominidae; genus Homo; species Homo sapiens. The sequence goes on along the minus strand of NC_000014.9, from coordinate 38,681,973 downwards.
ACCAATATTCCTGATGAACATAGATACAAAAATCCTCAAAAAAACACTAGCTAACCGAATCCAACAGCACATAAAAAAAAAAAAATACATGATCATCAAGTGGGTTTCATCCCAGGAATTTAAGAATGGTTTAACATACACAAGATAATAAATGTGATGCATTACATAAACAGAATTAAAACAAAACCATGATCATTTCAATAGATGCTGAAAAAGCATTTGATAAAATCGAGCATCATTTATGATAAAACCACTCAACAAATTAGGCATAGAAGGGGCTTACCTCAAAATAATAAAAATTATCTATGAAAAATCCACAGTCAACATCATACTGAATGGGGAAAAGTTGAAAGCATTCTCCCTGAAAACTGGAATAATACAAAGATGCCCACTTTCACCACTTATATTTAACGTACTAAATCCTAGCGAGAACAATCAGACAAGAGAAAGAAATAAAGGGCATTCAAATTGGAAAACAGGAAGGCAAACTATTGCTGTTCACTGATAATATGATCCCATACCTAGAAAACCCTAAAGATTCCTCCAAAGGACTCCTATATTTGATAAACAAATTTAGTAAAGTCTCAGGTTACAAAATCAATGTATGCAAATCAGTAGCACTGCTATGCACCACCAACAACCAAGCAGAGAATCAAATCAAGAATGTAATCCCTTTTATAACAGCTGCAAAAAATTAAATACTTAGGAATATATTTAACCAAGGAAGTAAAAGACCTATAAAAGAACTACAGAACTCTACTGAAAGAAATCATAGATGATACAAACAAATGGAAACACATCCACACTCATGAACTGGACAATCAATATTGTGAAAATGACCATACTGCCTAAAGCAATCTACAGATTGAATGCAATTTCAATCAAAATGCCAACATCATTTTTTTCATAGAATTAGAAAAAATAATCCTAAAATTTATGTAAAACCCAAAAAGAGCCTGAATAGCCAAAGCAATCCTAAGCAAAAAGAACAAATCTGGAGGCATCACATTACCAGACTTCAAATTATACTATAATGCTATAGTTACCAAAACAGCATGGTGCATGTATAAAAGTTGATACATAGACCAATGGAACAGAATAGAAAACCCAGAAATAAAGCCAAATACTTACAACCAAATAATCTTTTACAAAGCATATGAAAACACAAATTGGGAAAAGAACAGCCTATTTAATAAATGGTGCTGGAAAAACTGGCTAGCCACATGTGGAATAATGAAACTGGATCCTATCTCTCTCCTTATACAAAAATCAACTCAAGATAGATCAAACACTTACAAGACTTAAAACCTTAAAAATTGTAGGAGATAATCTAGGAAAAACTCTTCTGTATATTGGCTTAGGCAAAGAATTCATGACTCAGACTCCAAAAGCAAATGCAACAAAAACAAAAATAAATAAATGGGACCTCATTAAATTAAAAAGCTTCTGCCCAGCAATAATAATAATAATAATAATAATAATAATAATAATAATAATAATTATCAGAGTAAACAGACAACTCGCAGAATGAGGGAAAGTATTTGCAAACCATGCTTCCAAAAAGGACTAATATCCAGAATCTGCAAGGAACTCAAATAAGCAAGAAAAACCCAAATAATTTTATTAAAAAGTGGGCAAATTATATGAAAAGTCATTTCTCAAAAGAAGATACACAAATGGCCAAAAACATATGAAAAAAAATTCAACATCACTATTCATCAAGGAAATGCAAATTAAAACCACAACGAGATGCCATCTTGTTCCTGCAAGAATGAGCATTACTAAAAAACAATAAATGTTGGTGTGGATGTGATGAAAAAGGAATACTTATACACTGTTCGTGAGAATGTAAATTAGTAAAACTTCTATGGAAAACAGTATGGAGTTTTCTTAAAAAACTAAAAGTAGATCTACCATTCAATCTAGCAATCCCATTACTGGGTATCTACCCAAAGGAAAAGAGGTCATTATATCAAAATATATCTGCACACGTATGTTTACTGCAGCATAACTCACAATTGCAAAGATACGGAACAAACCTAATTGCCAGTGATCAATGAGTAGATAAAGAAAACATGGTACATATACACCATGAAATACTATTCAGCCATAAAAAAGAGCAAAATAATATTTTTTGCAGCAATGTGGGTGGAGCTGGAGGCCATTATTCTAAGTGAAGTAACACAGGAATAGAAAAACCAAATTCTGTATGTTCTCACTTATAAGTGGTAGCTAAGCTATGGGTACACAAAGGCATACAGAATGATAAAATGAACTATGGAGACTCAGAAGGAGGAGGGTAAGAGGGGGTGAGGGATAAGAAACTATACATTGGGTACAATGTACACTACTTGGGTGACGGGTGCACTAAAATCTCAGAAGGATGCACTAAAATCTCAGACTTCACCACTACACAATTCATCCATGTGACCAAAACCACTTGTACCCCAAAAGCTATTGAAATTAAAAAAAGTAAATCCTAAAGGATTATTTTATAAACAGAATGCAACTTATTCCAATCCCATAAAATTAATCTGGCTACCTACACCCTAACTTCCAAGTCCTGTTTCCTTGCTCAGACACTGAATCTCAAGGAGTTGTTTCATCCCAGTATATATCATTTTTTAATAGGACCAAATTTCGGTATTTAAAAAAAATATATATATACAAAGAAAAAATATTTAATATGTGATATATCTTTAGAAAGGGGAAATAGTAAGATTATATTAAAGTTATTTGAAATTTGGAAACAAAGCTATTATTTTATAAGTTAAGTACAAATTAAACTAATCAACATAGCCATTTCTCATATCTATAGATTCATTATTTCTCTTGGTTAAGACCTGAGTCTTGGCCTGGTGGACATTATGTTAAGCAAAATAAGTTAAGTACAGAAAGATAAATGCCAATGTTCTCAGTCATATGTGGGAGCTAAAAAATTTTTGAGCACACAGAAGCAGAGAATAGAATTGTGGGTCCAGACACTGGGAAGGGTAGGGGGAGGGGAGATTGGGGAGATGTTGGTTACTGGATACAAAATTACAGCTAGATGGGAAAAATATGTTGTGGTGTTCTATAGAACTCCAAGGTAAATTTGGTTAACTATAATTTACAGTATGTATTCAGAAAGCCAAAAGAGAAGATTCTGAATATTCCCAACACAAAGAAATAATAAATGTCTGAGGTGATGGATATGCTAATTTCCCTAACTTGAACATTATACGTTGTACACGTGTATCAAAATATTACTCTGCATACCATAAATATGTACAATTATTACATGTCAACTAAAAGTAATGGGAGAAAAAAGAATAAATGAACAAAAAACAAACCAAAAAAAAAAAGGGCTACCCAAAATAAATTGGGCAAGGAAATAAACAGGCAAAAACCAGAAAATGAATCTAGGTGCCAGCAAGTATTTAAAAAGGTGCTAGAACTCCTGTGTAGTTAAGAAATTGCAAATCAGAGTAAACAATAATATATCATTTCATCCTTATGAGGCTAACAAAATTAAAAGTAATACAATACCTATTGCTGGTACAGATGTGGGAAAAATGTACACTCACACATTGATGGTGGAAATGCGAATTGCCACAACTTTTTTGGAAATCAGTTTGGCAGTATCTATTACAAGTAAAACTACAAAACTTCAAATTTGGAAATTTATCCCCTAGAGATAAAAATTTTGGCCTGTTGGGACATCTATAAGAATATTTATTGCTGCATTGTTCATAGTGGCAAAAGAAAACAAACAGAAGAGAAGGAACAAAATGAATACCCAGCATGGAGGAATAGGGGAATATTTTGTGATATATCCCTGCCATGAAATATTATACAACCCTGAAAACAAACAAGCCAGTTGATTTGGAGGGTTTCTGTGACATATTGTGAGCAAGAAATGTAAGATGTATATATTACACAATCTGTTTCTGGTCAAGTAAACTGTATGGAGGAAAATGTAGAAGGATATATGCCAGATTGTTAATTAAGATTACAGGGGAGATGGGTCAGGTAATATGGGTAAAGAGGAGAGGACAAGAAAGAGGTAAACAAAAAGGGAAAGAAGAAAGAGCAAGCACAGGCTCTGGATTTGAGCAGTGTAAAAGCCTCTCAGAGATTTTCTTCACCTATAAGGAAAGAAAAATAGAACCTTCTGCAGAGAGTTGAGTACCTGGCACTCAGTAAACTGTAAATGTTATAGTCAAAAAAAGGTAAGCCTATTGATTAACATGATTTTCAAATTTGGAGCTCCCTAATTGGCTACCCTCATTCTTAGCTACCTTTTATTGTTTTATATGACTACATTTGTGTTATTTGAATATACAGATTTTTCTCCCACTTGATTGTACTTTCCTTTCAGGATGGGAGTCTTATTTTAATTGTTTTAATTTTTAATTTTTATTTATTTTATTTATTAAGGGTAAACAAGCTGTATCCCTCGTAAATGGCAATGCAGATACAATAAGCAAATGATAGAATAAGCAAATTAATATAATAAGCAAATTGCAATAGGAAGGGGAGAAGGGAAACAGATACATATATATTTACACTCACCAGACTATGGAAGATTCACCACCAGACTGGGAAGCCACAGCCTGGGCTCCTGAGTTGGCCGCTTGTCCGTGCACAGCTGAGGAGAGGTCTCATGAAGCTTCAGTGCAGTCTGGGACCCTGGCTCTTTTTTTTTAATACTTTAAGTTCTAGGGTACATGTGCACAACGTGCAGGTTTGTTACATAGGTATACATACTGCATCCATTAACTCGTCATTTACATTAGGTATATCTCCTAATGCTATCCCTCCCCCAGCCCTCCACCCCCTGTCAGGCCCCTGTGTGTGATGTTCCCCTTCCTATGTCCAAGTATTCTCATTGTTCAGTTCCCACCTATGAGTGAGAACATGCAGTGTTTGGTTTTCTGTCCTTGCGATAGTTTGCTGAGAATGATGGTTTCCAGCTTCATCCATGTCCCTGCAAAGGACATGAACTCATCCTTTTTTATGGCTGCACAGTATTCCATGGTGTATATGTGCCACATTTTCTTAATCCAATCTATCACTGATGGACATTTGGGTTGGTTCCAAGTCTTTGCTATTGCAAATAATGCTGCAGTAAACATACGTGTGCATGTGTCTTTATAGTAGTGTGATTTATAATCCTTTGGGTATATACCCAGCAATGGGATCACTGGGTCAAATGGTATTTCTAGTTCTAGATCCTTGAGGAATTGCTACACTGTCTTCCACAATGGTTGAACTAGTTTACACTCCCACCAACAGTGTGAAAGCGTTCCTATTTCTCCACATCCTCTCCAGCATCTGTTGTTTCCTGACATTTTAATGATCGCCATTCTAACTGGTGTGAGATGGTATCTCATTGTGGTTTTGATTTGCATTTCTCTGATGGCCAGTGATGATGAGCATCTTTTCACGTGTCAGTTGGGTGCATAAATGTCTTCATTTGACAAGTGTCTGTTCATATCCTTTGCCCACTTTTTGGTGGGGTTGTTTGTTTTTTTCTTGTAAATTTGTTTAAGTTCTTTGTAGATTCTGGGTATTAGCCCTTTGTCAGATGGGTAGATTACAAAAATTTTCTCCCATTCTGTAGGTTGCCTGTTCACCCTGATGGTAGTTTCTTTTGCTGTGCAGAAGCTCTTTAGTTTAATTAGATCCCATGTGTCTATTTTGGCTTTTTTTTTTTTGCCATTGCTTTTGGTGTTTTAGTCATGAAGTCTTTGCCCATGCCTATGTCCTGAATGGTATTGCCTAGGTTTTCTTCTAGGATTTTTATGGTTTTAGGTCTAACATGTAAGTCTTTAATCCATCTTGAATTAATTTTTATATAAGGTGTAAGGAAAGGATCGAGTTTCAGCTTTCTACATATGGCTAGCCAGTTTTCCCAGCACCATTTATTAAATAGGGAATCCTTTCCCCATTTCTTGTTTTGTCAGGTTTGTCAAAGATCCCATGGTTGTAGATGTGTGGTATTATTTCTGAGGGCTCTGTTCTGTTCTATTGGTCTACGTCTCTGTTTTGGTACCAGTACCATGCTGTTTTGGTTACTGTAACCTTGTAGTATAGTTTGAAGTCAGGTAGCGTGATGCCTCCAGCTTTGTTCTTTTGGCTTAGGACTGTCTTGGCAATGTGGGCTCTTTTTTGGTTCCATACGAACTTTTAAGTAGTTTTTTCTAACTCTGTGAAGAAAGTCATTGGTAGCTTGATGGGGATGGCATTGAATCTATAAATTACCTTGGGCAGTATGGCCATTTTCATGATATTGATTCTTCCTATCCATGAGCATGGAACATTCTTCCATTTGTTTGTGTCCTCCTTTATTTCGTTGAGCAGTGGTTTGTAGTTCTCCTTGAAGAGGTCCTTCACATCCCTTGTAAGTTGGATTCCTAGGTATTTTATTTTCTTTGTAGCAGTTGTGCATGGGAGTTCACTTATGATTTGGCTCTCTGTTTGTCTTTTATTGGTGTATATTAATGCTTGTGAGTTTTTTTTTTTTTTTTTTTTTTTTTGGATGGAGTCTCGCTCTGTTGCCTAGGCTGGAGTGCAATGGTGTGATCTCGGCTTGCTGCAAGCTCCACCTCCCGGGCTCATGCCATTCTCCTGCCTCAGCCTCCCGAGTAGCTGGGACTACAGGCTCTCGCCTCCACACCCAGCTAATTTTTTTGTATTTTTAGTAGAGATGGGGTTTCACCGTGTTAGCCAGGATGGTCTCGATCTCCTGACCTTGTGATCTGCCTGCCTCAGACAATGCTTGTGATTTTTGCGCATTGATTTTGTATCCTGAGATTTTGCTGAAGTTGCTTATCATCTTAAGGAGATTTTGGGGCTGAGATGGTGGGTTTTCTAAATATACAGTCCTGTCATCTGCAAACAGGGACAATTTGACTTCCTTTATCCCTAATTGAATACCGTTTATTTCTTTCTCCTGCCTGATTGCCCTGGCCAGAACTTCCAACACTATGTTGAATAGGAGTGGTGAGAGAGGGCATCCCTGTCTTGTGCCACTTTTCAAAGGGAATGTTTCCAGTTTTTGCGCATTCAGTATGATTATTGGCTGTGGGTTTGTCATAAATAGCTCTTATTATTTTGAGATATGTTCCATCAATACCTAATTTATTGAGAGTTTTTAGCATGAAGGGGTGTTCAATTTTGTCAAAGGCCTTTTCTGCATCTATTGAGATAATCATGTGGTTTTTGTCATTGCTTCTGTTTATGTGATGGATTATGTTTATTGATTTGCATATGTTGAACCAGCCTTCCATCCCAGGGATGAAGCCCACTTGATCATGGTGGATAAGCTTTTGATGTGCTGCTGGATTCGGTTTGCCAGTATTTTATTTGATGATTTTCACGTTGATGTTCATCAGGGATATTGGTCTAAAATTCTCTTTTTGTGTTGCGTCTCTGCCAGGCTTTGATATCAGAGTGATCCTGGCCTCATCAAATGAGTTAGGGAGGATTTCCTCTTTTTCTGTTGATTGGAAAAGTTTCAGAAGGAGTGGTACCAGCTCTTCCTTGTACCTCTGGTAGAATTTGGCTGTGAATCTGTCTGGTCCAGGAATTTTTTTGGTAGGTAGGCTATTAATTATTGACTCAATTTCAGAGCCTGTTATTGGTCTATTCAGAGATTCAACTTCTTCCTGACTCAGTCTTGGGGAGGGTGTATGTGTCCAGGAATTTATCCATTTCTTCTAGATTTTCTAGTTTATTTGTCTAGAGCTGTTTATACTATTCTCTGATGGTAGTTTGTATTTCTGTGGGATCGGTGGTGATATCTCCCTTATCATTTCTTTATTGCATCTATTTGATTTTTCTCCCTTTTCCTCTTTATTAGTCTTGCTAGTGGTCTATCAATTTTGTTGATTTTTTCAAAAAGCCAGCTCATGGATTCATTGATTTTTGAAGGAGTTTTTGTGTCACTATCTCCTTCAGTTCTGCTCTGATCTTAGTTATTTCTTGCCTTCTGCTAGCTTTTGAATGTATTTGCTCTTGCTTCTCTAGTTCTTTTAATTGTGATGTTAGGGTGTCGATTTTAGATCTTTCCTGCTTTCTCTTGTGGGCATTTAGTGCTATAAATTTCCCTCTACATACTGCTCTAAATGTGTCGCAGAGATTCTGGTATGTTGTGTCTTTGTTCTCATTGGTTTCAAAGAACATCTTTATTTCTGCCTTCATTTCTTTATGCACCCAGTAGTCATTCAGAAGCAAGTTGTTCAGTTTCCATGTAGTTGTGCGGTTTTGAGTGAGTTTCTTAATCCTGAGTTCTAATTTGATTGCACTGTGGTCTGAGAGACAGTTTGTTGTGATTTCTGTTCTTTTACATTTGCTGAGGAGTGCTTTATTCTGTTGATTTGGGGTGGAGAGTTCTGTAGATGTCTATTAGGTCTAGTTGGTGTAGAGCTGAATTCAAGTCCTGGATATCCTTTTTAACCTTCTGTCTCATTGATCTGTCTAATATTGACAGTGGGGTGTTAAAGTCTCCTGTTATTATTGTGTGGGAGTCTAAGTCTCCTTGTGGGTCTCTAAGGACTTGCTTTATGAATCTGGGTGCTCCTGTTTGGGTGCATATATATTTAGGATAGTTAGCTCTTCTTGTTGAATTGATCCCTTTACCATTATGTAATGGCCTTCTTTGTCTCTTTTGATCTTTGTTGGTTTAAAGTCTGTTTTATCAGATACTAGGATTGCAACCCCTGCTTTTTTTTTTGTTTTCCATTTGCTTGGTAGATCTTCCTCCATCCCTTTATTTTGAGCCTATGTGTGTCTCTGCATGTGAGATGGGTCTCCTGAATACAGCACACTGATGGGTCTTGACTCTATCCAATTTGCCAGTCTGTGTCTTTTGATTCGGGCATTTAGTCCATTTACATTTAAGGTTAATACTGTTATGTGTGAATTTGATCCTATCATTATGATGTTAGCTGGTTATTTTGTCTGTTAGTTGATGCAGTTTCGTTATTTTGCCCGTTAGTTGATGCAATTTCTTCCTAGCATCGATGGTCTTTACAATTTGGCATGTTTTTGCAGTGGCTGGTACCAGTTGTTCCTTTCCATGTTTAGTGCTTCCTTCAGGATCCCCTGTAAGGCAGTCCTGGTGGTGACAAAATCTCTCAGCATTTGCATGTCTGTAAAGGATTTTATTTCTCCTTCACTTATGAAGCTTAGTTTGGCCGTATGTGAAATTCTGCATTGAAAATTCTTTTCTTTAAGAATGTTGAATATTGGACCCCACTCTCTTCTGGCTTTTAGAGTTTCTGCTGAGAGATCAGCTGTTAGTCTGATGGGCTTCCCTTTGTGGGTAACCCGACCTTTCTCTCTTGCTGCCCTTAACATTTTTTCCTTCATTTCAACCTTGGTGAGTCTGTCAATTATGTTTCTTGGAGTTGCTCTTCTCGAGGAGTATCTTTGTGGTGTTCTCTCTATTTCCTGGATTTGAATGTTGGCCTGCCTTGCTAGGTTAGGGAACTTGTCCTGGAGAATATCCTGAAGAGTATTTTCTAACTTGTTTCCATTCTCCCTGTCACTTTCAGGTACACCGATCAGACGTAGATTTGGTCTTTTCACATAGTCCCATATTTCTTGGAGGCTTTGTTCATTTCTTTTTACTCTTTTTTCTCTAAACTTCTCTTCTCACTTCATTTCATTAATTTGCTCTTCAATCATTGCTACCCTTTCTTCCACTTGATTGAATCAGCTACTGAAGCTTGTGCATGCATCACATAGTTCTCATGCCATGGTTTTCAGCTCTATCAGGTCATTTAAGGTATTCTCTACACTGTTTATTCTAGTTAGCCATTTGTCTAATCTTTTTTCGAGGTTTTTAGCTTCCTTGCAATGGGTTCGAACATCCTCCTTTAGCTTGGAGAAGTTTGTTATTACCGACCTTCTGAAGCCTACTTCTGTCAACTCGTCAAAGTCATTCTCCATCCCACTTTGTTCAGTTGCTGGTGTGGAGTTGCGATCCTTTGGAGGAGAAGAGTCACTCTGGTTTTTAGAATTTTAAGCTTTTCTGCTCTGGTTTTTCCCCATCTTTGTGGTTTTATCTACCTTTGGTCTTTGATCTTGGTGACCTACAGGTGGGGTTTTGGTGTGGATGTCCTTTTTGTTGATGTTGATGCTATTCCTTTCTGTTTGTTAGTTTTCCCTCTAACAGTCAGGTCCCTCAGCTGCAGGTCTGTTGGAGTTTGCTGGAGGTCCACTCCAGACCCTGTATGCCCGGGTATCACCAGTGGAGCCTCAGTTGGAAATGCAGAAATCACCTGTCTTCTGCATCGATCACGCTGGGAGCTGCAGACCAGAGCTGTTCCTATTTGGCCATCTTGGAACGGGAATCTCTCATTTTAATTTTAATAACTTATATGCTTACTCAGTAGCAGGCACTATGGTAAGCATTTACAGTGATTACTTAATTCTTGCAGCAGCCCTATGAGGATAGGGATTTTCTATGACATTTATTTGACATACATGAACATTTAGGATTAAAGCACTAATGTAATTTGCCCAAAGACACACATCTAGAATTCAAACCTGGGCTGTCCAATATCAAATCCATAATGTTATCAGCTATGACAAATTGATGGGGATATTAATAAGAATAATAACTCTAACCCATTGATAGGTTAAATGTAGGTAGATAGATAGAGGTAGAAGATGAGAGAATGAGAGTTACAGCAGGAGAGAGAGAGAGAAAAAGGGCCGATGTGTATAGATATTTAAAGTATCTGTACTCACAGAGAATATATTTAGAAAAATAAATATACTAATTTATAAAAAATGAAATTATGTTATTTCTTTTAAAACATGGCTAATCTGAAAAATTGTTATATAGCCATATCTTATAAGTATTTAATCATTTATGTATCATCTGTGTACCTTACTGACACAAACATGTTTCACAAATAGAGAAAGGTATGGAAAGTATGATACTTACTGTATGGACAGTAAGTTACTAACGGTGGTTATTGTTAAACGGGACTAGAGTGTTTTAATTTTTTTTCTTTTTTTTGGCTTACTTTTTTCTAAGTAAATACTATGGATATGTATTGAAAGTCATAGGCAGAAAAATATAATAGGTGATGTTTTTAATTTAAAGGGCCATCAAAATTAAATATAATCCTTCCCTCTGGCAGAGAAACTTAGGACTACCCCTGGGGAAGTCATAGTTAGGGCTGGCACTGGGAGATTAGGGCACATGACTCAAAAATATGCCAAAAATTTCAGCAGTGAAGGTAATATTTCAATGTAATATTTTAAAAAATCAAAATTCATACCAAAAACCTATGATAAAAAATGTTGAAATTTTAAATAAAGATAGGACAGGTTTGAGGGTAAGGTGAGATGAGTTGTGCAGCTATAGGGTTGGATCCTGTGTTTATGACTCACATTGACAGCAGCAATTTCCATAAATTTTATTTCTCTATGCCAAGAACATTGCCTGCACAATTAACTCTCCAGGAGTAAGTCTTTGGCTCTACTTGGCTCTAGGGTGTTTACTAATGCATCAAAAAGAATATTACACTGAATTTCCAGTAGCTCTGACCTTGAATGAATGAAGGTGTTTGAGAAACTGACTGTGTAATAACAGACTTGACTAGTCATTTTTAGGATGTATAAAATATTTATCCTCAAACATTTTTTCCATGAGCAACTGCTGTATAATAGTTTGGTGCATCATAATTTCTCGTGAAAGGATAGAACAAGAGGAATTTAAAAATATTAAAAAGTGTTTTGAAAGGGATAGGTATGACTGAGCAGTATATGTTGAAATGGTCTTCATCAGTGAGTCAATTTTTAGTCGTCTTTTTGGTGCTTTTAAATGGAGAGGACAAAATAAACCCCAATCCCTGTGTTTCTCAGGTAAACATATTTAACAGCTTTTGAGTAGCAGAGATTTCTAATCTTTAGAGCGAAATCAATATGGTGTTCCTTTAGAGCTGCTTTCTAATGCAAAGAAAAGAACCCTGAATCACCCACATTTTCATTTAGAAGGAAGAAAGGTGAAGGAGAAAACTCATGACAGAGGAGATAATTAATATTTTAAGGATAGTCTTTAGATTCATTTTTTTTGGATAAGAACTGTATGAAATTTTTCTCCAGCTACATTAGCATGAAGGTGTTTATATTCCTGAAAAGGTATAGGTTGTTTTGGGATAGTCATTTTCTTTTCCTTTTTAAATTTTCTTTTTTCTCTTTTGCCTCAAAAAGAGCCTTTCAAAATGTCATCCTTCTCACTCCCTAGTAGAGAATTTGTGAGTAATTTATTCAGAGTTACGTCTCTTCTCTGAGCAGAACCCACACGAAAAATAATGTATCTTGGGCTATGTTTACATAATATTAGAATAAGAAAAAAGTGAAAAATACTGCAACTACCCTCATGCCAAACAACAACAAAGAGTTCTTGATTAGAAAGTTGCTGAAATCCCTTTCCTATAATAAAATAAAAATCTGGATTTATTTTAGTAATATTTTTCACAACTGAATATTCCCATGATAATCTAATCAGCAGTGTCAGACTGACAGTTTAGTAATCCAAAGGTTATTTCCATTAATTAGCTTTACATCCCGATGGCTTGACTCTCTTGCTGCCATATGAAAACTAACAGAGATGAATATGTTGTGCTTAACAAAATAAATAACTCTGCTGAGTTTGAAAAATGGAGTCAATTTGTCTTCTCTCTTTTAGTGGCAGATGCAAGATGACAGCTAAATGAGTGATCAGTCCATTTAAGAGAAAAATGTGTATCAATACTGCCAACCACTGCCATTGAACACACATACGTAATTTGATAGGCTGACATACTTCTGTAGGCAAGTGATATAAAAGCTACTAAAATTATGGTAATCTCTATCTATGGTGAGACACTCTAAGACCCTGATCATTTACTTATGTAAGCACTGGAGGTATTTACGAATTACTTCTTGGGGAAAATTTTAGCCTTGCCATTGGTCACTTTCTCACTTACCTTCTATTCTGTACCATTTCCTTCGTGGCATCCTCAACTTTCCTCAGGTCAGGTGACTGTTACAGCCACAGAGAATGCCATAACATCCAGGTCTCCTCAGCTATTGAGAACATGTGCACTCTCCTGCTCAACTTTCACTTATCCAACACAAATTTATTGCAAGTCTATTGTCTTGATCAGTTCAGGCTGTTATTACAGAATACTGAGTGGCTTAACCAACAGACATTTATTTCTTGCAGTCTGGAGGCTGGTAAATCCAAGATCAAGATGCCTGTCTATCAGGTGTCTGGTGAGGGCCTGCTTCATGGTTCCAGACATTTGTCTTCTCGTTGTGTTCTCACATGGCCAAGAGAGAAATCATCCCTCTTGTGTTTTTCCAATAAGCCCAATAATGAGGGCTCTACCTTAATGACCTAATTACCTCCCAAAGACCCCACCTCCTAATACTATCACATTGGGGGTTAGGATTTCAACATGTAATTTTTGGAGAACACACAAGCATTCAGTCCCTAACACCTACATGTACCAGGATCTATGCTGGGGACTAAGGCTACATGGGTAAACAAATGACTGTCAAAATCTTCTTTGAAAGAAATAAAACTTATAGAGAATTTATGGGAAGGTATACAGGCCGTGTGCTTTTTCATATTAGTGGCTCCAAATCTTTTTTAAAAAAATTTTTTGAGTCACAGACCTCTGAGAATTGGAAAAATCTAAATAAGTATTGTTCCCTGAAAAATTCAGATCTGCACAAATATAATTGAATTTTGTGTTCAATTTCTATATATATGTATATTTTTCTGCAGAGGGGTGGATGGCTGTGGACTCCAGTTCATGAAACTCTATTATAGCTTTTCTCATTTCCATTCACTTAGGAGCAGACCACTCGGCCTTTAGGCCTTTTTTTCTTTTTTCTTCCAGTGAAATTGGAACTGAACTGCTCTATGCTGTTTTGCTAGTTATGAGATATTACAGTTTTGATGGACATTGACAATCCACCCGGGAAACTGATGCCGTATTTACTATAAGGGCATTTGAAAATAATTTGCTCATTGTAGTTAAACTTGTTTTATGAGGAGCACAACATAAATTTCTCTTCAGAACTAGTCTGAAGAAAATTTGCTTTTGGTACAACTGGATTGCTTTTATTTTTAAATTATGGACATGATAAAATTCTTTGTTATCCTTTTTGGATTATTTGCTGGAAAGCACAAAGACAAATTAGTGATGTATCTCTACCAATTGTTCTGTTTTTATTTTTATCTCCTAACTTTATACTTCATAGTATTAAAGAAACAAATTAAATCAAAGTTGTTGACTTTGAAAGATGTCTGTGATATAATGTTAGGTGAGAAATGAGTTATAGAGTAATGCATAGAGTAGGATACTATTTTTTGGGTAAACCCCTTTCATATGTTTCATTATGAGTTAGAGAGAAATTATACACATTGATTATCAAGGGAGAGGGTTAGAACTGAAGGAGGATATGGAGAGACTATTAACTTTTTGTCACTTTGATACTCAATTTATGACAATAAGCACATATTATTTGCTAATTCAGAGAGAGTACCCTTTCCAAACAATCTCCACTTTCAAATGAATTCGAGTTCCTGTCCTCCTAGTAAGGAAGACAAATGTATAAACCACCAATTACAAGGTAATGGGTTAGGTGGAGTGGCAGGAATAGATAGGTGTACAGAAAAATACTCATGGGAGAGTAGTTAACTTAGGGAGATGTCACAGAGAAAAACAAGCTCTTGAAGAATGAATAGCAGCTTGCTAAGCAGATCAGTGGAGGAAGGGCATTCCTGGAATGGAAAGCAGGATGTCATGGAGGCAAGGAACAGTATGGGTGTCTGGAGATCTGAGCAGGCCATGCTCTCTCATTGACTGAAACATCAGCCAGGCCCTTAAGCCACTAGTTATCCTCAACTGATCCTTAAAAACTAAGATTAAATTTTATTTCCCTGGCAGGACAACCTGGACTTCCCCACCCTCTCAGATGTGGTTCAGGTAACACCTCTCTGGTAACTTACATTACCTAAAACCTACCTGATCAATAAAGAAATAAGTTGATTAGGGCTTGACATATGTAGTCTCCCCATTCCTTCTACCACACCATCACCTACCCTGATGCTGAAGTTTTAATTGCAAAATTCTTCATATGCCATCTTTTCTGAATCTGAGTTGGAAGACTAACTCAGTGAAGAGTGTACAATGGAACGACATCCCAAATATTTGCGTTTAAAACTTTCCTGCAAAATACGTATTAGATAGTCATGACATGGCACTGAAAAATTACTTGCCTACTTTTCCCACAATAAAAACTCTCATTTTAAAAAACAAAGTTGATCTAAAAATGGCATTGTGATTTGCCATGAGTGTGAACCCACACCGAATGTTTGGCATTTCCTCACGGAGTGCTTGGACCTCTTAACCCTGCTCTTTGACCTGCCAAGAGAACTTTCAGCTGCAATATGGCTGACATGATCAGCACAAAGGGAGAAGGAGCCTGTGTCCCAACAGAAGATAAGGACAGGGATGTATGGTTTCTCTGGACTTCCTGTTGTGGGTGCGGCATGTGATTTCTGCCCTGCCTGGTGTCTTTAGAGTTCTATCGGCAGGACATCTGTTGAGGGTCACCTCAGCCACAGCCAGTCCCAGACCTCCTCTGCCATCTGAAGCCAATAATGAACTCCATCAAGCCCTCTTGGTTTGCTGCGGATTAAAGGAATAGTTATGTCAGAAGCACAGCCTGGCCAATACATAAATGGCTGGTGCTGTTTTGAGTAAAAGCTCCTAATACTGCAGATATTATAAAAGTGATTGAGTCAGGGAAAGTAACTAAATTGCAGGGAGCATGGAAGACACACACATTTGTCTATTATTTCTTTAACAAAGCACTGAGCTTTTTCTCTGCATCACAGAATTGGACCCTAGAGCCTACATGTTTATAGCAATGAGGATGCCCTGAGGAGCGTCCAGGAATTCTGACCAGCAGTAGACAGAACATTCAGCATTGCATTAGCACCCCTATTGTCACAATAGGTTAAACATAGTATATTATCTTATTTTCTTGTGTAAGAGACATGGTTGTGATTGTTACTTTTGCTTTCAGAAAATGATAGTAACAAAAAACCAGTGTGTGTGTGTGTGTGTGTGTGAGAGAGAGAGAGAGAGAGAGAGAGAGAGAGAGAGAGAGATTGGAAGATAAGGATCTAAAATCCCTCATCCTAGTGTTCCCAACTCTGGCTGCACTTGGACAGAATCACCTAGGTAGCTTGTTAAACACATATGGGCCTGGGTCCCAGGTCCAGGAGATTCAGATTTATAGCTGGGGCTGAGAATGACTGCTGGGGTTAGTTGAGAAAGCCTGTTGAAAAGCCACCTCAGGGGTGTACTGATTTTTTTTTTTTAAAGAAGGTCTGTGAAGGAAGCAAGGAGTAACTTGGTATGGTGGGAATATCATTGGATTTGAACTTGGAAGGCTTGAACCTCCTTCTTCCTCCTCCTAACTAGCCATGTAACCTTGGACCATTCTGAGCTCAGTTATTTCTTTGATAAAATGAAAATATTAGTGCTTAAATGGAAGAATATGGTCATCAAAGGGGACGATGTATGTGGAATTGCCTTGTCAACAGAAATGCACTCTGCTAATGCACAGAGCAAAAGGCCATATGAAGAGGGAGCAGAGATAAGGGTGATACTGCCACAGAACGAGGAGCACCAGGAGCTGCCAGGAGCTGGCAGAGGCAAGCTAAGCTTCCCCTTAGAGTCTTCAGAGTTCCTTTGGAGGGAGAGTAGCCCTGGAACACCTTAATTTTAGACATTTGCCTTCTGGAATTGTGAGAGGATAAATTCCTGTTGTTTTAAGCCACTGGTTTGTGGTAATTTGTATGGCAGTTCGAGGGCATGGGTACAGATTTTGGTAAGAGAGGCTTTAGGAGAGAAAGCAGGCAGTGTAGACTGACCGTCCGTCCCCACAGGGCAGGCTGCCTTGGGGTCTGACTTCTTACTTCTCTCAGTTCTATTTTTGAATTCAGAGTTTTCTGATTGCCATGGGAGCAAGAGCTAGAGCTCTTGTGTTGAGTTGCACTTGGGGGTAAGCGCAGGATGAAATGGGGAGCGGTAGGCATGGATGTGTTGCAGGGGTTTCATCTGTAAGTCAAAAATTACTTGAGATGTGGAGGAACTGAAGGAAACGCAGGCATAAGAACTATCCAGTTGTGGTGATGTTTGGTCCTTGCTTAATTTTAAAACTAAAAACTAACTAAAAATCGCCATTGGGAATATCATTTGCCTCAAATAATTAGTATAATAAAGTCCTTAAAATGTGTCCTATAATCGTGTTTGCAGTATTGATTTACTTAGTAAATTATTTTGTAGCGAGAATACAAACTTCAGTCCCAACATGGTTAATTTATGAGAGTCTAATTTAGTTGCTTCTAAATTATTGACACTTTATTGTAAACAATGCAAATTATATATTTGCTTTTATGCCTGCACTCAACTTTATTGTAGGTCATATAAATAGAATAAATTAAGAGAAAATATCTTGGGACAAATAATTATATGCTTAGCTATAGTGGTAGTTTGTGATTAGCCTAAAGAGTCATTTTTGCTGATCTGAAATTTTCAAATTTGTCTGTATCATTTACGGAAATTTTTAAAATGTTGCGATATTTTATTTTTAGATGTATCCTGTGTTGTCAGTGATTACATTCTTTTAAAAAGCAGACATCCTAAATTAATAAAAGTAAGCAGAAAATTCCTGGAAAACTGAAGCCCTCCTTCCTTCTATTTCACTGTAGCATTCTGTGAACAGCTATAAGCATTTAGAGGCTATCTCTAAAATTCAAATAGTCCTTTGGTTTCATTTGAGGCATCAAGTATAGAAAGAAGAAATTCTAGCACTCTTTCCCATGTTTATATAGAAGCTTTAATATCTCTTTGCAAGGGGAAGACTCTAAATGAGTTCATGAAGGTTTTATTATTATTGTGACCTTTAAAATACGTTATGACAATTCCTCTTTGTTTCCTGTAGTAACGTAAGCTTCGTCATCTTGTTTTCTTTTTTTATTTTATTGCCCTGGGTATTCCATTTTTTTTTTGACACATGACAACTTTTTTAGTTTGGTCCTACTGGATTGCTAAATTTAAAGTTAAGCTGTGTGACTTAAAATTATTGTTGATAGAGTGGGTAATAGTTAGATGAGAAAGAGAGAGAGAGAGAGGCATAAGGATCAAGGCTCTTTTTTGATGGTTTAAAATCTTCAGATTTTTTAGAAACTGAATCAGGTAATGTAGTCTCTATTGTGAGGGCTGCTCTTTAGTTACTCTGTTCACTTTATTGATTCTATTTATTTACTTGATAAGACAAAGAAGATAAAATGCAGTACTACTCATTGAATGTGCTTTATAAACCTTGAGCTCAGCTGTAGCGTGTGGCTCAAGGTTCATTAATCAATCTGGAAAATATTGATTAAACCTCAGACTTCTCACTTTTTAGAATCAACAACCCAAAATGAGGCCTAGATATGCTAGGAAGGCCTATTGTTGGTGAGAGATTGTGAGACAAATGCCTTGTATCATTTGAAGTCAGGAACACAAGAGAACCAGGGAATTCATCGTAGATTAAAGACTAGCATTCTCTGGGAATGAGTTAGAAAATTTAATTTCTACAAGTCTTTGGAACAAGATTTTAAACAGTTGTGCAAAAAAGTTGTGCACATGTTAAATCTGCATTATAAATGTAAGTGTTCTTAAAAGGTCTTATAAAGCAGTGAAACATTTGAATGCCTTAAGGAAAATTTCTTTTTGCAGAGAGGCTTATAGACTCACTTGGCCTTAATAAGCAACTCCATGGAGACAGATTGTAGGAAAAGTGGAGGTAAGGGAGTGACTCCTACTGGATACTTGCTTAAGCCTTCTAACTTGGATGGATGGTTGGCAGCTGTCCCTGGCTGTGCCAGGTGCTGGGATTGTGGTAGGTGGCAGTGGGATCAGAGCTAAGAGAGTGCTCCAGGTTGCACTGAGGTCAATTGCCTTCAGGGGACCAAGTAGCTTAATAGCCATGTTTACATTCCAGACAGGCCAGACTCCTTTTATTGAGTTCGTCGTCTGTGAGACTGCTCATTCTGCTTCTCCAATTTACAACAGTTCATGTGAGTGGTTCTCAACATACGATTGCTGGATCAGCAGCATGAGCATATTTTGGGAATTTGATAAAAATGCAAATTATTGGGCCCCAACTTCTGATCTACTGAATCAGAAACTCTGAGTTGAGCCCAGAAATTTGTGTTTTAACAAACTCTCATGGTGATTTTGATCCATGCTAGAGTTTGGGAACCCTGGATTTACATTATTCTCTCTCTCAATTTACTTTCAAGGCCTAGATAAGTCTTTTATTTTTCTTAGAAGCCTCTCAGATGTATTATACAGCATCTAGCAAATACCTAGTGCATAAGAAGTGCTTGATAGTTTTTCTATGAATGTGTTTCTATGATAGTGTTTCTATGAAACACTTCTGTACAGTTTCTGAGGGAAAGGAGAGTGTCTTGGTTCTACTCTCTGGCAACCCCTGCCCCAGCCATGGTGCCTCTGATTGCCTCTGTTCACCACTAGAAGTGCTACAGTATTTTGTATCACACAAAATTACAGGTGTTTCATAATAGCAACAAAACATAGAAACTACTCTCAGAGAGCTGCAAGTAGATTGTGGTGGCCACATAAAGACAATTACATGGTGGTGTTCAGGTCATATGTTTGTTTGTTTTTGAGACGGAGTTTTATGCTTGTCACCCAGGCTGAAGTACAATGGCTCAGTCTCAGCTCACCTGCAACCTCAGCCTCCCGGGTTCATGCAATTCTCCTGCCTCAGCCTCCCAGGTTACTGAGATTACAGGTGTGTGCCACTATGCTGTAGTGGTTTTTTAGTAGAATCGGGGTTTCATCATGTTGATCAGGCTGGGCTCAAATTCCTGACCTCAGGCCATCCACCTGCCTTGGCCTCCCAAAGTGCTGGGATTACAGGCGCGAGCCACCACACCCAGCCCAGGTCATATGTGTATGATGATAATTCTTTCTTAATAATTTACCTAATATTAATATTTTAACCAAATTCTAATGAGACAGCATGTTTTTATATATTTATTGGTAATTTGCCTTTTATGTGAATTTCCTATTTCTATTAAGATTGTCTTTTTTTTTCTTTTAACCTATTTCTTGGAGTTCTGTTATATATTCTGATGTTTAATCTTTAGTTGTATGTGTTACAGATATTTTCTACCAAACAGTAGTTTGTCTTTTAACTTTACTAGATCTTTTATTGTATGTTGAAAATTAGGTGATATTTTGTGTCTTATCTAAGAAATACTTCTCTATTCTAAGTCCCAAAGATATTCTTTTAGGTTTGGCTGCTCAGATTTAGCAATTTGAAAAGTCAAAATTATGTAATTATATCATAAAGAAGGGAATTAATTGTACTTTTTCCTTCTAAAAATTGGCCACTTCAATACTATTCATTGAATAGTTTAATCTTTCCCCCACTGATTTGAATGACAGTTATCAATTGCAATTATTTTATATCCTTGTTCTCATAAATACACGTTTATTTCTAATCACATGTTCCAAATTTTGGTTCTGCAAATGCAGTGACAATGAAGGTACAATTAGGCTTATGAAAGAAGGGCGGTGGGTATGTAGAGAAAGAAAGATTCTAGTAGAATCAAATCCTTAACCTAAAGATAAGGCACTGAAACCATTTGGGTCTTTCGGTTTGAGTAAGAGGGAGGACAGTACATTTGTAGTTTGAGGGGCTGTGGGATAATTTAATTATAATTACTTCAGATAAAGCAGGGTACAATGGGGTTATAAAAGACTGAGGATTGAAATTCCAACTCTACCAGGTATTTGGACGTGTTACTTAATTTATCTGAGACACCTATAAAATGAAAACATTAATATTCAGGTCGGACTCTATGTATTTGCCAATATTTGACCCTTTTGACCCACAAAGATGGGAATTTGCATGTTTCAAGCTAATATCTACCTCAAAGACTTGTTATGAGGATTTAAGAAGTCAATATGTAGAATGCCTGGTGCATAGTTGGCACTCAATAAATATTAGACATGTAATATTCAATAGATATTTTTGAATAAAATCATCAAAAAGGCAATCATATTATTTTATAAATATAAGGCCAGTCTTTGGTAGTTTCTCCCTAACAGCTACTTCCACGCTATGAATTTTTTTTTCCATCCTGATTACTGAATTATTTTTCAGTGTATTCATAGTTTAGGAGGGGTCTGAGGGTTTTCTTTGACCTTATATTTACTACTTTATGGACATAAAAATATTAACATTTCATATGCATATTTTCATTATTTAAAGTATTCATAATTTATTATTCATGCTTGGCTTGAAATGGATTTTGAATTGCAATAACACTTATTCCTATTGTGCTTTGGTTTAAGCAGGGAGAAAAACAACTTAAGGCAGTCAGCCTTTGGTATATTAAAAAACATTATTCATGTTTTAGTTTAGGCTCCCTCACATGTTACAAACCCTGAGAAATGACTATAGAATGGCTTCAACCCCTCAATAACAGTTATGTTTCCACTTTGGAGCATCTCTAATAGGCAGAGGACCGTCAAATCTATTTAAGTGGCATACATTCCACACATTGAAATTTGGTCTCCAAATACCAGCGAATAATGAAAAATAGTTTTCAAGGAAGAAGCAAGCAGTGATCATGTTATATAGGAAACAATGTCAAAATTTATGACTAGTTGCATGACTAGAAAAAAGGCAAAAAGAACTAGACACATTGCAGGTTTTTGTTCTCTAAGATCATCATCGTTGTGACATTATTACCCTTGGGTGTCAGCATCGACCAGCGGTGCTGAAAATCTTGTTTTCACCTTGAATCTTCATGTTGGAGTCACAGCTGTCTTAAGATTTTTCCTAACTCAAAGATAATGTCCAGTTTTGGGTCAAAAGTTCACATAACTTCCTAAAATTGCCAGCAAAATCCATCTGGAGAGCGTCATGCCTACCTTTTGCTTGGCCAGTGGTTCACTGAGACTGGTACTGTCTTTTCATTTCTTTCATTTCTCTGCCAACATACGTTGTTGCTAGAGAAGGAAGAAAGATTCATCTTTCTTCCCCTGATGCAAGTTGTAAAAAAGTCTCAGTGATTTGGAAGCATAACATTTTGGAATCTCATATTCTCTTTTTGAAAATTTTGTTTTACTCCTACCCAGAAGGTAGGTAGGTGGTGCAGATGGTGGTGAAAAAAGCAAAACACGAGGTAACCTCCATGATTCCTCTTTATTTCACTGGTAAAACAAGGAGGTTTGGGTTATATTATGAATATGTGGATAGATATTTCATGAAGTTCTTGCTGGCTCCAATAGTTCATATTACAATCTAACTCCATGTTATCTTAAAGGAAAGAGAAAGGCAGCTCTTCTCAGAGTTTCTTTCTGTGAATGTGAAGACATCACTGTTTCTTTTAGTAGCTGAGGATACTCTCACCATAGAAATGTTTACAACTTGACTCTAATCAAGAAACATGGAGTGGAAAGGTCACTAGATTACTTTTGTATTCTCAGTACCTGACATATTAAAAAAATGCCTGTTACATTTTTTACTGAATTAGTTGGAGGGAAGTCAGAAAAGTCTATACCTGGAGTTCTGTACCTGGAGCAAGCTAGTTGCACAACCTTAGCCAGGTCACAAGAACTCCCTGGGTCTTAGTTTCATCACCTCTGTGGTGAGGATGCTGTTCAAGGTGACCACTAAGGACTTTCCTAGCTTTAAAATTCTGTGAAACTGGATTCCAAAATAAATTGCTCTCTGAAAGCACTGTTTACACTTTTCATAGACATTTATGAGATGGAAAACGGTTATATTTTAGCACAACAGTTCAAAGTGGTTGCTGCAATAAAAGCAGCAAGAATGATTAATCAGATTAACCAGTTTTCACCTGGAATCTCACAGGAAGGCAACATCAGCACCTTCATTTGTTTTCTCTTGAAGCGCAGAGATGGTGAAGGGGAGGAAAAAAGGAAGGTAGGAAGAAGAACAGGTAAAATGTGTTGGTGTCATGTTGAGCAGCTGGAGAAACCAAGAAGGATGAAGGCAGACCCTGGGTGTGGTGTTGGAGGAGGTTGGACGGAAGAGTAGGACACCTCCCATGGCTTTAACCAGGTCACCATTAAGGAAAAACCTAACACTGTGCGTCTAGGTGCACATGGGCTAGTTACTCTTCCCTGTGAGTCTGTGGCTACTAATTCTT
This sequence comes from Homo sapiens, assembly GCF_000001405.40. NCBI lineage: Eukaryota > Metazoa > Chordata > Mammalia > Primates > Hominidae > Homo > Homo sapiens. The sequence goes on along the minus strand of NC_000014.9, from coordinate 38,658,698 downwards.
AGCAGTCGAGATCTAGTTGTTTATACTTCCTGGATTTGATTCCAGCTTTTTGGGTGCATTCTTAACCTCTTTGTGCCTCAGCATCTTCACCTTTAAGTTAGGAATAATGATGAAGATTAAATGACAATACACGTAAAATGCTTAGATAAGTGTGCAATGAATATTAGCTATTAATAGCAACAAGCATTCAAACATTAGCTGTTATCTTTATTAATACTGTTAATACTACCACATAGTCATTAGAAGAGAGATGCTAGCTAATTGTATAAGAGTAAAATAAATAAAGTGTTGAGAAGATGTTTGCTGCTTTATGATAATCAGAAACTCCTCAAACAACTCTCCCACTAAAAAAGAAAAACATCTTTCCTCTCACATGCCTTTAATTCAATTTATGGCAATGCTTTCCCTTGAGCAAAGCATTGCCTTTTTGCTGTGGTCCTCTTTTGAAATGAAAATAGTTACTGAGGGCAGCGTATTAAGCCCTTAAGATCTCATTATAAAATAATATCTAAATCTCTTTTCTATATGACAGGTGACAGAGGGAGAACCTTAGATCTGTAAGGAGAAAGCTGTTTGGTCCTGAAAGAGAAAAGGGAAAGTGGAGGTGAGTGGGGAGGCTAAAGGAAAACAGGAGTCATGAAAAAACATGTGCCCTATATTTCAGAGTTCTGTTCAGCAGAAGAGTGGACGGTACTGTCTTAATTGTGAAAATTTTGGTAGGGGATCATTTCTGGAACCCACAGTGATAGCCTTGGGGTTTAGGAATTTTATGTCTAAAATGGAATCTTCATCTATAACATCATTATATTTTCAAAAACATAAATTCTGCAAGCCGTCTTCCTTTAGATATTTTGGTGATATCACCAGTCTTCTGTCACTTCTTGTGTATATTTAATAGAGATACAATGGGGCTTGCTCAGTATGGATCTGATAGTGAACTAAGCTATGAAAGATAAAAAAGAGGAGGACCAAAATATCACCCAGGGGACTCTGTATAAACAGCATGTGATTATACGATCCTGCAGAGTTAGACAACCCTTGAGAATGATTAATTCTAGCCATAGGAATTACAGAAATATGAATATTGGCAAAGAACAAGGATATAGAATATTTAAGAAGCTGAAATTAGAATGGAAAATCTTTATATAAGAAATTGAATTAAAATCTGATTAACCAAAGTCAGTGCATTCTGGAGTTAACATAACATGATGCATACATATGAGCAATTGAAAAGCTAACCTTTAGTGGAAAGGGTGGATAACAGTCTCTCTTCTCTCTAGGGTCACCTTTCCATCCCAGAAAACACATCCTGTTTCTAAGATTGAACCCTTCATGTTTCCCCTTGTACAACTCTAAGTCCATTTCTTCTATGATGCTTTTCTTCTGACTTCTAAAAATGAATGTTCTTTTTGCTTTTGGCTCTCCAAAATCCTTTTATCTGGACCATGCCAAGTACTGTCACTTTATTTATCTGTGTTTGTCATTCTTGTGTGTGATTTATCTCCCCATCAGGTAGATAAAATCTTAGAGAGGAAAACTTACATCTTTGTGTTCTACTGTGTTCATTTCTGTGATGTGGGCATCATAGATGGTCAGGAAATATTTGTGGTTAAGCAAATCATCCAGTTTTTACAGTAAGGAAATTTAAGAACCCAACTTAAATAAATTTATCTATCTGGCATATTGGTGATTGAAAATAAGGAATAATGATAATGATTGGTGATTGAAAATAAGGAATGTCACTATATTGACCAAGCAATTGCTAATATTTACCAAAGTTGAAGTATCTCAGTCTAAAAATCTTATTTTAAAGCAAAGCCAATAAGACAACATTTGAACACATTGGCTCATGCATCATAATTATACTTGTACTGTTTATTCTATTTTCTTTCAACTAAAAAATATTCTGCTGTTGGCAAAGTGCTAGGATTTTCAGTGTATAAGAATGAGTTCATTCACCAATATATATGGCTATTTACTTTTTAAAAGGATCTTTTTTTATAAGATTTTTAAAAATCCTCAGAACACTAAGATTTTAGTGTTTTAGATGTAAAACATAGTTTATTCTTATTTCTCTTAAAACCTTATTTCTTTCACAAAATCTCGTGATGTTTCCTAATTATCTGGTTGTTATAGGTTAGTGCTTAATTTCTACCTGAATGTTCTTGAATCTGAGGCTTGATTTTAAATGATTAATGTAAGTGCTAGGCAAGTCATTGCAGCTGGGAGAAAGCCCCTTACAGGACCAGAGCTAACATGTGATCAGTGTCTGGGCCCCTCTGCATGAACTTTGGCTGCTCATGAAGCCTGCTTAGTTGGGGAAGGTCTTTTGCCTGGCTGGCCAGGGTGAAGATGGGCTGCTGAACTGCCGACTCATGCTGTGGTTGGAAATTCTGCTGTGGCTATTTGTCTCATTTTTAAGCGAAATTTAATGAAGTCCAAGAGTATCTGAGGTCCTTTGTGAGAAACATTTACCCTACGTGGGTAGGCTTAACATTCTGATCTGGAATAGAGGGGAGAACATGAGGCTCACCATCTCCCCAGGAGCCAGGCTGGGAGAGAAAGTCTGGCCCAGGAGACGTAATTGCTACCATGGGGTGGGGGCAGTGTGGACACTTTCTCCCCAGACCGTGCCATTTTGCCATTTCCCAAAGACCTACACAATATAAGATTTTGGGGTAGCAAAACTTTGAGAGTAAAAATTTAATGAGGGAGGGACAAAGAATACATAAGTTTACAGTGGTAGGGTTTTAATTTTTTTCCTCTTTCTACTTTTGATGGAAATTTCACATAAAACTATTTAGAACAGATTATATGGTGATTTATATGTTACAATATATAAAACTTACTCTATATACCTTTGAAAGTTCTATCGTCTTCTTAGCAGCATTATTTTCCTGCAATGACACCTCAGTCGAATCCAGCTCTGAATTGATTGTGACTTTGGATTAATCACACCACCTCCTCTGTCCACATGTATTTATGCCATAGCTGTCCCTTGCACTGTGAGAGCATCTATTACAACCTTTCAGAACTCACAGATCATGTAGGGAAAGGACTTCTTTCTCCTACAGTTGCTCAGTCAACCTCCAGCACTTTTTAGCTTCCTGGAAGTGTAAAATAAGGTCCTTCACTTCACTCTGTCATCCCTCTTCCAGTCTCTCGGAATAGACACGCACACATCCTTGAGCATGCTTTGCTTCCACTTCCTAAACACAGCAGAACAATGATCCCTTGTACATTTTTAAAGGCTACTGATTTATACCTGATACTTAGTATTTTTGTCTTGATTGACATTCAAATATTCTTTACATAATTTGAAAGAGTGTAATTTAAATAGAAATATGCTGTTTGGAACTCTGTATATAATGTTTAATTTTTAGAAAATTCTTATGTGTTTGTATTCCATGCCGATTCCTTAAGAAGCAAAACAATCATGACAAATAAGGTAAGGTGTAGAAAATTACTTAAAATCTTTCAGAAATGTGGTATATTAGAGGAAGCCGGAAGCACCCCATGAAGCTTGCTACCTATAAATGTTGCTGTCTGTAGAAATTGCCTATTTGATGCATTTCAGAGGCCAGATTCATTAAAATAGCCATCTAAAATGTGACAAAAATTAGTCTAAGTCTAAAACATCATATGCTATTTAATAAACATTCATTGAATATCAATTGGGTATTGTATTAGGAACCAAGGATATTTAAAGAATAATCATATGTGGCCTCTGCCATTAATAATTCACAGTCTACTTAGGGACATCAACAGAGCAGAATTAACCGTTCTGGTGTAACAGAATAGAAATTCTAAAGAGACTTTCTTATAAAGCCCTGGGAATGCTTTATATTGAGAATCTTCTTTACAAAGTCAAGATGTTTAACATGAGCAGAGGTAGGCCACACAACGATTTAGAGCTGGATTAAATAAGCAATCTTAGCATTTGGATTTTTCTCTCAGCACGGTTCTTCGTGCTGGGCTACAGAGAATTGAATTCCCAAACAAACCTTTGAGATGGAATTTGTTCCTTTCTGTAACAAGCTGGAAGGCAAAGACCATTCTCCATTGCAGGTAAGGTCCTGCAGCCTATAAATAAGTTGAAGTTCAAATGTGACTGGGTATCTTGTATTTTATCTGGCAACTATATTCCTGGGGAACTCAACAGATGATGATAGGTGCTGTGGAGGAAAATGAAGCAGGGAAGGAGGCAAGGAGTACTGGGAAGGTATAAGGAAGGAGTTGCCATTTAAAACTGGGTGGACAAGGAAAGCCTCACTGAGGCAATATTTGAGCAAAGACCCACAGAAGGTGAGGAAGTAAACCATGTGGATATAGGGGGAAGAGCATTCCAGGCAGAGAGAAAAGCAAGTACAAATGATGCTGCTACTTTCTGCTGCTACTTTCAAATAATAGCAACAAGGCTAGTAAAGCTGCAATGAAATGAGCCAAGGGGAGAACAATAACATATGAGGTTGGAGAAGTAATAAAAGCCAGATGGTAGAGAGCCTTGTAGCCATTATAAAGACCTTGATTTTAACTCTGAGATGGGAAGCCATAGGTGGGCTTTGACAAAAGTAGTGACATGATTTAAATGTATGTTTTAAAAGCATCACTTTGGTGGTTATGTTAAGAATAGATGAAGGGGGAAAAGCGAAAACTGGGAGACTAGTTAAAGCTATTGCAGTAATTCAGGTACGTGGTGGTGGTGGTTTGGGAAGATGGTGACAGGAGATAGTGGTGAAAAGTGGTTATTTGTCACATATTTATAGATATGTAGATCTTTAGCTATCGAGAAGGAAAGAGGGCGAGAGAGAAAAATTGTAGAATCAACAGGGTTTGTTGATAGATTGGACATAGGATATGAGGAGTGAAGGATGACTTTAAGATTTATACTGAGGAAGTGAAAGGATATAATTGCATTTACTGAAATGAAAAATTTTGGAAACAGGTATCTGGGAAGCCTGGAGTTTACCTTTGGGAAGGCTAAGATTGAGATCCTGTTAGACCTTCAAAGTAGATGTTGAGGTGGTGTAGGGCATATGACTATCAAGTTCAGGTGAGAGGTCTGGCTGGAGATATAAATTTGGGGTCATTTTTTCTGTGAATGGTACTTGAAGCTATGAACCTGGATGAGATCATTAACAGAGTGAATATAGGTAGAAAAAAAGAGAAATCTAAGGCAACTGATTGTTCAGTAGTTAGGAAGATTTGGAAGAAACAGCAAAAGAACTCTTCTGATAGTTCAGCTAACATAAGAACTGAAAATGGATGATTGGATTTAGCAACATGGAGGTCATGGGCGAATAGGTGCTGAAAACAAAAGCATGAAAAGTATGATTTGGAGAGAGTTCAAGAGAGAATAGGAGGAGAGGAATTGAAAATAGCAAGTATAGATAACTATTTTGAGGGACTTTTCTGTAAAGGGCAGAAGAGCAATGGAATAGTAGAGGAGAAAGTGGTATAAGAGATGGAGGAAGGAAGACGGAGTGTCTATTTAAGATTAAAGAAATGATGGCCTGTTTGTCTAAAGATAGAAATGACATAGTGGAAAGAATTGATGGAATAGATAAGAGGGAAGGGATCGAGTACGCAACGGCAGGGTTGGCTTTGATAGGAGTAGAGACAGTCTGTCCATAAAGGGAACAGAAGGAAAGACAGGGCTAGAAGTAATAATTGGGTAGATGTGGTAGAACAAGTCCTCCTCTGATTGCTTTTGTTTTCTCAGTAGGAACTGAGGTTATCTGATAAAAATGAAGAAGGAGAGGAACTGTTGGAAGTTTGAGAAGAAGGTAAAAAACATAATTATTTAGAAGAGTTGGAGAGTTAATATGGTTTGGCTCTGTGTCCCCACCCAAATCTTATGTTGAATTGTAATTCCCAGTGTTGGAGGTGGGGTCTTGTGGGAGGTGATTGGATCATAGTGGTGGTTTCTAGCAGTTTAGCACCGTCCTCCTAGTGCTGTCTCCTGATAGGGTTCTCACAAGATCTGGTTGTAGCACCTCCCTCTTTGCTCTCTTCCTATTACTCCTGCCATGTAAGATGTGTTGGCTTCCTCTTTGATTGTAAGTTTTCTGAGGCCTCCCAGCCATGCCTTCTGTATAGCCTGACAAACTGTGAGTCAATTAAACCATTTTTTTAAATAAATTACCCAGTCTCAGGTAGTTCTTTATAGCAGTGTGAGAACGGACTAATAGAGTGAATATTCTGAGGAAATACAGTAGATTTCCTGGGTGAAACTATGAACTCATTTGAGGTTATCAATTATGAATTTAAAATGAGATCAACACTTCAAACATTTAATGCAGTTTATCTTTATATACATTTAAGTCCTTAGGTACAGGTGAGCAGTAGATGGAATATTAGATCTAAGCAGGACTGGAGTTTGCCAAACAGGTACAACTAAACAACGGAAGACCAGGAGAGCTGAAAGTGGATACACCAGAGTGATTACAGAGCTGGGCCTTGAAATCTAAGATGGATATGTTGGGAAGTGAGAATATGAAAGGAGGAAGGGACATGGGAGACCAGTGGATTGTTGGTTCTGGAGGGGTCGTCATTGACAAACTACTATTCGATGCCTACTTTGGCTAACTAACCACTTTGCTGGTACTGGCACAGAAATAAGCACCATGGCACATAGAATTGTAAGCTGGCATAACCAGTGAGGTTATATAGTATATATAACGTAAAAGGGTAGTATAGAGAAAGGAATAACCAGAGTCAGGGCCTGAGGACAAAGGGGGAAGAACAAAGATCTAGAAACATAAGACCGTGGTTGATCTCAACAACCTCAAATATATTAGGACTTGTAGAAGCATAGGAAATGGGATAAAAATTATCCTTCATCTAAACAGAGCTAATATAACTCAAATTCACAAATCTTCCCTATCTAGTGTTACTGAACACAAGACATTGTGCTAGGCTCTGTGGTGAGTATTAAGCTATAAGGAAATCTGAGTTCCTACTCAGGGAATTCTCATTATTATTGATCCTTAGGTGGGCCTCTTTTCCTTTCCTCCCTCCTTTCCTGTTTTTTTTTGTTTTGTTTTTTGTTTTTTGTTTTTTTTTTGTTCCTGAAACCATCTTGTAGGAATGTTGAGGAGGAAAACTCTAGAAATATCAAAGCAATATTTTGAGAAATTTTCCCATTCATTCCAAAAATAGTTACTAAGCACTTATTATGTATCGGAGATTCTGCCAGGCTCTGATACACAGAGAGGGAAAGCTCTCTGAAAGTCGTCATTATTAAATAAGACTATGTGAAGAGAAGTAGGTGAATCTGATTGGGACATCAGGGAAGGTTTCAGTGTGATTCGAGTTGAGCAGTAGAGGCTGATTAAAGGTTGTACTTATGGATAAGAGTGAGATATTACAGTGGACAGGGGTCTGTTCTTCTGCTGCCTTCTCTTGGTGTGACTGATGATGGACTTCTATCTAAAGTAATTCTCATCTCCTGGTATCTGTAATTCATTACTCTCATCTTCCTAAGGACCTATTGATCACCTAGTGATGACTTGGGTTCTTTTGAATGCAAATTTTTGCCTCTAAAAAAATAATAGTTTTTCTCAGAAAAGGACATTAACAGACATTTCCCAAAACAAGAAATACAAGTGGCCAAGAAACACATAAAAAAAATGCTCAACATCACTAATCATCAAATAAATGCAAATTAAAACTACTTTGAGGTATCATCTTACATCAGGGAGAATGGCTGTTATTAAAATGCCAAACAACAGATGTTGGTGTGGATGTGGAGAAAAGTGGATGCTTATACCCTGTTGGTGGGAATGTAAATTAGTTCAATCTCTATGAAAAACAGTATGGAGATTTCTTTTTTTTTCAATTTTCAACTTTTATTTTAGATATGGAGGTACATGTACAAGTTTGTTACATAGGTATATTGTGTGATGCTGAGGTTTGGGGTATGTGTCCTTTCATCCAAGATACACCATATTACCCAATAGATAGTTTTTCAATCCATGCCCCACTCTCTCCATCCCTACTCCCTCTAGTAGTTTGCAGTGTCCATGTGTGGTCAGTGTTTAGTTCCCATGTACAAATGAGGACATGAGGTATGTGGTTTTCTGTTTTTACATTAATTAGCTTAGGATCATGGCCTCCAGCTGCATGCATCCAAGTTGCTGCAAAAGACATAATTTAATTCTTTTTTATGGCTATATAGTATTCCATGGAGTATATGTACCACATTTTTGTCATCCAATCTGCATTAAGTGGTATCTAGGTTGAGTCCATGTTTTTGCTATAGTGAATATCATAGCAATGAACATAGGAGTGTGAGTATCTTTTTGGTAGAATAATTTATTTTCCTTTGGGGTATTTACCCAGTGATGGGACTGCAGGGTTGAATGTTAGCTCTGTTTTAAGTTCTTTGAGAACTCTTCAAACTGCTTTCCACAGTGGCTGAATTGATTTACATTTCCTTCAACAGCATATAAGCATTCCCTTTTCCCTGCAACGTCTCTGGCATCTGTTGTCTTTTGACTTTGAGGATTTCTTAAAGAACTAAAAATAGAACTACTATTTGAGCCAGCAATCTCACCACTGGGTATCTACCCAAAGGAAAGAAAATCGTTATATAAAAAAGACACCTGCACCTGTGTGTTTATTACAACACTATTCACAATAGCAAAGTTGTAGAACCAATCTAAGTGTCCATCAAGGGTTGACTGGATAACGAAAATGTGGCATAGATTACCATGGAATAGTATGCAGCCATAAAAAGAATGAAATCATGTTCTTTTCAGCAACATGGATGGAGCTGGAGGCTATTATCCTAACAGAACTAACTCAGAAACAGAAAAATACCACATGTTCTCATTTATGCAAGAGCTAAATAATGGGTATACATGACATAAAGATGGTGATAATAAACACTGGGGACTCCAAAAGGGGAGGATCAGAGGCTGCTGAGGGCTGAAAAATGACCTTTTGGGTACAATGTTCAATATCTGGGTGATGGGCGCACTAGAAGCCCAATTCCCACCATGATACAATATACCCATGTAAAAAACAAGCTCATATACCCCTGGCATCTAAAAAAAAAAAAATTTCAAAAAGTTTTAAATATTTATCAATAATATCTAGGTAATATTTACTTAGTTTATTTATAAACCTCTTAGCTGTGATTCTCAGTTTTCCTTTTCATTAACAATGTGTGAACTTTACACCTGCCCATTACATGTTTTTTTGATGTTATCCTATGTGAGGACAAACTGCTTTAGCTAAATAGTATCTTAGAGCTACCACAGGACACCATTTTATATATGAGAAAATAGTTTCAGAAGAGTAAAGCCTTTTACAACCCTACTTTCTGTCTTTTAGAGGCAAACAAAAGTTTATGTCGTATACTTTAGTATTGAATTGGTCTGAAAGCAGTTGCTCTGTGAACAGTTTATTATTATTATTATTTGGATGTAATATTCCCCTGTATACTTTTAGGGTATAGGGAACTTTTTTTAAACAAAAAGTCATTTCACAATGGGAGATTATCTCTGATTTATATTATGTTTCTTTTTTTTTTTTTCTCTGAGGCGGAGTTTCACTCTGTCGCCCAGGCTGGAGTGCAGTGGCACAATCTCAGCTCACTGTAACCTCCGACTCCTGGGTTCAAGTGATTCTCTTGCCTCAGCCTCCTGAGCAGCTGGGATTACACGTGCCTGCCACCACCCGGGTTAATTTTTTTTTTTTTTTTTAGTAGAGATGGAGTTTCACCATGTTGGCCAGTCTGGTCTCGAACTCCTGACCTCAGGTGATCTGCTCGCCTCGGCCTCCCAAAGTGCTGGGATTACAGGCATGACCCACAATTCCCGGCCAATATTATGTTTCTTTCTCTTTTTTTTTGAGACGGAGTCTCACTCTGTCACCTGGGCTGGAGTGCAATGTTGTGATCTCGGCTCACTGCAGCCTCCCCTTCCCGGGTTCAGGCAATTCTCCTGCCTCAGCCTTTCAAGTAGCTGGGATTACAGGCATGTGCTACCATGCCCAGGTAATTTTTGTATTTTTAGTAGAGATGGGGTGTCACCATATTGGCCAGGCTGGTCTTTCAAACTCCTGACCTTATGATCCGCCTGCCTTGGCCTCCCAAAGAGCTGGGATTACAGACATGAGCCACTGCACCAGCACAATATTATGTTTCTAAAATCCACTTTTGAGCCTATAAAAGTTAGTTCTTCACTTCTTTTCCGGTAGGGAAAATGTTTCAATCCTAACTCATTTTGCTGCTGCTGTTGGACTTTCATTTTATTCTCCTCTAAACATGGGTGAAGGTGACACTAAAGTTTATTACTTTTTTTAAAAACAAGTATGAAAGTGGTGTGGATAAGCACTCAACTCACATATTCTTTGAAAGAGAAAATACATTTTTCCTGCCACAAGATGTTATTAAAAGATTAAATATATTCAAAAGTATATTTCTTTTAATAAAAATAATTTAGTTTCTGAAATAATTATATGCATTTATATTATGTACTATAGAAAAATAGATGGTACAATTGGCTCTGGATGGATATTTGATCATTCTTTTCTGGCTACATAAAACTCTGTAAATGAGTGGCACGCAGATGGTGTCTCATTATCTCCAATGGAGAGACTTAAATGCAGCCTGTAAGCCTTTGAAGAGTCTGTTTTTGTATCTAAGTGAATAACTTTTGAGCTTGGCTTTTTTTTTTTCCTCCTCCTTTTTTTTTTTTTTTTTTGCAGTGATGTGTTACTAGGCTGTACTAACTCTGAAAATCAAATTGATTCCTATCTATATACTTAGAAAAATGATCACTTTGGGAATAAGAACATGTATTTCACAGTATGGACTAAAGTCACAATAAATAGCATATGAATAAGAATTTAAAAAATGGAGTCAATGATGAATATGCCTATAATAGACACAGACAAATTAATTATTGCAGAAGCTTCTTCGGGTGGATATGACAGGTTTTTGGATGTCAGGGATCAAGCCCAGGAAGGGCCATGTCTTACTCATTTCTTAATTTCTTACTACCCCCTCAACCTTGCACAGTTCATGCCCATCTAGCACCATATCCATCTAGAAGAAATTTCATTAATTTTGTTGAATGACTGAAAATAATTTGTTTCAGTTAAATTGATTTTACATTTGAACTTTTGGTGCATTAGTCTCTTACCGCATCTTGAAATATGCTTATACTTACATTTACAATGACTGCAAAGCTTAACATTTTTAAAGAATTCTACTTTGATATAAGATGGTCTTTGATAAAAGTGTTGCTTACAAGCATTTCTAAGACTGTTAATATAAATAAATGAGCAAATAAAATAATTCCTGACATGTTCCAGTGCTAATAGAGGATCCAGAATATTCAAGATTTACAAGGCTATTCAGATCAATAGCATCAGGTCTATTCCATGCTATGTAAGTCAGTTCAGGCTACCACAACAAAATATCACAGACTGGGTGACTTAAATAATAAAAATTGGAGGCTGGACAGTCCAAGAGCAAGGCACCAGTGGATTTGATTCTTGGTGAGGGCTTTCTTCCTGGCTTTCACATGGCCACTTGCTTGCTGTGTGCTCACATGGCCTTCCCTGGTGCATGCCTGAAGAGAGAGAGAGAGTCCTCTCTGGTGCCTTTTTTTTTATTTTATTTTTAAAGAACACATTCTATCATGAGGGCTTCATCTTCATGAATTTATTTAATCCTAATTGCCAAAGTCTGTCTCCAAATACCATCACATTGTGAGTTAAGGCTTCAACATACAAATTTGAGGGAGAGGGGACACAAACACTCGGTCTATGACACACACATAAGTAATTTCTTATTCATCATTGCTTATCTATAGCCACTATCCCAACTCCACTAAGTCAGCTTCTTTTGTTTCATTGCTGCTGACCCAAAGGTGAGCTCAGAGAAAGAAAGAAAATAATTGGAGAGAGGAGAAAGAAATAAAAGCATAGTGGTGAAATGATTTTAAGTTAGATCACTGTTGGGAATATAACCAATGAAGCAGTCAGAATGTTGTTATTTTAACCACTGAAAACAATTCAAGTAAAATCCAAAATCATGTGAGATTCAGTCAGACAAAGATGTCAATCAGTGTCCTGAAGTGGATTTGGGTGCTTGCCAAGGGACTCCTGGAGCAGCCTGGCTGAAGCCACTAGGGCAAACAGCGGCTTCAGAGATGGACATCATGGATACACAGAATGCTTTCCTGAGAATATATTAGAATCATGTGAGGTCTGGGTGCTAGAAGGTGCCCCTATACCCGGGGGTTGTCTACTCCTGAAGGATTCCAAATCAGTGTCTCTTTGAGGTTATTCACTTGTTATGGTAATGGTATCTCAGCAGCTGCTCTGTTTATTACAAGAGAAGAAGGCTGGGTAGCTTTCTCTTAAACTCCTTGGGCCACTCTTTCTGGGGTGGGAAGACAGCTCATTAGCTAAGATTTTTATCCTGGCTCTGTAGTGATGACATGGCTATTGTGACCCTGGAGTGTAGCTATAAGGAGGTGTAGCCTAGCCTCATTCAGTGGGAAATTAGTACACATTGCTTTAAAATGGTAATAGAGTTAGTGCAGTAACTTTTCCACTAGATAAAAATTCTGATTATCTTTGTCAGTTTCAATAGTTCCTTCAGACCTAATATGAAACCTGAATACCATTTTCTAACATAGTTTGAGTTTCCTTTCCAAAAATATCATTTGTGCAAGGTATGGCACCACAGAAAGGCCAATGATGGAACAAAGATTAAATAATTAAGTTAGCTGTTTGTGCTTTTGGGATTCTTCCTTGAACTACCTTCAAATTCTTAGAGTCTTTTTCTATTTGATTACTTTGTTTCTGGAATTTAAAGCCTACAGTCATGGTTAGAAAAGCCAACTGGTAATTTAGCTACTGTGGTATTATCCACACTGATAATTACCTTTGTTAATGGGAAATTTTTAAGGTCAGGAATTACATATTCACCAGTGTATCTTTAGCACTTAACATTTTAATGAATGGAATAATTATAAGTGAACTATATTTTTCTAAAAACAGAGGCAAGGTTGATATTAAGAAGAAAAGTTAGAGGATACATAATGTATTCCTGACTCTGAGATATATGAAAAAAAATAACAAAAAAACCCACCCTTTCAAAATTGGCATCAGTGACATGCCATGTTCATGTCAAAGGTTCAATGAGAAGATAATTTTTCCCTTCTAATTTGCCTTTAGTTTTCTGGAATGGGGTGATCCTAATAATAAAGGATACCATAAGTTTCATGCTCAATAGAATTTAAGAAATTGTAACATGCACTTTAAATATACTAAAGATAATAATAATAGCAATATCTAGTACTTATAGCTACTTGTTAGGCACTGTTGTAAGTGATTTTTATAGTATAATTACTTAAATCATGTCAGCTCCATATTGTAGATAAAAAAACTAAAGCACAGAGGGCACGGCATGAGCCCAAGACCACTCACCCAATGGGTGTGAAGTCAGATATTAAACAGGCTTAAGTTCTGGCTGTAAATCCCTTTACAATGTTGGCTTCTCTGTTCTATACTACCTCCAAAGCTACCACTGGCCTTTGATATCTTTGTGCAAATCAGAAAAAGAGTTGCATCTTCCTCAATTGAAAAGAATACTCAAGAATAACAAATATTAAAAACATAAAGCCATTCTGCAGGAATTAAGTTGAATCATTAAACAGAAAATAATGTGTATTAATAGGAGTTCTTCAGGGAGACAACTTATTGCAAATATATGATATATCCAATATAATATATATATGTCCAATAAGGGGTGTGTGTGTGTGTGTGTGTATTAGTCCAGTCTCACAGTGCTATAAAGAACTGCCAGAGACTGGATAATTTATAAAGAAAAGAGGTTTAATTGACTCACAGTTCTACATGGCTGGGGACGCCTCAGGAAACTTACAATCATGGTGGAAGGCAAAGGGGAAGCAAGGCACGTCTTACATTGCAGCAGGAGTGAGAGAGAGAGAGAAGAGGGGGAAGTGCTACACCTCTAAACCATCAGATATCATGAAAATTCACTCACTATCATGAAAACAGCATGGAGGAAACAACTCTCTTGATCCAATCACCTCCCACCAGGTCCCTCCCCTAACATGTGGGGATTACAATTCAAGATGAGATTTGGGTGGGGACACAGAGCCAAACCATATCATTCTGCCCCTGACTCCTCTCAAATATCATGTCCTTCTTCCATTGCAAATTCAGTCATGCCTTCTCAACAGTCCCCTAAAGTCTTTACTCATTGGAGCATTAACTCAAAAGTCAAAGTCCAAAATTTCATCTGAGACAAGGCAAAGTCTCTTCCACCTAGGAGCCTGTAAAATAAAAACAAGTTAGTTACTTCCAAGATACAATGAGGGTACAGGCATTAGGTAAATGTTGCCATTCCAAAAGAGAAATTGGCCAAAACAAAGGGGCTACAGACAAAGGGACTACAAAGAGTCCCAGGTAACTCTGAAACCCAGGAGGGCAGTCATTAAATCTTAAACCTCCAAAAAAACCTCCTTTGACTCCCTGTCTCACATCCAGGGTGATACAAAGGGTGGGTTCCCATGGCCTTGGAAAAATCTGCCCCTGTAGCTCTGCAGGGTTCAGTCCCTGCAGCTGCTTTCACAGGCTGGCATTGAGTGCCTGTGGCTTCTCCAGGCACACAGTGCAAGCTTTCAGTGGATCTACCATTCTGGGGTCTGGAGGATGGTGGCCGTCTTCTCACAGCTCCACTAGACAGTGCCCCAGTAGGGACTCTGTGCGCTCCAACTCCACATTTCCCCTCTGCATTGCCCTAGTAGAGGTTCTTCATGAGGATTCCACCCCTGCAGCAGACTTCTGCCTGGGCATCCAGGCATTTTCATACATTCTCTGAAATCTAGGTGGAGGCTCCCAAAGCTCAGTCCTTGTCTTTTATGCACCCAGAGGCCCAACACCATGTGGAAGCCATCACGGCTTGGGGCTTGCACCCTCTGAAGCAATGGTCTAAACTCTGCCTTGGCCTCTTTTAGCCATGGTTGGAGCTGGAGTGGGTGGGACTCTGGGTGCCATGCCCCAAGGTTGTATAGAACAGCACAGGACCCTGGGCCCAGCCTATGAAACCATATTTCCCTCTTAGGCCTCTGGGCCTGTGATGGGAGGGGCTGCCATGAAGAGCTCTGAAATACCCTGGAGACATTTTCCCCATTGTCTCAGCTTTTAACGTCTGGCTCCTTGTTACTTATGAAAATTTCTGTGGCCAGCTTGACTTTTTCCCAGAAAATGGGTTTTTCTTTTCTACTGCATAGTCAGGCTGCAAATTTTCCAAACCTTTAAGTACTGCTTTTCTCTTAAATATAAGTTCCAATTTCAGATCATCTCTTTGTAAATGTGTATGACTGTATGCTTTCAGAAAAAGCCAGGTCACATCTTGAATGCTTTGCTGCTTCAAAATTGCTTCTGTCAGATACCCTAAATCATCTCTCTCAAGTTCGAAGTTCCACAGATCTCTAGTAAAGGGGCAAAATGCCACCAATCTCTTAGGTAAAGCATAGCAAGAGTGACCTTTGCTCCCGTTTCCAATAAGTTCCTCATCTTCATCTGAGACCACCTCAGCCTGGACTTCATTGTCCATATGGCTATCAGCGTTTTGGTTAAAACTATTCAACAAGTCTGTAGGAAGTTCCAAACTTTCCTACAACTTCCGTCTTCGTCTGAGCCCTCCAGACTGTTCCAACTTCTGCCTGTTACCCAGTTCCAAAGTTGCTTTCATATTTTCAGGTATTATTATAGTTGTACTCCAAACTCCTGATCCCAACTCTTTGTTTGAGTCCATTTTCACACTGCTATAAAGAACTACCTGAGACTGGGTAATTTATAAAGAAAGGAAGTTTAATTGTCTCACAGTTCCACATGGCTGTGGAGGCCTCAGGAAACCTACAATCACAGTGGAAGGTGAAGAGGAAGCAAGGCATGTCTCATATGGTGGCAATAGAGAGAGAGAGAGAGAGAGAGAGAGAGAGAAAATGAGGAAATGTCACATTTTTAAACCATCATGTCTCATGAGAATTTACTCTGTATCATGAGAAAAGCATGGGAGAAACCACCCCCATGATCCAATCACCTCCTACCAGGTTCCTCCCCTCACATATGGGGATTAAAATTGGAGATGAGATTTCAGTCGGGACATAGAATCAAATCATGTCAGTGTGAATAAGGAATTGGCTCATGTGATTATGAGGGGCTGACAAGTCCCAAAATCTGCAGGGTGAGTTGGCAAGCAAAGACACAGGACAGTCAATAAATTTCAGTCTGAAGGCTTGTGGGCTCAAGACCCAGAAAGAATTGATCTTTCAGTAGGAGTCTGAAGTCAGGCAAAAACATGATGTTCCAGTTTGAAGGTAGTTAGGCAGGAGGAATTTTTTATTACTTTAGGGAGAGTAAAACTTTTTGTACTATTGAGGTCTTTGCTTGATTTGGTCAGGTCAACTTACTTCTGAGAGACAAACTACTTTACTCAGTCCTACCAACTTAAATGTTTTCTTTGTTTTTTTTTAAAAAAAATTTCATTTAACTTTTAAGTTCAGAGTACATGTGCAGTTTGTTATATAGGTAAACTTGTGTCATAGGGGTTTGTTGTACAGATTATTTCATCACCCAGGTATTACGCCTATTGATAAGCCTATTAAACTTGCTAGTACGCATTAATTTTCTTAATCCTCTTTCTTCTCCCAGCTTCCAGCCTCCAATAGGCCCCAGTGTGCATTGTTCCCCTCTATGTGTCCCTGTGTTCTCATCATTTAGCTCCCACTTAATAAGTATTAGGTTTTCTGTTCCTGTGTTGGTTTGCTAAGGATAATAGCCTCCAGCTCCATCCATGTTCCTGCAAAGGACATGATCTCATTATTTTTTGTCTGCACAGTATTCCATGGTATATAGGTACTACATTTTCTTTATCCTGCCTACCACTGATGGACATTTAGGTTGATTCTATGTCTTCGCTTTTCTTAATAGTGCTACAATGAACATATGCGTGCATGTGTCTTGATGATAGAATGATTTATACTCCTTTGGGCATATAACCAGTAATGGAATTGCTGGGTCAAATGGTAGTTCTGTTTTTAGGTCTTTGAGGAACTACCACACTGTCTTCCACAATGGTTGAACTAATTTACATTCCCACAATAGTGCATAAGCACTTCTTTCTCTCCACAACCTAGCCAGCATGTTATTTTTTTGACTTTTTAATAATAGCCATTCTGACTGGTGTGAGATAATGTCTCATTATGGTTTTGATTTGCATTTCTCTAATGACCAGTGATGTTGAGCTTTCTTTTATATGATTGTTGACTTCTTTTGAATGTTTGTATGTCCTCTTTTTGAAAAGTGTCTCTTCATGTCCTTTGCCCACTTTTTAATAGGGTTGTTTGATTTTTTCTTGTAAATTTAAGTTTCTTATAGATGTTGGATATTAGACCTTTGTCAGATGCATAGTTTGCAAAATTTTTCTCCCTTTCTGTAGGTTGTCTGTTTACTCTGTTGACAGTTTCTTTTGCTTTGCAGAAGCTCTTTAATTAGATTTTATTTGTCAATTTTTGTTTTTGTTGCAATTGCTTTTGGCATCTTTGTTAAAAAAGTTTTGCTCATTTCTATGTCCAGAATGGTATTGCCTAGGTTGTCGTCCAGGATTTTTATAGATTTGAGTTCTATATTTAGGTCTTTAATCCATCTTGAGTTAATTTTTTTTTTATTATTACACTTTAAGTTTTAGGGTACATATGCACAATGTAGGTTAGTTACATATGTATACATGTGCCATGCTGGTGCGCTGCACCCACTAACTCGTCATCTAGCATTAGGTATATCTCCCAATGCTATCCCTCCCCCCTCCCCCCACCCCACAACAGTCCCCAGAGTGTGATGTTCCCCTTCCTGTGTCCATGTGTTCTCATTGTTCAATTCCCACCTATGAGTGAAAATATGCGGTGTTTGGTTTTTTGTTCTTGCGATAGTTTACTGAGAATGATGATTTCCAATTTCATCCATGTCCCTACAAAGGACATGAACTCATCATTTTTTATGGCTGCATAGTATTCCATGGTGTATATGTGCCACATTTTCTTAATCCAGTCTATCATTGTTGGACATTTGGGTTGGTTCCAAGTCTTTGCTATTGTGAATAGTGCCGCAATAAACATACGTGTGCATGTGTCTTTATAGCAGCATGATTTATAGTCCTTTGGTTATATACCCAGTAATGGGATGGCTGGGTCAAATGGTATTTCTAGTTCTAGATCCCTGAGGAATCACCACACTGACTTCCACAATGGTTGAACTAGTTTACAGTCCCACCAACAGTATAAAAGTGTTCCTATTTCTCCACATCCTCTCCAGCACCTGTTGTTTCCTGACTTTTTAATGATGGCCATTCTAACTGGTGTGAGATGGTATCTCATTGTGGTTTTGATTTGCATTTCTCTGATGGCCAGTGATGGTGAGCATTTTTTCATGTGTGTTTTGGCTGCATAAATGTCTTCTTTTGAGAAGTGTCTGTTCATGTCCTTTGCCCACTTTTTGATGGGGTTGTTTGTTTTTTTCTTGTAAATTTGTTTGAGTTCATTGTAGATTCTGGATATTAGCCCTTTGTCAGATGAGAAGGTTGCGAAAATTTTCTCCCATTTCACTCTGTGAAATGTTGCCTGTTCACTCTGATGGTAGTTTCTTTTGCTGTGCAGAGGCTCTTTAGTTTAATTAGATCCCATTTGTCAATTTTGGCTTCTGTTGCCATTGCTTTTGGTGTTTTAGACATGAAGTCCTTGCCCATGCCTATGTCCTGAATGGTAAAGCCTAGGTTTTCTTCTAGGGTTTTTGTGGTTTTAGGTCTAACATTTAAGTCCTTAATCCATCTTGAATTGATTTTTGTATAAGGTGTAAGGAAGGGATCCAGTTTCAGCTTTCTACATATGGCTAGCCAGTTTTCCAAGCACCATTTATTAAACAGGGAATCCTTTCCCCATTGCTTGTTTTTCTCAGGTTTGTCAAAGATCAGATAGTTGTAGATATGTGGCATTATTTCTGAGGGCTCTGTTCTGTTCCATTGATCTATATCTCTGTTTTGGTACCAGTACCATGCTGTTTTGGTTACTGTAGCCTTGTAGTATAGTTTGAAGTCAGGTAGTGTGATGCCCTCCAGCTTTGTTCTTTTGACTTAGGATTGACTTGGCGCTGTGGGCTCTTTTTTGGTTCCATATGAACTTTAAAGTAGTTTTTTCCAATTCTGTGAAGAAAGTCATTGGTAGCTTGATGGGGATGGCATTGAATCTGTAAATTACCTTGGGCAGTATGACCATTTTCACGATATTGATTCTTCCTACCCATGAGCATGGAATGTTCTTCCGTTTGTTTTATCCTCTTGTATTTCCTTGAGCAGTGGTTTGTAGTTCTTCTCGAAGAGGTCCTTCACATCCCTTGTAAGTTGGATTCCTAGATATTTTATTCTCTTTGAAGCAATTGTGAATGGGAGTTCACTCAAGATTTGGCTCTCTGTTTGTCTGTTATTGTTGTATAAGAATGCTTGTGATTTTTGCACATTGATTTTGTATCCTGAGACTTTGCTGAAGTTGCTTATCAGCTTAAGGAGATTTTGGGCTGAGACAATGGGGTTTTCTAGATATACAATCATGTCATCTGCAAACAGGGACAATTTGACTTCCTCTTTTTTTAATTGAATACCCTTTATTTCCTTCTCCTGCCTAATTGCCCTGGCCAGAACTTCCAACACTATGTTGAATAGGATTGGTGAGAGAGGGCATCCCTGTCTTGTGCCAGTTTTCAAAGGGAATGCTTCCAGTTTTTGCCCATTCAGTATGATATTGGCTGTGGGTTTGTCATAGATAGCTCTTATTATTTTGAAATACGTCCCATCAATACCTAATTGATTGAGAGTTTTTAGCATGAAGGGTTGTTGAATTATGTCAAAGGCCTTTTCTGCATCTATTGAGATAATCATGTGGTTTTTGTCTTTGGCTCTGTTTATATGCTGGATTACATTTATTGATTTGCGTATATTGAACCAGCCTTGCATCCCAGGGATGAAGCCCACTGGATCATGGTGGATAAGCTTTTTGATGTGCTGCTGGATTCGGTTTGCCAGTATTTTATTGAGGATTTTTGCATCAATGTTCATCAAGGATATTGGTCTAAAATTCTCTTTTTTGGTTGTGTCTCTGCCCAGCTTTGGTATCAGGATGATGCTGGCCTCATAAAATGAGTGAGGGAGGATTCCCTCTTTTTCTATTGATTGGAATAGTTTCAGAAGGAATGGTACCAGTTCCTCCTTGTACCTCTGGTAGAATTCAGCTGTGAATCCATCTGGTCCTGGACTCTTTTTGGTTGGTAAGCTATTGATTACTGCCAGAATTTCAGCTCCTGTTATTGGTCTATTCAGAGATTCAACTTCTTCCTGGTTTAGTCTTGGGAGAGTGTATGTTTCGACGAATGTATCCATTTCTTCTAGATTTTCTAGTTTATTTGCGTAGAGGTGTTTGTAGTATTCTCTGAAGGTAGTTTGTATTTCTGTGGGATCGGTGGTGATATCCCCTTTATCATTTTTTGTTGCGTCTATTTGATTCTTCTCTCTTTTTTTCTTTATTAGTCTTGCTAGCAGTCTATCAATTTTGTTGATCCTTTCAAAAAAACAGCTCCTGGATTCATTAATTTTTTGAAGGGTTTTTTGTGTCTCTATTTCCTTGAGTTCTGCTCTGATTTTATTTATTTCTTGCCTTCTGCTAGCTTTTGAATGTGTTTGCTCTTGCTTTTCTAGTTCTTTTAATTGTGATGTTAGGGTGTCAATTTTGGATCTTTCCTGCTTTCTCTTGTGGGCATTTAGTGCTATAAATTTCCCTCTACAAACTGGTTTGAATGCGTCCCAGAGATTCTGGTATGTTGTGTCTTTGTTCTCGTTGGTTTCAAAGAACATCTTTATTTCTGCCTTCATTTCGTTATGTACCCAGTAGTCATTCAGGAGCAGGTTGTTCAGTTTCCATGTAGTTGAGCGGTTTTGAGTGAGATTCTTAATCCTGAGTTCTAGTTTGATTGCACTGTGGTCTGAGAGATAGTTTGTTATAATTTCTTTTGTTTTACATTTGCTGAGGAGAGCTTTACTTCCAAGTATGTGGTCAATTTTGGAATAGGTGTGGTGTGGTGCTGAAAAAAATGTATATTCTGTTGATTTGGGGTGGAGAGTTCTGTAGATGTCTATTAGGTCCGCTTGGTGCAGAGCTGAGTTCAATTCCTGGATATCCTTGTTGACTTTCTGTCTCATTGATCTGTCTAATGTTGACAGTGGGGTGTTAAAGTCTCCCATTATTAATGTGTGGGAGTCTAAGTCTCTTTGTAGGTCACTCAGGACTTGCTTTATGAATCTGGGTGCTCCTGTATTGGGTGCATCTATATTTAGGATAGTTAGCTCTTCTTGTTGAAGTGATCCCTTTACCATTATGTAATGGCCTTCTTTGTCTCTTTTGATCTTTGTTGGTTTAAAGTCCGTTTTATCAGAGACTAGGATTGCAACCCCTGCCTTTTTTTGTTTTCCATTTGCTTGGTAGATCTTCCCCCATCCTTTTATTTTGAGCCTATGTGTGTCTCTGCACATGAGATGGGTTTCCTGAATACAGCACACTGATGGGTCTTGACTCTTTATCCAATTTGCCAGTCTGTGTCTTTTAATTGGAGCTTTTAGTTCATTTACATTTAAAGTTAATATTGTTATGTATGAATTTGATTCTGTCATTATGACGTTAGCTGGTTATTTTGCTCGTTAGTTCATGCAGTTTCTTCCTAGTCTCAATGGTCTTTACATTTTGGCATGATTTTGCAGTGGCTGGTACCGGTTGTTCCTTTCCACGTTTAGCGCTTCCTTCAGGAGCTCTTTTAGGGCAGGCCTGGTGGTGACAGAATCTCTCAGCATTTGCTTGTCTGTAAAGTATTTTATTTCTCCTTCACTTATGAAGCTTAGTTTGGCTGTATATGAATTTCCGGGTTGAAAATTCTTTTCTTTAAGTATGTTGAATATTGGCCCCCACTCTCTTCTGGCTTGTAGAGTTTCTGCCAAGAGATCCACTGTTAGTCTGATGGGCTTCCCTTTGATGGTAACCCGACCTTTCTCTCTGGCTGCCCTTAACATTTTTTCCTTCATTTCAACTTTGGTGAATCTGACAATTATGTGTCTTGGAGTTGCTCTTCTCAAGGAGTATCTTTGTGGCGTTCTCTGTATTTCCTGAATCTGAACATTGGCCTGCCTTGCTAGATTGGGGAAGTTCTCCTGGATAATATCCTGCAGAGTGTTTTCCAACTTGGTTCCATTCTCCCCGTCACTTTCAGGTACACCAATCAGAGGTAGATTTGGTCTTTTCACATAGTCCCATATTTCTTGGAGGCTTTGCTCATTTCTTTTTATTCTTTTTTCTCTAAACTTCCCTTCTCACTTCATTTCATTCATTTCATCTTCCATCGCTGATACCCTTTCTTCCAGTTGATTGCATCGGCTCCTGAGGCTTCTGCATTCTTTACGTCGTTCTCGAGCCTTGGTTTTCAGCTCCATCAGCTCCTTTAAGCACTTCTCTGTATTGGTTATTCTAGTTATACATTCTTCTAAACTTTTTTCAAAGTTTTCAACTTCTTTGCCTTTGATTTGAATGTCCTCCCATAGCTGGGAGTAATTTGATCATCTGAAGCCTTCTTCTCTCAGCTCGTCAAAGTCATTCTCCATCCAGCTTTGTTCTGTTGCTGGTGAGGAACTGCGTTCCTTTGGAGGAGGAGAGGTGCTCTGCTTTTTAGAGTTTCCAGTTTTTCTGCTCTGTTTTTTCCCCATCTTTGTGGTTTTGTCTACTTTTGGTCTTTGATGATGGTGATGTACAGATGGGTTTTTGGTGTGGATGTCCTTTCTGTTTGTTAGTTTTCCTTCTAACAGACAGGACCCTCAGCTGCAGGTCTGTTGGAGTACCTGGCCGTGTGAGGTGTCAGTGTGCCCCTGCTGGGGGGTGCCTCCCAGTTAGACTGCTCGGGGCTCAGGGGTCAGGGACCCACTTGAGGAGGCAGTCTGCCCGTTCTCAGATCTCCAGCTGCGTGCTGGGAGAACCACTGCTCTCTTCAAAGCTGTCAGACAGGGCCATTTAAGTCTGCAGAGGTTACTGCTGTCTTTTTGTTTGTCTGTGCCCTGCCCCCAGAGGTGGAGCCTACAGAGGCAGACAGGCCTCCTTGAGCTGTGGTGGGATCCACCCAGTTGGAGCTTCCTGGCTGCTTTGTTTACCTAAGCAAGCCTGGGCAATGGCGGGCACCCCTCCCCCAGCCTCGCTGCTGCCTTGCAGTTTGATCTCAGACTGCTGTGCTGGCAATCATCGAGACTCTGTGGGCGTAGGACCCTCCAAGCCAGGTGCGGGATATAATCTCCTGGTGCGCCATTTTTTAAGCCCGTCGGAAAAGCGCAGTATTCGGGTGGGAGTGACCCAATTTTCCAGGTGCCGTCTGTCACCCCTTTCTTTGACTAGGAAAGGGAACTCCCTGACCCCTTGGGCTTCCCGAGTGAGGCAATGCCTCACCCTGCTTTGGCTCGCGCACGGTGCGCTGCACCCACTGACCTGTACCCACTGTCTGGCACTCCCTAGTGAGATGAACCCGGTACCTCAGATGGAAATGCAGAAATCACCCATCTTCTTCGTTGCTCACGCTGGGAGCTGTAGACCGGAGCTGTTCCTATTCGGCCGTCTTGGCTCCTCCTAATTTTTGTTTAATTTCAATCTTCTGCATATGGCTACCCAGTTGCCCCAGTAGCATTTATTGAATAGGGAATTCTTTCCCCCATTGCTTGTTTTTGTGAGGTTTGTTAAAGATCAGATGCATATAGGTGTGTGGCCTTATTTCAGGGTTCTCTATTCTGTTCCCTTGGTCTATGTGTCTGTTTTTGTACCCATACCAAGCTGTTTGGTTACTGTAGCACTGTAGTATAGTTTGAAGTCAGGTAGCATGATGCTTCCAGCTTTTTTTTTTTTTTTTTTTTTGCTTAGGATTGCCTTGGCTATTTGGGCTCTTTTTTTGGTTCCACGTGAATTTTAAAATAGTTTTTTTTTCTAGTTCTATGAAGAATCTCAATGGTAGTTTAATCGGAATAGCATTGAATCTATAAATTGCTTTGGGCAATATGGCCATTTTAGTGATACTGATTCTTTCTATCCATGTGCATGGAATATGTTTCCATTTATTTGTGTCATCTCGATTTTTTTGAGCAATGTTTCATAGTTCTCCTTGAAGAGATCTTTTACATTGATAGTTAGCTATTTTACTAAGTATTTTATTCTTTTTGTGGCAACTGTGAATGGGAGATCATTCCTAATTTGGCTCTTGTCTTGACTCTTGTTAATGTATAGGAGTGCTAGTGATTTTTGCAAATTGATTTTTTATCCTGAGACATTGCTGAAGTTGTTTATCAGCTTAAGGAGCTTTTGAACTGAGACAGTGGGATTTTCTAGATATAGGATTATGTCATGTGTAAACAGATGTAGTTTGACTTCTTCTCTTCCTATTTGGATGCCCTTTATTTCTTTCTCTTGCCTGATTGCCCTGGCCAGAACTTCCATTACTATGTTGAATAGGAGTGATGAGAGACAGCATTCTTT
Source organism: Homo sapiens (assembly GCF_000001405.40). Taxonomy (NCBI): domain Eukaryota; kingdom Metazoa; phylum Chordata; class Mammalia; order Primates; family Hominidae; genus Homo; species Homo sapiens. The sequence goes on along the minus strand of NC_000014.9, from coordinate 38,634,051 downwards.
TCTTGTGCCAGTTTTCAAGGGGAATGCTTCCAGCTTTTTCCTGTTCAGTATGATGTTGGCTGTGGGTTTGTCGCTGATGACTCTTACTATTCTGAGGTATGTTCCATCAGTATCTAGTTTACTGAGAAGTTTTACTATGAAGCGGTGTTGAGTTTTATTAAAAACCTTTTCTGCATTTATTGAGATAATCATGGTTCTGAACCCTTGCTGGAGAGATGACATGGTCATTTGAGGAAAGAAGGCATACTGGCTTTTTGAGTGGTCAGGGTTCTTGTGCTGGTTCATTCTTATAGTTCTGTTTATGTTATAAATGAATCAAACTTTGCATCCCAGGGATAAAGCCTACTTGATCATTGTAGATAAAGTTTTTGATGTGCTGCTGGATTTGATTTGCCAGTGTTGTGTTGAGGATTTTTGCATCAATGTTCATTAAGTATATTGGCCTAAAGTTTTCTTTTATTGTTGTGTCTCTGCCAGGTACTGGTATCAGGATGATGCTGGCCTCAGAATGAGTTAGGAAGGAGTTCCTCCACCTCAATTTTTAGGAATAGTTTCAGTAGGAATGGTACAATCTCTTCAGTTTCAGAGGTCATTATTGTTATGTTCAGGAGTTGAATTTCTTCATGATTTAGTCTTGGGAGAGGGGAGAGTGTTTATGTGTCCAGGAATTTATCAATTTCTTCTAGATTTTCTAGTTTATTTGCTTAGAGGTATTTATAATATTGTCTGATGGTTATTTATATTTCTATGGGGTCAGTGGTAATATCCCCCTTGTCATTTCTGATTGTGTTTTTTGGAATCTTCTTTCTTTTCTTGTTTATTAGTCTAGCTAGGAGTCTATTTTATTAATTTTTTCAAAAATCACCTCCTGGTTTTGTTGATCTTTTGAATGGTTTCTCACATTTCAATCTCCTTGAGTTCAGCTCTGATTTTGGTTATTCCTTGTCTTCTGCTAGCTTTGGGGTTGTTTTTCTCCTGGTTCTCTAGTTCTTTTTGTTGTAATGTTAGCATGTTAACTCGAGATCTTTCCAACTTTTTGATGTGGGCATTTAGTGCTATAAATTTCTTTCTTAACACCACCTTAGCTGTGCCTCAGAGATTCTGGAATGTTGTATTTTTATTCTCATTAGTTTTGAATAACTTCTTGATTTCTGCCCTTATTTCATCATTTACCTAAAAGTCATTCAGTGCAGGTTATTCAATTTCCCTGTAATGTATGGTTTTGAGTGAATTTCTCAGTCTTGATTTCTGATTTGATTGTGCTGGGCTTTGAGATATTGGTTGTTATACTTTCAGTTTTTATGCATTTGCTGAAGGATGTTTTATTTCCAGTTATGTAATCTCCTCTAGACTATGTAACATGTAATGATAAGACAAATGTATATTCTGGGCCAGGCGTGGTGGCTCATGCCTGTAATCCCAGCACTTTGGGAGGCCACAGTCCGTGGATCACCTGAGGTCAGGAGTTCAAGACCAGCCTGGCCAACATGGTGAAACCCCCATCTCTGCTGAAAATACAAAAATTAGCCATGCATGGTGGCAGGTGCCTGTAATCTCAGCTACTCAGGAGGCTGAGGCAGAATTGCTGGAACCCGGGAGGCAGAGGATGCAGTGAGCTGAGATCACGCAATTGCACTCCAGCCGAGGCCAACAACAGAAAGACTTCATCTCAAAAAAAAAAAAAAAAAGAAAAATTTATATCCTGTTGGTTGTTTTGGGTGGGTGACAAGATCTGTAGATGTCTATTAGGTCCGTTTGATCCAGTGCTGAGCTCAGGTCCTGAATATCTTTGTTAATTTTCCATCTTGATGATCTGTCTAATGTTGTCAGTGGGGTGTTAAAGTTTCCCACTATTATTGTGTGGGAGTCTAAGTCTCTTTGCAGGTCTCTAAGAGCTTGCTTTATGAATCTGGGTGCTCCTGTGTTGGGTGCATATATATTTAGAATAGTTAGGTCTTCTTGTTGAGTTGAACCCTGTACCATTATCTAATGCTGTTTACCTTTTTAAATCTTTGTTGGTTTAAAGACTGTTTTATCTGGAACTAGGATTGTAACCCTTGCTTTTTTCCATTTTCTATTTGCTTGGTAGATTTTTTTCCATCCTTTTATTTTGAACCTCTGTGTGTCATTGCATGTGAGATGGGTCTCTTGAAGACTGCATACCAATGGGTCTTGGTTTTTTATTTGGCTTGCCACTCTGTGTCTTATAATTGAAACATTTATCCCATTTACATTCAAGGTTACTGTTGATATGTGTGGATTTAATTTTGTCATCATAACACTAGCTGGTTATTTTGCAACATGTTTATGTGGTTGCTTTGTAATGTCACTGGTCTGTGTACTTCAGTGTGTTTTTGTAGTGGCTGGTAATGATCTTTCCTTTCCATATTTCATGCTTCCTTCAGGAACTCTTATAAGTCAGTTCTGGTGGTAGGAACTTCCCTCTACTTTTGCTTGTCTGAAAAGGATGTTATTTCTTTTTTACTTACGATTTGTACTTTGACCAGACATGAAATTATGGGTTGGAATTTCTTTTCTTTAAGAATGTTGAATATTGGCCCCCAGTCTCTTCTGTCTTTTTAGGGTTTTAGCCGAGAGGACCACTGTTAGTCTGATGGATTTTTCTTTGTAAGTGACCTGGCCTTTCTCTGAAGTTGCCTTTAACATTTTTTCTTGCGTTTTATCCTTGGAGAGTCTGATAATTAATGTATTATGGTGGTGATCTTCTTGTGAGGTGTTTTACTGGGCTTCTCTGCATTTCTTGAATTTGAATATTGTCCTCTCTAGCTAGTTTGGGGAAGTTCTCATGGATGATATCCTGAAACATGTTTTCCAACTTGATTTTATTCTCCCCATCTCTTTCAGAGACACCTATGAGTTGTAGATTTGCTTTCTGTACATAATCACATATTTCTCAGAGGTTTTGTTCTTTTTCATTCTTTTTTCTCTACTACTGTCTGTCTGATTTCAGAAAGCCAGTCTTCAATCTCTAAGATTCTTTCCTCTGCTTGGTCTATTCTTCTATTAATACTTGTGATTGCATTATGAAAATTCTTGTAGTGTGTTATTCAGCTCTATCAGGTTGGTTACATTATTTTCTATACTATTTTGTCTATCAACTTCTGCATTGTTTTATTGTGATTCTTTGCTTTCTTGGACTGGGTTTCAATGTACTTCCATAGCTCAATGATCTTCATTTCTGTTTATGTTCTGAACTACATTTCTCTCATTTCAGCCATTTCAGCCTGTTTCTGAATGCTTGCTGGAGGGTTGATGTAGTTGTTTGGAGGAAAGAAGGCACTCTGGCTCTTTAGTGGTCAGGGTTCTTGTGCTGGTTCTTTCTCATCTTCATGGACTTATGTTCCTTCAATCTTTGAGGTTGCTGATTGATATGGTTTGGCTATGTCTCTGCCCAAATCTCATCTGGATTTATAGTTCCCATAATTCCCATGTGTTGTAGGAAGGACCTGCTGAGAGGTAATTTAATCATGGGGGTGGTTACCCTCATGCTGTTCTCATAGTAGTGAGTTCTCACAAAATCTGACGGTTTTATAAGGAGCTTTTCCTCCTTTTATTCAGCACTTCTCTTTGTTTCTGCCATGTAAAGAAGGACATGTTTGCTTCATCTTTTGCCATGATTTTAAGTTTCCTGAGGCCTCCTCAGTCATGCTGAACTGTGAGTCAGTTAAACCTCTTTCTTTTATAAATTATTCAGTCTTTGGTATGTCTTTATTAGCAGCATGAGAACAAACTAATAGAGTAAATTGTTACTGCAGAGAGTGGGGTACTACTGTAAAGATATCCAAAAATGGGTAAGCAACTTTGGAACTGGGTAACAGGCAGAGATTGGAACAGTTTGAAGGGCTTAGAAGAAGACAAGAAAATGTGGGAAAGTTTGGAGCTTCCTATAGACTTGGAGGGCTCAGAAGACAGAAAGAGGTGGGAAACTTTGAAACTTCCTACAGATTTGTTGAATGGTTTTGACCAAAATGCTGTTAGTGATATGGACAACAAAGTCCAGGCTGAGGTGGTCTCAGATGGAGAATAGGAACTTTTTGGGAACTGGGACAGAGGTGACTCTTCAAAATCTTATGCTTTAGCAAAGAGACTGGTGGCATTTTGCCTCTGTCCTAGAGATCTGTGGAACTTTGAACTTGGGAGAGATAATTTAAGGTATTTAGTGGAATAAATTTTCTAAGCAGCAAAGCATTCAAGAGGCAACAGAGCATAAAAGTTTGGAAAATTTGCAGCCTGATGATGCAGCAGAAAAGAAAAACCAATTTTTGAGGGAGAAATTCAAGTCTCAAGCTGGCTGCAGAAGTTTGCATAAGTAAAGAGGAGCTAAATTCTAATCACCAAGACAATAGGGAAAACGCCTCCAGGACATGTCAGAGACCTTCACGGCAGCCCTTCCTATCACTGGCCTGGAGGCCTAGGAGGGAAAGATGGTTTCCTGGGCAGGGTCTAGGGCCCCCCTGCTGTGTGCAGCCTCAGGACTTGTTGCCCTGTGTTCCAGCTGCTCCAGCTGTGACTAAAAGGGGCCAAGGTACAGCTCAGGCTGTTGCTTCAGAGGGTGCAAGCCCTAAGCCTTGGCAATCTCCACATGGTGTTGGGCCTGCGGGTGTGCAGAGGATGAGAACTGAGCTTGGGCCCCTCTGCCTAAATTTCAGAGGATGTATAGAAATGCCTGGATGTCTAGGCAGAAGTCTGCTGCAGGAGTGAAGCCCTCATGGAGAATGTCTGCTAGGGCAGTACAGAAGAGAAATGTGAGGTTGGAGCCCTCACACAAAGTCCCCACTGGGGCACTGGCTAGTGGAGTGAGGGCAAGAGAGGGTCACTGTCTTCCAGACTCCAGAATAGTAGATCCACCTACAGCTTGTGACTGTGGGCCTGGAAAAGCCACAGACACTCAATGCCAGCTGTGAAAGCAACCAGGAGGGGGCTGTACCATGCAAAGCCACAGAGGCAGAGCTGCCCAAGGCTGTGGGAGCCCAATCTTGCATCAGTGTCACTTGGATATGAAACATGGAGTCATAGAAGGTCATTTTAAAACTTTAAGGTTTAGTGACTGTCCTGTGGGATTTCAGACTTGCATGGGACTTGTAGCCCCTTTGTTTTGGCCAATTTATTTCATTTGGAAAGGGCGTGTTTATCAAGTGCCTGTACCCCCACTGTATCTAGGAAGTAACTAACTAACTTTTGATTTTACAGGCTCATAGGTGGAAGGGACTTGCCTTATCTCAGACGAGACTTTGAACTTGGACTTTTGGGTTAATGCTGGAATGAGCTAAGACTTTGGGGGACTGTTGCAAAGGCATGATTGTGTTTTGAAATCTGAGGACATGAGATTTGGGAGGGGCCGGGGGTAGAATAATATGGTATGGATGTGTCCCCACCAAAATATCATCTTGAATTATAGTTCCCATAATCCCCATGTGTCATGGGAGGGAACCAGTGGAAGGTAATTTAATCATGGGGGTGGACCCTCATGCTGTTCGCATAATAGTACGTTCTCATGAGATCTGATGGTTTTATAAGGAGGTTGCCCTCTTTTGCTCAGCATTTCTCCTTGCTGCTGCCATTTGAAGAAGGATATATTTGCTTCCCCTTCGACCATGTTTGTAAGTTTCCTGAGGCCTCCCCAGCCTTGCTGAACTGTGAGCCAATTAAACCGTTTTTTCTTTATAAATTACCTAGTCTTGGGTATGTCTTTATTAACAGTGTGAGAATGGACTAATACAGTGACTTGGGTTTTTTTTTTAATTTTCTTTTATCATACTTGATCACCTTGAGGGGTTCATTGTGGTACAAGGTGGATTCAGTTGACTGGCTTCATTTCTGGAAGATTTTATGAGGCCAATGCTCAGCTCCCAACTCCTGGACTGCATTGGGCCCCAACTTTGTTTTCTGTCTCTTAAGTTTAGTATTTCACCATAGTTGGTGGGACTGAGGTGCTCCTGGACCAGTGGTCACTACACTCCAATGGGTGATGTCAGCCAAAGCATTTCATACTGCAGTGACAGTGGGATCTATCCTCATTTGCACATGCCAGTAGCAGTATTAGTGGCAGCATGGTGGGGTACACACTTGTTGGATGTGGCAGGTTGTTAGTGGGTGTCAAGATGCCTGCCTCCCTGTGGGTATTCATCACAGTGGCAGAGGGAATGCAGCTGGGAGGGGGGTGGGAGGCCCCTGCTGTCAACTTTGTGCATGGTCACTCTTGTGGTGGTTTTGGCTCGGTGGTGAGGAGCTAGCAGATGCAGGTCTGAAATATTTCTCTGTGCACTGCAAACAGGAGTGATTGCCCATGGAAGGGGAGGACCTGCTGTTCTCTGTTCCTAGTTTCACTCCCATGGCAGTGCTGGTGCAAGAGTGGGGGACTAGCAGAGATTGGGCTGGCTGGCTCTGTGCCTGCAATTCTCCATCTGCAATGGCAGTTGGCAGGGAGAAGGGTGGAAGACTACACTCTTGCTGCAGCAGTAGCAGGTTGGGGTACACACATACTCACATGTTGGCAGGGCAAGGAAAGCAAAACTTGCCTGTGCAGACATGCACCAGCAAAGCAATGTGGGGAGTTGCTTGTGGGTCTGGGCGAAGCTGCAGAATGGGGAGAGAGCATGAGGGCTGGTGCATAGCTGTGGGGGCCACCCCACTGGAGCTCCCTGCCAGTCAGGCAGGGTCTGCCAGCGCAGAAGCTATGATGCAGAACCCCAGGTCACCTGAGGCTACTCTGTAAGCAGGTGTAGCCAGGCTGGGGCCCCAGGAAAGGCCAGCAGATCAGGGGTGCTCACATTAGACTGGCCTTATCTTATGGGCAAGACCATCCTGCAGAGTTCAGGTCTGGCAATTCCCCTAGGGCTAAGGTCTCCTATGGGAGCAAGTTGAGCCTAGGGGGATGGCCATCCCTGGCCATGCACTGCTACAGATGCTCTTGCACCAAACACTCTGGGCTCTACATCAGCTGGCTTACTGCCCCTACCACTATTTAAGTAGCTTTCCTTGCCTACTTGAGTGTTCATGGTGGTCAAAGGATCTCTTTCTGCTGGGGTTTCAGAGGACCATGGTGAGAGCAGGGTGCTCTTTGTCAGTTCAACTCACGTGTTCCCCCACAGCCACTGGGGACCAGGAATGAGTCCAGATGCACAGTATCTCCATATAGGGTTCCCAGTTTTCTCCCTCTTCAGCCCAGCTTCTGTGTCTTCCGTTCATCCACACTCAGTGCCTTTTCTCTGAAGGTCTGTTTGAAGTGTGCTAGTTGTCTTGGTCCCTTGGTGGCAGCTGTTCCACCTGGCTGCATCAGTCAGTCAACTTGCTCTTTTCCTTGAGTGTTAACCCCAACCAAAAAGACCCTCACAAGAACACTCAGACTAATGTGTTACGAAATATCTGTGCACATCCTGGCTCAATCAAGTTGCCACGTAATGTTAAGAGATTTAGAATTTTAAATCAAACTTTGGAAAGCTAGCCACTGAGATGATATAATTTGTCACAAAACACATATCTTGTTTCTATGAAAATTAATTTATGACAGACTGAGTGCTTACTTTATGTCCTTTCCTGTAGAAATGGTTTCTAGATTTAACACTTTTTTGTGAAATAGTAGGCCGTAATCAATTAATAAATGGTTATTTTTAGAAGATACTTTCTCCACTGATGATCAACATTGGCAAAGTTAAATACACCCTTAGTGCTATAGAAGTATTTAGAAATATGTGTGGTAAATTAAGGCCAAAATATATTATATTCATTTTTAAATTAAAAAAATTAAAATTAACACATTGTAGTTGTGCATGTTTATAAGGTATAATTTGGTCTTTCAATAACTCTTTAACATATTGATTTTATTTCCTTTGGATTTTTACCCAGGAGTGGGATTGCTGAATCACATGGTAATTCCATTTTTAATTTTTTGAGAAACTTCCCTACTGTTTTTTATAATGGCTGTACTAATTTACATTTGTGCCAGTGGTGTGTGAGTGTTCTTTTTTCTCTACATCCTCTCCAACACTTATTTTCTTTTGTCTTTTTGATAGTAGCCATTCTGACTGAAGTAGGGTAATATATTATTATGGTTTTGATTTGCATTTCCCTGATGATTAGTGATGTGAAGCATTTTCCATATTCCTGTTGGCCATTTGTAGGTCTTCTTTGAAAAACTATTAAGATGTTTTACTCATTTTTAATCTTTTTTTGCTACTTAGTTATTTTTATAGTTAGGATATTAACCCCTTGTGAGATATATTGTTTGCAAGAATTTTATCTAATTCTATAGATTGTCTCTTTACTCTGTTTCCTTCACTGTGCAAAAGCTTTTTCATTTGCTATAATCCCATTTGTCTATTTTTGTTTTTGTTGCCTGTGCTTTTGAAGTCTTATTTAAAAAATCCTTTCCCAGTTCAATGTTATAAAGCATTTTCCCCATGTCTTCTTCTAGTAGTTTTACAAAAGACCTACATTTAAGTCTTTAATGCATTTTGAATTGATTTTTGTATATGGTGAGAGGTAGGAGTTTAGTCTCCTTCTGCATGTGGATACCCAGTTTTCCCAGCACCATTTATTGAGGAGACTGTCTTTTCTCCAGTGCATGTTCTTGGCACCTTTGTCAAAAATCAACTAGCTGTAGGTGGGTAAATTTATTTCTGGCCTCTCTATTCTGTTCCATTGGTCTATGTGTTTTTATGCCAATACCATGCTATTTTGGTAATATAACTTTGTACATAATTTGAAGGGTCTTCATCATAAATTCATTATAAATTATTTGCCTAGGGCAGTGTCCAGAAAATTTTTTCTAGTTTTTTTCCAGTATTTTTATAGTTTGAGGTCTTATATTTAAGTCTTTAATCCATCTCAAGATGGATTAATTCATCTTGAGATGGTCCAGTTTCAATTTTTCTATGTATGGCTAGCTAATTTTTTCAGTACCATTTATTTAATAGGGTATACTTTCCCTGTTGTTTATTTTTGTTGACTTTGTCAAAGATCAGTTGGTGGTAGGTATGTGACTTTATTTCTGGGTTCTCTATTATATTTCATTGATCTACATGTCTGTTTTTGTACTAGTATGCTGATTTGGTTACTATAGACTTGTATATAATTTGAAGAAAGGCAATGTGTTTTCTTGGGATTGCATTGACTAATTGGGCTCTTTTTTGGTTCCACATGAATTTTAGAATAGCTTTTTATAATTCTTTGATAAATGACATTGGTAACTTGATAAGGATTTCATTGAATCTGTAGATTGCTTTGGGTAGTATGAACATTGTAACAATATTAATTCATCTTAGCCATCAGCATGGCATGTTTTCCCATTTATGTCGTGTACAATTTCTTTCACAATGTTTGTGGTTTTCCTTGTAGAGACCTTTCACCTCCTTGGTTAAAGTTATTCCTAGGTATTTTGTGTTTTTGTGGCTACTGTCAATGAGATTGAGTTCTTGATTCGGTTTTCAGCTTGAACATTGTTGGTGTATAGTGATGCTACTGATTCTTGTATATTGATTTTGTATCCTGAAACTACTGAAGTCGTTTATCAAATCTAAGAATATTTTAAAGGAGTCTTTAGGGTTTTCTTGGTATATAATCATGTCACCAGTAAACAAAGATAATTTGACTTCATCCTTTCCAAGTTGGATGCCTTTTGTTTCTTTCCCTTGCCCAATTGCTCTGGCTAGGACTTCCATTACTATGTTGAATAAAAGTGATGAGAATGGACATCCTTGTCTTGTTCCAGTTCTGACAAATATTTTCAACATTCCCTTATTTAGTGTGATGTTCAGTGTGGATTTGTCATATGTGGTTGTTATTTTGAGCTGTGTTCCTTAGATGCCTAGTTTCGTAAGGAGATTTGTTTTTTTTTTATCATGAAGGGATGTTGAATTTTATCAAATGGGTTTTCTGCCATCTATTGAGGTGATTGTATGGTTTTTGGTTTTAGTTCAATCACATCACATTTGTTGATTTGCATATGTTGAACTATCCTTGCATCCCTGGCATAAAACCCAGTTTATCATAATACATTATATTTTTGATATGCTGCTAGATTCAGTTTGCTAGTATTTTTCAGAGGATTTTTGTACCTATGTTCATCAGGGATTTGGCCTGTAGTTTTGTTTCTGTTGTGTCCTTGCCTGGCTTTGGTGTCAGTGTGATACTGGCTTTACAGAATGAGTCAGCGAGGAATTCCTCCTCTTCGATGTTTTGGAATAATTTCAGCAAGATTAGTACCAGCTCTTCTTTGTATGTGTAGTAAAATTCAGCTGTGAATCCATTTGGCCCTGGGATTTTTTTGTTGTTAGAAAATTTCTTATTACTGATTCAATTCTATTACTCATTATTGGTCTGTTCAGGAATTCTATTTCTTTATGGTTCAATCTTGGGAGTTTGTATGTTTCCAGGAATTTTCCCATTTCCTCTAAGTTTTCTAATTTGTATGCATAGAGGTGTTTGTAGTGGTCTCTGATGATCTTTTGTATTTCCCTGGTGTCAGTTGTAACACTACCATTATCATTTCTGATTGTACTTATTTAATTTCCCTCTCTTTTTATTCTTGGTTAAACTAGCTAGCAGTCTGTCATTTTTTTAATCCTTTCAAAGAACCATCTTTTTGTTTCATTGATCCTTTGTGTCATTTTTTGGTTCTCAATCTCATTTAGCTCTACTCTGATCTTTGTTATTTCTTTTCTTCTCCCAGCTTTGGGTTTGGTTTCTTCTTGTTTTTCTAGTTTCTTGATGTACAAGTGTATAGGTCCATTTCACACTGCTGATAAAGACGTACCCAAGACTGGGCAATTTACAAAGGAAAGAGGTTTAATGGCAAGGATAAAAAAGTCACATCTTATGTGGATGGCAGCAGACAAAGAGAGAGAACTTGTGCAGGCAAACTTGCATTTTTTTTTTTAAAGCCATCAGGTGTCATGAGACTTATTCACTATCCTGAGAACAGCAAAGGAAATACCTGCTCCCATGATTCAATTATCTCCCACTGGGTCCCTCCCACAACATGTGGGAATTATGGGAGCTATAAGATGAGATTTGAATGGGGACACCCCGTCCCCATTCCTCTCCCGTCCGCCCCCCACAAAATCTCATGTCTTCACATTTCACAACCAGTCATGCCTTCCCAACAGTCCCCCAAAGTCTTAACTCATTTCAGCATTAACTCAAAAGTCCACATTCCAAAGTTTCATCTGAGATAAGGCAAGTCCCTTCCGCCTATGAGCCTACAAAATCAAAAGCAAGTTAGTTAGTTCTTAGATACAATGGGGGTACAGGCATTGGGTAAATCCAGCTATTCCAAGTGGGAGAAATTGACCAAAAGAAAGAGGCTACAGGCCTCATGCAAGTCAAAAATCCAGCGATGCAGTCAAGTCTTAAAGCTCCAAAATGATCTCCTTTGACTCCATGTCTCATATACAGGTCACGCTGAGGCAAAAGGTGGGTTCCCAAGGTCTTAGGCAGCTCCTCCCCTGCTGTTTTGCCAGTTACAGCCTCCCTCCTGGATGCTTTCATGGTCTGGCATTGCATGTCTGTGGCTTTTCCAGGCAAACGGTGCAAGCTATTGGTGGATCTACCATTCTGGGGTCTGGAGGACGATGGCCTTCTTCTCACAGCTCCACTAGGTGGTGCCCCAGTAAGAACTCTGTGTGGGGGCTCCAACCCCACATTTCCCTTTCTCACTGCCTTAGCAGAGGTTCTCCATGAGAACCCCACCCCACAGAAAACTTCTGCCTGGGCATCCAGGTATTTCCATACATCTTCTGAAATCTAGGTAGAGGTTCCCAAGCCCCAATTCTTGAATTCTGTGCACTCACAGACTCAACACCCCATGGAAGCTACCAAGGCTAGGGGCTTGAATTCTCTGAAGCCATGGCTGGAGCTCTAGGTTGGTCCCTTTCAGCCGAGGCTGGAGCATCTGGGACGCAGGGCACTAAATCCCCAGGCTGCACACAGCATGGGGACCCTGGGCCTGGCCCACAAAATCATTTTCTCCTAGGCCTCTGGGCCTGTGATGGGAGGGGCTGCCATGAAGACCTCTGACATGCTCTGGAGACATTTTCCCCATTGTCCTGGGGATTAACATTCAGCTCCTCATTACTTGTGCAAATTTCTGCAGCTGGCTTGAATTTCTCCTCAGAAAATGGGTTTTTCTTTTCTATCACATTGTCACGCTGCAAATTTTCTGAACTTTTGTGTTCTGCTTCCCTTATCAAACTGAATGCCTTTAACAGCACCCAAGTCACATCTTGAATGCTGCTTAGAAATTTCTTCCACCATATACCCTAAATCATCTCTCTCAAGTTCAAAGTTCCACAAATCTCTAGGGCGGGGGCAAAATGCCACCAGTCTCTTTGCTAAAACATAACAAGAGTTACCTTTGCTCCAGATCCTAAAAAGTTCATCTTCATCTGATACTACCTCAGCCTGGATTCCATTGTCCATATCATTATGAGCATTTAGGTCAAAGCCATTCAACAAGTCTCTAGGAAGTTCCAAACTCTCCCATGTTTTCCTGTCTTCTTCTGAGCCCTCCAAACTGTTTCAACCCCTGCCTGTTACCCAGCTCCAAAGTTGCTTCCATATTTTTGATATCTTTTCAGCAGCACCCCACTCTACTGATACCAATTTACTGTATTAGTCCATTTTTATGCTGCCTATAAAGACATACCTGAAACTGGCCAATTTACAAATGAAAGAGTTTTAATGGAGAACTCACAGTTCCGTGTGGCTGGGGAGGCCTCATAATCATGGTGGAAGACAAGGAGAGGCAAGTAACATCTTACATGGATGGCAGAACTTGTGCAGGCAAATTCCCATTTTTTTAAGCCATCAAATGTTGCAAGACTTATCCATTATCATAAAAGCAGCACTGGCAAGACCCGCCCCCATGATTCAGTTATCTTCCATCGGATCCCTCCCACAACACATGGGAATTATGGGAGCTGCAAGGTGAGATTTGGGTGGGGATACAGAGCCAAACTATGTCAACAAGATTAGGTAGTTAATTTGAGATATGTCGGTCTTTTTGCTGTAGGCATTTAATACTATAAACTTTACTTTTAGCATTGTTTTTGCTGTGTCCCAGAGGTTTTTTTATGTTGTGTCTTTATTTTGATTTGTTTCAGAAAATTTTTTGATTTCTGCCTTAATTTCATTGTTTACTCAAAGGTTATTTAGGAGCAAGTTGTTTAGTTTTCAAGTACTTGTGTAGTTTTGAGAGTTCCTCTTGGCATTGATTTCTAATTTTATTCCACTGTTGTCTGAGATGCTACTTGATATAATTTGATTTTTTTTTGAACTTATTGAGATTTGCTTTATGGCCAAGCATATGGCTGATTTTGGAGAATGTTCCATATGTAGGTGAGAAGCTTGCATATTCTGTGATTATTGGATGAAATGTTCTAGAAATGTCTACTAGGCCCAGTTGGTCTACAGTCTGGCTTAAGTCCAGAGTTTCTTTGTTGATTTTTGGACTCAGTGATCTGTCTAGTGATGTCAGTGGGTTATCGAAGTTCCCCACTATTATTGTATTGCTATCAATCTGTTTTCTTAGATCTAGTAGTATTTGTTTTATGAATCTGGGTGCTCCAGTATTGAGTACATACATATTAAGGATAGTTAAATCTTGTTTTATTGAAGACTTTATTATTATATACTACATTTTTTGCCTTCTTTTTAACATTATTGGTTTCAAGTGTGTGTTAATCTGATGTAAGAATGGTTATTCCTGCTCCTTTTGTTTTCCTTTTACATCATATATCTTTCTCCACCCTGATATGATTTGGCTTGTCCCCAGCCAAATCTCATCTTGAATTGTAACTCCCACGATTCTCTCGTGTTATGGGAGGCGATCATGTTATGGGGGTGTGTCTTTCCTGCATTGTTCTTATAATAGTGAATGAGTCTCACGAGATCTGATGGTTCTAAAAATGTGGGATTCCTGCACAAGCTCCTTTTCTGTTTTTTTTTTTTGCCCAATTTTTATTCTGGCCATGCTGGCAGCTGAGTAGATTGTGCCCACCCAAATTAAGGGTGGATCTGCCCTTCCCACTCGACTGACTCAAATGTTAATCTCCTTTGGCAACACCCTCACAGACACACCCAGGATCAATACTTTGCATCCTTCGATCCAATCAAGTTGACACTCAGTGTTAACCATCACACACCCCTTTGTTTTGAGTCTGTGTCTGTCTTTAAATACAATTTGCCACTTTGTAGCTTTTGTGTAGAATATTTAGGTTATTTGGATTCAAGATTAATATTGATATGTGAGGTTTTGTACCTGTCATAAAGTTTTTAGCCTGTTGTGTTGGAGTTTCAATGCTTTCTAGGATTATGAGCTTTGTACTTATATGTCCTTTTATGATGGCAAGTATCATCCTTTAGTTTTCATGTTTAGAACTCCTTTGGGCTTTTCTTGTTGGGTCATTCTAGTATCAGTGAATGTCCTTAGCATTTGTTTGTCTGAGAAAGAATTTATTTTCCTTAACTTATGAAGCTTGATTTGGTAGGATATAAAATTCTTAGCTAGGCATAGTGTCTCATGCCTGTAATCCCAGCACTTTTGGTGGCCAAGGCAGGAACATTACTTGAAGCAAGGAGTTCAAGACCAGCCTGGGCAACAAAGTGAGACCCTGTCTCTGCAAACAAACAAACAAACCAAAAAAAAAAAAAGAAAAAGAAAAAAACTGGAAAAAAAAATCTTGACTGACACTTCTTTTCTAAGGAGACTAAAAATATGCTCCCAGTCTCTTCAGGCTTGTGGGATTTCTGCTGAGAAGTCCACTGTTAGTCTGTTGGGATTTTCTTTATAGGTGATTAGATACTTTTCTTGCCACTCTTGGGTATTTTTCCTTCATACTGACTTTGGATAGTATGATGACTATATGCCTTGGTGAGGTTCTTCTTGCAATGTACCTTCCAGAAATTTTCTGAGCTTCTTGTGTATGGATGTCTAAATGTCTCCCAAAACCAGGGAAGTTTTTTGAATTATTTCCTCAAATAAGTTTTCCACACTTTAAACTTTTTCTTCTCCCTCTCGAATACCTATAAACTCAGAGGTTTGGATGATATAATGTATGTTGTGTAGGGTCCTTTGCCTTTGGTTCTGGGTGCTTTCAGTGGCAAAGGGTCTGTATATGTTCTTTTGTTATAGATAGCCTTTTTATGGTTACTTTTCCAAATGCTGGTTGGGTAGAGATGTACTTGGTGTGTGAACAGGCTCACTGCCTCCTGTGGTGCAAGGGTAGTGAGAGTCTCAGGAGGTGTATCTCATTCCCCAGTGCTGTGCACTTATGTCAGATTTTCTTTGGTGTTGTGCAGTTCAACCTCCAGTCCAATAGGTGGTGCTTATGGGTAAAAGCTGGATGCAGGCAATGCAGATGGGTACACACTTGATCTTTGTGTACTGGGAGAAACTCTCTGTTTCTTCACACAATGGGCTGATCTGTGGAATGTTCAGTGATCTGAGCTCTCTGCTCAGTCGCAGAATGGGGGAACCAAGATAGGTGGTGCCAGACCAGGCAGGCCCATATGCAGGTCCCCCAGTGACAGGTGCAAGCATCAGCTCTGAGGGGGTCCAGTGGGCAGTTGCCAAGTGTACATGGTGTGCCTCTGCTGTCCTATGTTCTCTGCATAAGAATGGGGGAGGATGGCCTGAATTCCTAACCTGTAAGAGTGGATGCTCCAAATGCCTGCAGATATATCTGGACATCAAGTAGAAAGAGTACAGCTGCACCAAGTTCTCTGCACCAGAAGGAAGGGACGGCTCAGCCTTGTAACCCAAAACAATGAATGTGCCAAATGCCTGGAAATATGCCCTGGCAAAGAGCAAAGATATTGTTGTTGCAACAAGGTCTTTGCAGGGGAGGATAGGGCCAGCTCAAGCTCCTAATTTGGGGTAGCAGATGCCCTTCAAATTTGGTAATATGCCTGGGGAAGGAGAACAGAAACCATTGCCACAACAAGGTAGTTGCATGGGAATGGCAGGGCGACTTAAACTTCTAATCTGTAGGAGTGGTTGTGCCAGATACCTCCGGTTACATCTGGGTATGGCATAGAGGGAGTGCTCCTGCACCAAGTTCTTCATGTGGGAAGGGAGTGGCAGCTCAAGCTCCTATTCCAAGGGGGAAGGTGCACCAAAAACCTGAAGATATGTCCGGATGTGGAGCAGAGAGTGTGCCACTGCAACAAGATCTCTGCATGGGAAGAAAGAGGTGGTCCAAGCTAATAATCCAGGTGAGCAGCTGCTCTGAATGAATGGAAATATTCCTGGATGTGGAGTGGAGGAAGCACTACTGCACCAATATCTGCACAGGAAGAGAGTAGTGGCTTACACTGCTGATCCAGGTGGGCAGGTACTCCAAATGCCTGGAAACATGCCTGTGCATGGAGTGGAGAAACTACCACTGCATCAGGATCTGCATGGGAAGGGAGGGGGCAACTTAGGCTGCTAATCTAGGCAAATGGGTACTCCAAATGCCTGGGAATGTCCCGTGGATGGGGCACCACTGCACCCAGATCTTTGCAGGGGAAGGAAGGCTTGGCTTACGCTCCCAATTCAGATGAATATGAATGGGGTCTTCCTGTCTCCCACTCCTCGCAAATGGTAGGGTACTCTCCCCTGAATGACCAAGGGTGTAGGCTGGGGCATCCAGCAATGACACATGCAGACCAATTTCAGGTTGCAAAGCTGTCCCTGGCTGCAAGTCTCACTGTGCAGGAGAAACCTTGGCTTCAGCAAGTTTTCTCCTGTTCCAGTCCTGCAATGGGAGAGAGCCCGATCCAGCACCTACTCCTGCTGGCATGCACTCCACACTTGCTGCTTAATTCTGGCTATGAGGGCCCTTCACCTGCTGCAGAGCAAGTGCTCCAATCTCTGGCCTGAGGCTAAAATGCCTGCAGCAGCTGCTGCTGTCAGGTTGCCAACCATGACTGACTTTGTGTGAGTCCAGATTAAAAATGGCATCCTCCTCTCAGTCCTGGGTCTGGGAAGATGCTTGCAGCTTTTACCAGCATCATTCCCTCTCTCTGTCTCACAGTATCTCCCCAGGGTAGTCCCAGGGCTCGGGAGAAAAAACGTATTCCCCCTCAGCCCGGAATGCACAGATTCCTAGTGGAAAGGTGAGTTACAGAGGAAGACTCTCTGCCCTTCTCAGGTACTGGGGTGGGGCTTCACTCACATTTAGCAGGCAAATGTCATCATGGGGGCTGTTTGTCCACATTCTCTTCCCCAGGATCTGAAATGTACTTTGCTATTCTGGTGAATTCCTATTTTTCTTCTTGAATTAAAGCTCAGAGTCAATCTTTACACACGATTTTTCTATTTCCAAGTGTCTGTAGCGTGCTGAAAGCCTCTAATCTGCCATCTTCTTGGCAGGGGTGGGAACCTTGTTTTGTTGATTATTTTCTCTGTGGTGAAGAAACTTTAGTTTGATGTAGTTCTACTTTATTTTTGCTTTTGTTGCCTGTCATGGACTACACTTTGAATAGCAAACATCTAATCCACTGGAAAAGGCATGATATTCTTTCATTATCGTAAGCCTTTCTTTTAAGGAGAATGTTACATCCAAGATAAGAAAAAAATTGATTTTGAAATTTTGTTTTGGATCATAGCCGGACTGCTGTGAGATTTATAGGTAAATTAAATCTTCTTTCCCCTTTTTATGGTAATTTAATGTTGGGGAAGTTGATTTCAGAGTCAAGAAACTACAATTGGTTTAACATCAATAATATAATTTTATCAAACAGCATTGCTTCATGTTTTGTCAAAGAATTTCTCACTTCATTTAATTATTTTAAAGGCACTGTTGATTGAATTTTAGTTCCTGCACATTTTATATTAGCATAAATAATATCTATATGGTAGGAGACAGCAACATTTTAATGGCAGTTAATGTTTGTACTGTCAGAATTTCCATAACCAAAACAATCAATTGCCATATTAAGTGGATGATTGCACAGTAATCTCTAATTTATGTCTAAGTAATACTTACCTTGTATATTACTAATGGGAAATGAATATTCATTACTTACATCATCATGAAAGTATTCATAGATTTAAATTAAGAATTCAGCAATACTGTTCTAATATAGTAAACAGATAGATGATATGAACTGTACTATATAGCATCACATTTAACCTTTGCACTAACACCAACAGAAGACTTTTTGCTTACATTTTCAGAGGCTTATCTATCAGTATACTAGTCAGAAATGCAGTTCCTCATGTGAAAACACAGGTTATTTAGATGTTTGACTAACAAGATCCTTGATTATCAGACTTGTTGATCCTTTGTCAGGAAAAAGTTTCAATATACTGATTTTTGTTAGAAGATATGGTGTTGCTATCTGCTAAAAATTTATCACTATAAATACACAAGTTGCCCATTTTCTGAATCAATAATGTTAAAATAATAATCTGACAATAGTTCAAAATAGCAAAGCTGTCTGTGATGTGTATGCTGCCCTTTGAATATGGAGTCCTTGTGTAGTATGTAAATGAATAATCCTACATGGCAGCCCTGGCCGCTTCCCTGAGCATGTCTCATCCCAAGGCTGTTTTCTCATGGTACCCCATATTGAGATTGCAATTGTACTGGATTGATCTCTACTCTCCAAATTAACCGCACGAAGTCAATTGTAGAGAACAATGACACTTGAAGTTTAGTGCAGTTACAAGCAGGAGGGATAAGTTCCACACAGGTTTCTGTATGGATGCCTCTTGGAGGAGAAGCTGATGCGTGTAGGTCCTCTCTCCATGGAGATTGTAGGTCACCTCTTGAGCAGAAAGAGGGGAATGCATGAAGGTCTTTGCATGATGGTCTTTGCATTTAACAGCCATCTTGTAGTTAGCAGACTGGGGCCTGTGTTTCAGGCTCCATAGATTTATCCAGTCATAACAGCAGATTTACCACTACAGTGCTCAAAACAAAGGAAATCGGACAGGGATTTCTTCCTTGCCTAAAGGCCACGTTCCCTCAATATTTGTGCTACACTCAGCCTTGATTTCCATGTTACCTTAACTAGAAGTGCAAGTGCACAATACATGTGGCATGTTTGGAAGGGACCTGTGGAATCATCTAGTCCAGTCGCCTTTGCAATGCAGTAATACCCTTTCCATCTTCTTTAATCACCTATCAACTCTTTGAGGGTTTCCAGTAATAAGCTGCTCAGTAGTCCGTTTCATTTCAGTCCATTTCAGGACCCCAGAACCCCAGATCTAATTACTAGAAACATTCTTCATATATTTTGTTTTTCTTAATTTTTTATTTAATAAATTATTAGTTAATTATAAGTTCATTATTAATTTCCTTATAATATCATTATTCAATATCAAATTACTTTTTCTGAAATGGCACAAGCTTTGATCTCTTTAAAGCACACTTATAAAAGCTGAAATTGAAGTTCATATATAGCTGTAAATATATGGAGGTCGAATATAGGATTATGGAATTTCATAATTTGAGAAAATTATATAATAGTTTGCATAGTATTTTCTTTACCTTTTCCTTCACAAGTGTTAAATATTGTATTCCCCTTTCTTAGTTTTAAATATCTAAAGAATCTCTTCTAGCATGTATCAAAATACCACTGAAAATAAGTTTTCTATAGAATGAAACTGATTGTATAGAAATGTTCAAGGTCATTTAGTCTAATTAGTAGTGAAGTCGATCAATATGCACTGAATGCAGTGGATGACTATAGAAATAATTAAGCTAATTGTCTTTAGGGAATGTGTGCAGGTTTCTTTTCCAATTTGCCATGCTCTGTCCAAGGCTGCCTTTTCCCCTCCCCTTTCTAGTTCTTTTTATGTTTCTTTTGTGAGATCAATGAAGATCCAGGTCAGAATTTAAATTAGGTTCTTATGGGAACTCTGACTCTATCCTTTCTTCTTCTCTTTTAACCAGGCCACCCTTGCCTTTTTTTCTTTATGAAAGATTTGGGCTTAGCTTGAATAAATCATCATTGTGGCTCTACTAGCATGCTAATGAGACAAAGTGAGGGTGCACACTGGTTGGAGAGTTTTGCTGGCCAACTCTATGTGGGTTAGGCCATGTGTGCTGAGGATTGCTGTGTGCTGGGGTGGCTGTTTGATAAATTTGGGTGCACTATTCCCCTCATTTATATTTGGTGGGGAGGAATACTGGCAGAGAATGTAAAAGAAAAAGGGACAATTTTAATCAGGCTGTGTAGGGACTGGGGATGTGCTTAGAGCACTCTTTCTACAGGGCACGCAGAGATATCAAGTCCTGGGGTATTACTCATAGCTTTTCTCCAAAAGCTTTCCCCACCTCTTAAATGCCTTATCTAAAATAATTCTCATGAGACATTTAGTAGGAAATTTGGAATCATAGTGAAAAGAAATCCTCATGGTTCTACTTTTTCTGTGATACTTCCTGGACCCTTCAGCTATCTTTTGCCTATATATAACAGCAAATACATTGGGAAGAAAAAATCAACACATATTAAATGAATGTCTGTAGAGCATTCTTGCAGGGAAATGATCAAGTCTAAGAGAAAGTCTGTCTTCTAGTAATTTATAATCTAAGTAGAAGAGGAAGGATGAAAAAGTAATGCATAAAAAACTATTCAGGCCCAATGTATTTTCTTAAAGGGGTTAAAAAAAAAAAAGAATGTGTGTGTGTACCTGTGTGTGCGTGTGACACCAAAGAAAGTTATGTACATTACAACAATACATTAGAAAAATGACAATGTTAAATATTGTGCCCCTTAACTTTGTCCGTTGTCTACATGTTCTGATAATGCCAGCTTTTTGTTCTATATCTTCAAACTGCACTTCCTAGTTCACTTCTTTATCCTGTGTCTTTTTTCTCTGTTTTTAAGATTTTTATCAATGGTGTTTAGCAATTTGGTTATATTCCTTAGCATTTTTAATGTTTCTTTTGATTGGCATTCATTAAGATTGGATTTGTGGATTATATTTTTTCCATAAAATTTAAAAGATATTGTTTATTCAAAAATTTTTTTCTGTTCACTGACCCTCTGCTTCTTGTACTCTAATTACATATTTGTTAGAATACCTGATATTTTCCACAGATCAGTGATGTTCAATTTCTTTTGTTTGTTATTTAGTCTTTTTTTTCTGTGTTCTTTATTTTGGACAGTTTCTATGGCTATGTCTTTAAATCACTGATCTCTTCTTTTATAGTACCTATTATGATGTTACTTCCATTTAGTGTATTTTACATTTTAGATATTATATTTTTTCATGTCTAAAAGTTTGATTTAGGTCCTTTAAAATATCTTCCATTTCTTTTCTCAGCATGTTCATGTCTTTCTTTTCCTTCTTGAAATATGAGACATTTTTAACATCCTCGTTCATTAGTTTCATCATCTCTGTTTCTGAGACTGTTCCTATTGACTGATATTTTCCCTTATTGTAAGCCATAGTTTTCTACTTTTTCCAACCTGGCAATTTTGATTGGATGCTAGACATTGTGAATTGTACGTTGCTGGTGCTAGATTTTGTTTTCCTTTTAATACTATTAGATGCTGTTTTGGTTTGCAATGTTACTTTGTAGCAATTGGAATGTTATAAGGTTTGGTTTTAATTTTGTTAGGCCTTTAATCTATGGCTGATATAACCCTGCTACTTAGGCAATACACTTCTGAAGATTTTACTCAATGCCTCATCAATTATAAGATCTATTCACTCTGGCAGGTGTGCGTACAACCTATTCTCAGTTTTGTGTGCTTAGGAAATTGTTTTGATTACTCTATTCCAGAGGCTTTTCTTTACTGTGTAGTTTCCTTAGCCACAGACTCAAAAGTATGCCTCTGCAGATTTGTGGAACTCTTTTTTTGTAGTTCCCTCCTCTCCTGTGCTCTTTCTTATGTAATTCTAGCTGTCTTGGTTTTCCCAAGCTTCCATCTCCTCATAGCAAGATGCCCAACCCTGTTTGAATTTTCCCTTCCCCCCGTAGCCTTTCTTCCCCGCTGTAGCCTGGAAACTGCCTCTTAGGACCTAAGCCTGTGGAATAGTAGGGCTCATTTTGCTTGTTTCCCTTTCTTCATGGATTATGGTGTTGAATTGCTTTTCATCCAATGTCTGAAAATTGTTGTTTCATATACTTTGTCTGATTTTCTAGTTGCTATAATAAAAAGGTAAATCTTGTCCCTGTTATTCTATCTTAACTAGCAAAATCTCTACTGTTGTTTTTAACAACATGTTTTCTAGTAAGTTGTGCTATTAGAAAATAAGGTCTAGCACCCTAGTCTTTTGCAATTGTTGAGGCTTGTTTTGGGGCCTTTATGGTATTTGCCTTTGTGATGTGAATTATTGAAAAGATGTATTAGGATTCACAGTATTGATGTAAATTTGTCTATTTCTCCTTTCAACATTTTGATTTTGATACTTAGAATTTATGCTATTAGAACTATTTGTGTTTTGTTATTGGTTGATATTAAATTTACTATTGCTTTGTTTTCTTAGTGGATTGAATCTTTTGAAATGCAAGTGACCATCTTTATTACTGGTAATGTTTTTTGGCTTAATGCCTATTTTCACTGGTTTTAATATAACTTTTTGTTTTCATAGCTCATCTTTTTCCACATCCTTGCCAAAACTTGTTTCTTTTTTTTTTTTTTTTTTTTTTTGAGACAGTGTCTTGTTCTGTCACCCAGGCTGGAGTGCGGTGGCCCAATCTCAGCTCACTGCAACCTCTGCCTCCTTAGTTCAAGCAATTCTCCTGCCTCAGCCTTTCAAGTAGCTGGGATTACAGGTGCGTGCCACCACACCCACCTAATTTTTGTATTTTTAGTAGAGACGGGGTTTCACCATGTTGGCCAGGCTGGCCTCGAACTTCTGACCTCAAGTGATCTGCCCTCCTGAGCCTTCCAAAGTGCTGGGATTACAGGTGTGAGCCCCCACATCTGGCCTATTTTTCATCTTTCTGATAAAAGCCATTCTAGCAGGTGTGAGGTGATATCTCACCGTGGTTTTAATTTGCATTTCTCTGATGATTAGTGATGTTTAGCACCTTTTCATATATCTGTTGGCCATTTATATGAATTCTCTGCAAAAATGGCTTATTTTCTTGCTATTGAGTTGTTTGACTTCCTTATACATATTGAATATCAGCCCCTTATCAGATGTATGGTTTGCAAATAATTTCTCTTAATCCATGGGTTGTCTCTCTACCCTGTTAATTTTTTTCCTGTGAAAGAAGCGTTTTAGTTTGACATAACCTCATTTGTCTATTTTTAGACAAAAGAAGAAGCTTTTTAGTTTGACATAACCTCATTTGTCTATTTTTACTTTTGTTGCCTA
Organism: Homo sapiens; assembly: GCF_000001405.40. Classification (NCBI taxonomy): domain Eukaryota; kingdom Metazoa; phylum Chordata; class Mammalia; order Primates; family Hominidae; genus Homo; species Homo sapiens. The sequence goes on along the minus strand of NC_000014.9, from coordinate 38,610,764 downwards.
TACTTTTGAGGTAATATTGAAAACATTATTGCCCAGACCAACATCATGGAGCTTTTTCCCTATGTGTTTTTCTTAATAGTTTCACAGTTTCAAGTCTTACATTTAAGTCTTTAATCTAACATTTTGAGTTTATTTTTGTATATGATTTGAGAGAAGAGCCCAATATTATTCTTCTCTATGTGACTAGCCAGTTTTCACAATACTGTTTATTTAAAAGACAATTTTTTCCCTGTTTTGCATTTTTGGCATCTTTGTTGAAAATCAATTGACTGTAAATATGTAGGTTTACTTTGGAGCTCTTTATCCTATTCCTCTATGTGTCGATGTGTCTGTTTTTATGCCAGTACCATGCTGTTTTGATTCCTATAGCTTTGTAATATATTTTGAAATCAGGGACTGTGATTTCTGTGGAAAATGCCATTGAAATTTTGTTGGAGATTGCATTGGATCTGTAACATGGCTTTGGGTAATTCTTTTTTTTTTTTTAAGACAAAGTCTTGCTCTTTTCCCAGGCTAGAGTGCACTGGCATGATCTCAGCTCACTGCAACCTCCACCTTCCAGGTTCAAGCAATTCTCCTGCCTCAGCCTCCCAAGTAGCTGGGATTATAGATGCCTGCCACTGTGCCCAACTAATTTTTGTATATTTAGTAGAGATGGGGTTTCACCATGTTGGTCAGGCTGGTCTCAAACTCCTGACCTTGTTATCCACCTGCCTCGGCCTCCCAAAGTGCTGGGATTACAGGCATGAGCCACCATGCCCCTGCCTGGCTTTGGGTAATTCTATAGTTTGAATGTTTGTTCCCTCCAAAACTCACATTGAAATTTAATTGCCATTGTAATAATATTAGGAAGTGGGATGTTTAAGAATTGATTAGGCCATGAATGCTCTCCCTTCATGAATGAATAAATACTGTTATTTCGGGATTGGGTTGTTAAAAAGGATGAGTTCAGTTCCTTCTCTCTCTCTGTCACCCTCTCTTTGCCCTTATGCTATGTTATGACACCTCAAGAAGGCCCTTGCTAGATGCTGATACTGTAGTCTTACACTTCCCAGGCTCCAGAACTGTGACAAATAAGTTTCTGTTTCTCATAAATTATCCAGTCTGTGATATTCTGTTATAGTAGCAGAATGCAAAGATATAAAATTGGTATCAAGAAGAGGGGCTGTTTCTATAACAAATACCTGAAAATGTAGAGGCAGCTTTGAAATTGAGTAAGGGGTAGAAGCTGAAAAAATTTAGAAGAGGAGGTTAGGAAAAAACCTAGGTTGCTGTAAATGAGGTATTAAGAGTAATTCTGGTGAGGGCTCTGGCAAGAAGAGCTGTAGCTAAAGCCTGAAACCTCTTAGAGGTTACTTAAGTGGTTGCCATCCTAATGTTGGTAGAAATGTGGGCAGTTAAGGTAATTCTGATGAGATCTCAGAAATAAAAATCAAGGTACTGGGGTACTGGCTCTGGAGGGATGGTCATCATCTTTGTTATAAAGTGGCAAAGAACTTGGCTACATTGTGTCTGTGCCCAGGCAAAGCAATGAACTAGGATATCTGGCTGGAGGAATATCTATGCAGAAAAGCATTGAAGGATCTATGTGGCGTCTTTTAACCGCATATAGTAAAATTCAAGGAAAGAGAAATGATTTAAAGGTGGAATTAATAATTAAAATGGAAGCAGAATGAAAAGATGTGGAAAATTGTCAGCCTGGCAATGTAAAAAATTTTAAAAGCATGTTCGGGAGAGAATCCTAACGATGTTGCCAAGTGACTGCTGAAGGGATTGATATGGCTAGAAAAATGTCAGGTGCTATTCACTAAGACAATAGAATGACTCCAGTGGTATTTCAGAAATCTTTGGACCAAGCCAGGGTCTTGAGGGCAAGGTTTCTGGAGAGGGGCCCAGGGCACCCATGGGGCTTCAGCTTTTGCTGCCCTGTCCCTCCTCAAGTATCTGCTCCTCACATTCCAGAACAACACTTCTCCACTGCCCCAGCTATGGCTCAAGAAGGCCCAAGTGCTGCTCTGACCACCACTGGGGATGGAACAGCTGTGAATGTAGGCAGAATTCACATGGTGATAACCCTGGAGAGGTGCAGAGTACATGAGTTGTGGGACTGTGGAGGTCTCAACCTAGGTTTCAAAGGATGTATTGAACAGTCTTTGGACTCAGATGAAAACATGCCACAGGGAAATAGCTGCCAAAGAGAATCTCCACTAGAACTATGCTTGCTGGAGCCCTGGGGGTGGCGGCAGCCCACTCCAGAACAGTAGCACTGCCAGTGTGCAATGCCAGCCTGGGAGAGCTGCAGGTATGAGACTCTAACCTGTGGGAGCTACTGTGTGGGCTGAACCCAACAAAGCCATAGGGCAGGGCTGTCCAAGGCCATGGGGACCCAATTCCCATTCCAGTGTGCATATAAGGTGGGACATAGAGGCAAGGAAGATTATTCTGGAGCCTTAGGATTTGATGTTGTTCACCCTATTGGGTTTTGGACTTACTTGGGACCAGCTATCCCTTTTTTCTTGCCTTTTTCTCCCTTCTGGAAGGAGAATGTCTATCTTGTGTCTATCTGACCACTGTGTTTTAGAGGTAGACAACTTGTTTGATTACATAGGCTCATGGCTGAAGAGCAAGTTGCCTTAGGATGAATTGTGCCTTGAATCTCACACATATGATGTTGAAGATGAGACTTTGGACTTTTGAGTTTGTGCTAGAACACATTAAGACTTTTAGGGCTATTGAGGTAGAATCAATGTATTTTGTATGTAGGAAAGACATTAGTTTTGGGGAGTTGGGTGGAATGCTATGAATATTTGCCTTAAAGTGGGTAATTAGGCTTTAAGAGGTAATTAGGCCACGAGGTCTACACCTTCATGAGTGGATTGATGGTTTTTTTTTGTTTTTATGGGAGTGGGTTTGTCATAAAAGGGTGAGTTTGGCTCCCTTCACTCTCTCTCTCCCCTCTCTTTCTCTCTCTCCCTGTCTCTCCCTCTCTTTGCTCTTATTGCCATTTTATGACACACCAAGAAGGCCCTTGTTCCATATGCCAGCACCTTGATCTTGGCCTTCTCAGACCCTAGAACAGAAATAAATTTTTGTTCATTATAAATTGCTCAGTCTGTGGTATTCTGCAATAACAGCACAAAAGGAACTAAGAAATGTAGTATGGACATTTTAACACTATTTATTCTTTCAATCCTTGAACACAGGATATCTTTCCATTTATTTGTGTATTTTTCAATTTCTTTCATCAATGTTTTTTAGTTTTCAGTATACAGATCTTTCACTTTCTTGGTTAATTTACTCCTAAGTATTTTTTTGATGCTATTATAAATTGTTTTATTATTTTCTTTTTCTGATAGTTTATGGTTAGTGTATAGAAATGCTACATACTTTTGTGTGTTGACTTTGTGTTCTGCAACTTTACTGAATTCATTTTTTTTTTTTTGGTAGAGTCTTTAGGGCTTTCTATATATATGATAATGTCATCTGCAAACAAATTCAATTTAACTTGTTCCTTTTCGATTTGTATGCCTTATATTTCTTTCTCTTGCCTAATTGCCCTCTCTAGGACTTCCAGTAATATATTGAGTAGAAATGGTGAGAGTGAGCATCCTGGTCTACTTCTTGATCTTAGAGAAATAGTGTGAGCATCCTGGTCTACTACTTCTTGATCTTAGAGAAAAAACTTTCAATATTTGACTGTTGAGTATGATGTTAGCTGTAATTTTGTCATATATGGCCTTTATTGTGTTGAGATACATCTCTTCTACACCTAATTTGTTGAGAGTTTTTTTGTGAAGAGATGTGGAATTTTGTCAAATGCTTTTTCTGCATGTAACTCATATTTTTCTTAATGTCAGCACTTAAAAGGACTTTTTACAACTTCAAGGGAAAGATACTTCTTTTAATGTTAAAATTACAGAGTTCTCTTTTTTGAATTTACAGAAATTTACATTCCAAAGCTTCTAAAGAAGCGTCTCTAATACTAATACCTTTTTTAAAATTTAAATGTAAATAGTTATACCTGGGGATTACTATGAACTGTTAAAAGACAGTTAATATTTTCTTGAAAATTCCCAACAGAACTCAAGCTTAAATGTTTACAAATAAGCTGTTAAGACCATTGTTCGGAAGAAGAACTTAAACTGTTAGACTTAGTGTACTCACTTTCCTTGCTCATTTAGAGTGAGATTTTGTAGTCACTCAGTGATGAAACTTTTTATCTGTATCACATTTTCTAAACGTATATAGATGCCAGGAAAAAAAGTGGACACATGCTTTTATCTGAATAGTTTTAAACTAGTGAATTAGTGTTTCATTCATATAACTTTGCAAATTTAATAGTTGACAATGTATACATTGATTTTTCCCAAAATTGTTTCTAAATTTCATGTGTATTTCATAAAAGGGACTTTGATTTGACAAACATGAGCTAAAACTACAACCAAACCTCACAATGAAATGTTGTTTTGGAATATTTCTTCAAAAAATTAGTTACAGCTAACTTCTTAATAAATAAATATGTCTATTATAATACATAATAAATATTAATAAATGATTATATATTTTTATATTGTTTCTTGTCAGACTTTTCCTATATAATTTCTCCATGCAATTTCAACTAGTAATTTGGAAGATGAAAAGAATAAATATTTTATCATTTCTCAGTCACTTTTAGTCCCTTTTACTTTGCTTGCAGAATAAGAGGCAGCAAAGTTTTAAAGGCCATTTCACATAGATGCAAATAGAGCAAAAATTGCAGAATATTGACACATAAAAAGCAAACAGCAAACTTCAAAGACATTTTGATGACAGAAGCAAGTAACTCTGTAGTCAACATAAATTGATGGTAAAAGATTAATTGAGATCTTTGATCCTTGATCATGAAAAGACACCAAACAAACCCTAGAATAAATATAGCAGAATAGAAAGCATTCAAGATACCATTCTGGAGTTCATTCTTTTGCATATCGTAACCTGTTGGGAGATGCTGAAATAGAGGCATAAATCAAAGTATCAAGTAGTCACATCTGTAAAGTTTGTGGTTTGTGCGGTGTACAGTCTTCTGTAACCTTAATAACCAATGTCCTTAATTTTATGCTAGTTATCTTTAACTTGGTTGATTTTCCTATGGGCGTAGAAAGGCACTTTGGTAAAGAATCCTGCTGTCAGACTTTATGTTGCCTCCTTGTGTCACTCTTTGTCATTACATCTTCAATTTATCAAGAATAATCCAACTTTCTGCTGTTACTAGCTTATATTTTCTAACATTAAAATTAGGAGAACTACTGCCAGAGTCTCCTAAGAACTCACCTCATGTCTTCCATTCTTTTTCAGGATATAAGAAATGACTATTCTGAGTGTAATATGCTTATCATAGCAAATTTGTTGAAATGATTAATTAATAATTGGGACCTCCCCAATAGCATATCAGTGATGCATTTTAAACAAGAAGAGACTCATTGAATGCTTGCTTTTCCCAGCAAATTGATTTGATATCAACTGTGACAGCTAGAGACCACCTTGGCCACAGATTCCCAAGAGAGTTCCTGTGGTAGGCAAGTATCTCCAAGACCTGTGGACTTACAACTTCTGGCCATGTCGACGTCTGATTGATTTTTTAAAAAAATTATTAATTTTATTTCTTATCTTTTAGTTGAAAGTGTTAGGCTTTTTCTTTATTTTTCTAGTGTTCTTCTGAGAAATTAAAAAATATAACATTGATTTATCGAAATTATTAGTGAATAATTTTGCTCCCTTCCTGGGTGAAGCAAGGAGCTTAAAACACTTAGCTTCATTTACATTCTTCCCAACCTATGTGTTATTATTTTTTGTACTGTCAATGTTTATTGAGATTTACTCACAGCTTTCCAAATATCTTTGCTCATTATTTGTATTTTTTGACCTCTGTATCTTTCTCAACAATTATTTTCCCATTCTCTAAAAACATCCTTTACAAAGTCTTTTGGGTGCAGGTCTCTTAGTGGTGAAAACTTTCCATTAGTCATGTACCTAAAAAATGTCTTCATTTTGCCTTTATTTTTGCTGGTTCCAAATTATTGGTATTACTAAATTTGATCATTGATATTTTTCATTAGTTTTAGAAAATTTGAAGCCAAAATCTCCACAAACATTGCCTGTTATCCATTCTTTTTCTCTTCTTCTAGATGTTGAAACTTAGAATCTCTCATGGAATTATCTGTCTTTTACCTTCTTTTTTGTGTTTTTTACCATTTTCTGAAGGTGTGCTGCATTCTGGAGAGTTGCTTCTGACCTGTTTTCTGTTCACCGTCTCTTCACCTGTGCAATATATTGTTAATTCTGCCCATTGAATTCTTAATTTTATTTATGAATTATTCAGTTCTAGGATTTCAATTTGTTTCTTTTTCAAATCTGCAGTCACTTTTTGTAGTTGTCAGTTTCCTACTAAAATTTTACAGCTTACTTTTCTTCTCCTTGAAAATGTTAAGTATAGTTTTACTGTGTCTAACTATGCCTGTGGCTATATTGGATATTTTTATTACTCCTTGTTCTTGCCCATGGTATCTTGCCATGTTTCAGTGAGTGCTGGACATTGTGTTTGAAAAAGTATTTGTTGAAATAATTTAAAACTTAGGATGATATTATTTGCCTCTGAAGAGGGGTGCTAACAATCTAGAATATCCTTACTCTAAGCTTCACAGCTTGAAATTTTAGGGGCCACTGAAATTTGGACAGGGATGGAGTTGGAGGCCATTATCCTTAGCAAACTAACACAGGAACAGAACATGAGTTCTGATTGATTTTTTAAAAAATCATTAATTTCCTTGCCTTATCTTTTAGTTGAAAGTGTTAGGCTCTTTCCTTGTTCTTTTAGTATTCATTTGAGAAATTACAAAATACATCATTAATTTATCAAAATATGTGGTTAAATACCATATATTCTCACTTATAAGTGGAAGCTAAATGATGAAAACACATGGACACATAGAAAGGGACAACAAATACTGGGGCTTATTGGAGGGTAGAGAGTGGGAGGAGGGAGATGATCTGGAAAAATAACTAATTGGTACTAGACTTAATACCTGGGTGAGGGAATAATCTGTACAACCAAACTCTATGACACAAGTTTACCTATGTAACAAACCTGCACATTTACCCCTGAACTTAAAAGTTAAAAAAAAAGGAAGACTGCAGACTGGTCAAGGATTGGTTTATTTTTGTTTCACCACTACTCTGAGGGCATAGCCATTTGGGGGCTCAATACTCTGTACTGGGTGGGGCCTGAACTCTGACATTCTCCCTTAGCTCAAAAAGGCTTTCAGAAACACCTATGGGCTCCCTCTTTCAGATCAGCAAATGCCCCCAGGTATCCCTTTCCCCAAGTCTTAGATTTCTGCCCTGTAATTCCTTATTATACTGACATGCTTTTGATGCTTTTAAGAAACTTTTTAAATAACATATTTATATCAAGTTTTGTGTATTTTTTTCCCAGAGGGTAGTCTGATTTGGTTTGAATTACTTTATCCCCTCATACCTAAAGCAGAAATCTCTTCATCTCTTTATGTCTTCCATTCTATTTTCTTGGCTTCTCTTCTCTCAATCTCTCTCTCTCTCTCTCTCTCTCTTTCTCTCTCTGTCTCTCTCTCTGTATGTGTGTGTGTGTGTGTGTGTGTGTGTGTGTGTGTCTAGCTTTTGTTCTCAGTCTCTCTCAAAATACTTCTGGAGTGCCTATTTTTTCAGAAGAAGAATACATGGAAGATAAACACTTCATTGGTAGTTTGTTTATGTATAAAATTCTTGATTTAAAGTCATTTTATCTCAGAATTTTTAAGACATTTTCCCACTGTTTTTAACATTTATTGTTGCTTATGAGAAGACTAACATTATTATGTCTTTGGTTTGGCTGTACATACAGGAAATCTTCCTTCTGTTTTCTAGGAAAATTAGCACCAGATCAGTCCACTTATTATAATCCATTTAAAATGGATTATTGGGATGCTATTTTCTGATAAGAATAAATGATACCATGCTATGACATCTTCTAAGTTTATATTTCACTTTCCAACACAATCATAAAGATAATAACTTTTATAAAAATATTTCAAGACTTTTACCAAGGGCCTATCTTAAATCCTTTGATTGTTGAATGATTCTTCTTTGAAGACCCGTTCTTGTCATTTTTTTTCTGGTTGATTTTCTTCTCCTTCATCCTTAATTGACCTGCCTCTGCTAATCCTCATTTAGCTAACTTTGTTGGTGACTTAAAAGGTTACCAACACTTTTATCTACTCTATGAAATCTTACATCTTTTCAAGTTTTGCAATTTTACTTTGAAATAAAGTTGTGTTATGTATTTATCACACATTTATTAAGATAGGGTTGGGGTATTTGAGTGAGTCAGGATTAATTTTACAAGTTCATTAATGAATACTTTTGAGGCATGACTGCTTCCCTACGCAATTTCATGGCTATAAGAATTCAGATAATGGGGCATGGCTGTCAAGATGGCTGAATAGGAACAGCTACAGTCTGCAGCTCCCAGTGAGGTCAATGCAGAAGGTGCGTGATTTCTGCATTTCCAACTGAGGTACGTGGCTCATCTCATTGGGACTGGTTAGACAGTGGGTGCAGCCCACGGAGGGCGAGCCGAAGCAGGGTGGGGTATTCCCTCACCCAGGAAGCACAAGAGGTTGGGGGACTCCCTCCCCTAGCCAAGGGAAGCCATGAGGTATGTGCTGTGAGGAACAGTGCACTCTGGCCCAGATACTATGCTTTTCCCATGGTCTTCATAACCCGCAGAGCAGGAGATTCCCTCAGGTGCCTACGCCACCAGGACCCTGGGTTTCAAGTACAAAACCAGGCAGCCCTTTGGGCAGACATCAAGCTAGCTGCGGGAGTTTTTTTTTTTTTTTTTTTTTTCCATACCCCAGTGGTGCCTGGAACGCCAGCAAGACAGAACCATTCACTCCCCTGGAAAGAGGGCTGAGGCCATGGAACCAAGTGGTCTAGTTCAGTGGATCCCACCCTCACGGAGCCCAGCAAGCTAAGATCCACTGGCTTGAAACTCTTGCTGCCAGCACAGCAGTCTGAAGTCGACCTGGGATGCTCCAGCTTAGTGTGGGGAGGGGCATCTGCCATTACTGAGGCCTAAGTAGGTGGTTTCCCCTTCACAGTTTAAAAAAAGCTGCCAGGAAGTTCGAACTGGGTGGAGCCCACTGCAGCCTGGCACAGCCGCTGTAGCCAGATTTCCTCTCTAGATTCCTCCTTTCTGAGCAGGGCATCTCTGAAAGAAAGGCAGCAGTTCCAGTGAGGGACTTATGGATAAAACTCCCATCTCCCTGGGACAGAGGACCTGGGGGAAGGGGCAGCTGTGGGCAGAGATTCAGCAGACTTAAATGTTCCTGCCTGCCAGCTCTGAAGAGAGCAGTGGATCTCCCAGCACAGCACTCAAGCTCTGCTAAAGGACAGACTGCCTCCTCAAGTGGTGCCCTGACCCCCATGCCTACTGACTGGGAGATACCTCCCAGCGGGGGTTGACAGACACTGCATACAGGAGAGCTCCAGCTGGCACCTGGCAGGTGCACCTCAGGGACGAAGCTTCCAGAGGAAGGAACAGGCAGCAATCATTGCTGTTCTGCAGCCTCCACTGGTGATACCCAGGCAAACAGGGTCTGGAGTGGACCTCCAGCAAACAGCAGCAGACCTGCAGAAGAGGGGCCTGGTTGTTAGAAGGAAAACTAAAAACCAGAAAAGAATAGCATCAACATCAACAAAAAAGATGTCCACACAGAAACCTCATCTGAAACTCATCAACATCAAAGACCAAAGGTAGATGAATCCGTGAAGATGAGGAAGAACTAGCACAAAAAGGCTGAAAATTCCAAAAACCAGAATGCCTTTGTGATCCAAAGGATCACAACTCCTCACCAGCAAGGGAGCAAAACTGGATGGAAAAATGAGATAGATGAATTGACAGAAGTAGGCTTCAGAAGGGTAGGTAATAACAAAATCCTCCTAAAGGAGGAGCTAAAGGAGCATGTTCTAACCCAAGGCAAGGAAGCTAACAACCTTGAAAGAAGGTTAGACAAATTGCTAACTAGAATAAACAGTTTAGAGAAGAACATAAATGACCTGATGGAGCTGAAAAACACAGCACGAGAACTTTGTGAAGCATACAGAAGTATCAATAGCTGAATCAATCAAGTGGAAAAAAGGATATCAGAGATTGAAGATCAACTTAATGAAATAAAGTGTGAAGACTAAATTAGAGAAAAAACAGTGAAAAGGAACAAACAAAGCCTCCAAGAAATATGGGACTATGTGAAAAGACCAAATCTATGTTTGACTGGTGTACCTGAAAGTGATGGGGAGAATGGAACCAAGTTGGAAAACACTCTTCAGGATATTATCCAGGAGAACTTCCCCAACCTAGGAAGACAGGCCAGCATGCAAATTCAGGAAATACAGAGAACACCACAAAAATATTTCTTGAGAAGAGCAACCCCAAGTCACATAATCGTCAGATTCACCAAGGTTGAAATGAAGAAAAAAATGTTAAGGGCAGCCAGAGAGAAAGGTTAGGTTACCCACAAAGGGAAGCCCATCAGACTAACAGCAGATTTCTCTGCAGAAACCCTACAAGCCAGAAGAGAGAGGGGAAAAATATTCAACATTCTTAAAGAAAAGAATTTCAACCCAGAATTTCATATCCAGCCAAACTAAGCTTCATAAGCAAAGGAGAAATAAAATCCTTTACAGACAAACAAATGCGAGAGATTTGGTCACCACCAGGCCTGCCTAACAAGAGCTTCTGAAGGAATCACTAAATATGGAAAGAAAAAAAACTAGTATCAGCCACTGCAAAAACAAACCAAATTGTAAAGACCATTGACACTATGAAGAAACTGCATCAACTAACAGGCAAAATAACCAGCTAGCATCATAATGACAGGATCAAATTCACACATAACAATATTAACCTTAAATGTAAATGGGCTAAATGCCACCAATTAAAAGACACAGACTGGCAAATTGGATAAAGAGTCAAAACCCATTTGTGTGCTATATTCAGGAGACCCATCTCACGTGCAAAGACACACATAGGCTCAAAATAAAGGGATGGAGGAAGATTTATTTTCCAAGCAAATGGAAAAAAAAAAGGGTTGCAATCCTAGTCTCTGATATAACAGACTTTAAACCAACAAAGATAAAAAAAGACAAAGAGGGACATTACATAATGGTGAAGGGATCAATGCAACAAGAAGAGCTAACTATCCAATATATATGCACCCAATACAGGAGCACCCAGATTCATAAAGCAAGTTCTTAGAGACCTGCAGAGAGACTTAGACTCCCACACAGTAATAGTGGGAGATTTTAACACCCCACTGTCAATATTAGATCAATGAGACAGAAAATTAACAAAGATATTCAGGATTTGAACTCAGCTCTGGACCAAGCGGACCTAATAGACATCTACAGAACTCTCAACCCCAAATCAACAGAATACACATGCTTCTCAGCACCACATAGCACTTTTTCTAAAATTGACCACATAATTGGAAGTAAAACACTCCTCAGCAAATGCAAGAAAATGGAAATTATAACAGTTTCTCAGATCACAGTGCAATCAAATTAGGATTAAGAAACTCACTCAAAACCACAAGTACACAGAAACTGAACAACCTGCTCCTGAATGACTACTGGGTAAATAACAAAAGTAAGGGAGAAATAAATAAGTTCTTTGAAACCAATGAGAACAAAGACACAATGTACCAGAATCTCTGGGACAAAGCTAAAGGTGGGTTTAGCGGGAAATTTATAGCACTAAATGCCCACAGGAGAAAGTGAGAAAGATCTAAAATCGACCCCCTAACATCACAATTAAAAGAACTAGAAAAGCAAGAGCAAACCAATTCAAAAGCTAGCAGAAGACAAGAAATAACTAAGACCAGAGCAGAATTGAAGGAGATAGAGACATGAAAAACCCAAAAAATGAATGAATTTAGGAGTTGGTTTTTTGAAAAGATTAACAAAATAGACTGCTAGCAAGACTAATAAAGAAGAAAAGAGAGAAGAATAAAAAAGACACAATAAAGCACGATAAAGGGGATATCACCACTGATCCCACAGAAATACAAACTACCATCAGAGAATAGTATAAACACCTCTACACAAATAAACTAGAAAATCTAGAAGAAATGGATAAATTCCTGGAAACATACACCCTTTCAAGACTAAACCAGGAAGAAGTCAAATCCCTGAATAGACCAATAACAAGTTCTGAAATTGAGGCAGTAATTAATAGCCTACCAACCAAAAAAAGCTCAGGACTAGACAGAGTCATAGCCAAATTCTACAAGATGTGCAAAGGAGCTGGTACTATTCCTTTGGAAATGATTCCAAACAATAAAAAAGGGGACTCCTCTCTAACTAATTTTATGAGGCCAGCATCATCTTCATACCAAGACGTGGCAGAGACACAACAAAAAAAGAAAATTCCAGGCCAGTATCCTTGATGAACATCAATGCAAAAATCCTCAATAAAATACTGGCAAACCAAATCCAGCAGCACATCAAAACGCTTATCCACCACGATTGAGTCTGCTTCATCCCTGGGATGCAAGGCTGCTTCAACATACACAAATCAATAAACGTAATCCATCACATAAACAGAACCAATGACAAAAACCACATGATTATCTCAATAGATGCAGAAAAGGCCTTTGACAAAATTCAACACCCCTTCATGCTAAAAACTCTCAATAAACTAAGTGTCAATAGAATGTATCTCAAAATAATAAGAGCTATTTATGACAATCCCACAGCCAATATCATACCGAGTGGGCAAAAGATAGAAACGTTCCCTTTGGAAACTGGCACATGAAAAGGATGCCCTTTCTCACCACTCCTATTCAACATAGTATTGGAAGTTCTGGCCAGGACAATCAGGCAAGAGAAAGAAATAAAGTGTATTCAATTAGGAAAAGAGGAAGTCAAATTGTCTCTCTTTGTGGATGACATAATTGTATGTTTTGAAAACCCCATTGTCTCAGTCCAAAATCTCCTTAAGCTGATAAGCAACTTCTACAAAGTCTCAGGATGCAAAAATCAATGTACAAAAATCACAATCATTCCTATACACCAATAACAGACAAACAGCCAAATCATGAGTGAACTCCCATTCACAATTGCTACAAAGAGAATAAAGCACCTGGGAATACAACTTAAAGGGATGTGAAGAACCTCGTCAATGAGAACTACAAACCACTGCTCAAGGAAATAAGAGAAGACACAAACAAATGGAGAACTATTTCATGCTCATGGATAGGAAGAATCAATATTGTGAAAATGGCCATATTGCCCAAAGTAATTTATAGATTCAATGCTATCATCATCAAGCTAACATTGACTTTCTTCACAGAATCAGAAAAAAGCACTTTAAATTTCATATGGAACCCAAAAAGAGCCTGTATAGCTGTGGCAATCCTAAGCAAAAAGAACAAAGCTGGAGGCATCATGCTACCTGACTTCAAATTATACTACAAGGCTACAGTAACCAAAACGGCATTGTACTTGTACCAAAACAGATATATAGACCAATGAAAGAGAACAGAGGTCTCAGAAATAATGCCACACATCTACAACCATCTGATCTTTGACAAACCTGACAAAAACAAGCAATAGGGAAAGGATTCCATATATATATACACACACATATACACGTATATATGTATATATACACACACATATATACGTGTGTATATATATATATATATATTTTTTTTTTTTTTTTTTGAGATGGAGTCTTGCTGTGTCACCCAGGCTGGAGTGCAGTGGCATGATCTCGGCTCACTGCAACCTCTGTCTCCGGGGTTCAAGCAATTCTCACTGCAACCTCAGCCTCCTGAGTAGCTGGGATTACAGTTGTCGGCCACCATGCCTGGCTAAATTTTTGTATTTTTAGTAGAGACGGGGTTTTACCATGTTCACCAGCATGGTCCTGATCTTCTGACCTTGTGATTCGCTGGCCTCAGTCTCCCAAAGGGCTGGTGTTACAGGTGTGAGTCACCACATCTGTCCAGGATTTTCTATTTCATAAATGGTGTTGGGAAAACTGGCTAGCCATATGCAGAAAACTGAAACTGGACCCCTTCCTTACACCTTATACAAAAATTAACTCAAGATGGATTAAAGACTTATACGTATGACCTAAAACCATAAAATCCCTAGAAGAAAACCTGGGCAATACCGTTCAGGACATAGGCATGAGCAAAGACTTCATGACTAAAAGACCAAAAGCAATGGCAACAAAAGCCAAAATTGACAAATGAGATCTAATTAAACTAATAGTTTCTGCACAGCAAAAGAAAATATTATCAGAGTGAACAGGCAACCTATAGAATGGGAGAAATGTTTTGCAATCCATCCATCTGACAAAGGGCTAATACCCAGAATCTACAAGGAACTTAAACAAATTTACAAGAAAAAAACAACCCCATCAAAAAGTGGGTGGAGGATATGAACAGACACTTCTCAAAAGAAGACATTTATGTGGCCAACAAACATATGAAAAAAAGCTCGTCATCACTGGTCATTAGAGAAATGCAAATCAAAACCACAATGAGATACCATCTCATGCCAGTTAGAATGGCAATCATTAAAAAGTCAGGAAACAGCAGATGCTGGAGAGGTTGTGGAGAAATAGGAACGCTTTTACACTGTTGGTGGGAGTGTAAATTAGTCCAACCATTGTGGAAGGCAGTGTGGCGATTCCTCAAGGATCTAGAACCAGAAATAAATTTGACCCAGCAATTCCATTACTGGGTATATATGTAAAGGATTATAAATCATTCTACTACAAAGACACATGCACATGTATGTTTATTGCAGCACTATTCACAATAGCAAAGACTTTGAACCAACCCAAATGCCCATCAGTGTTAGACTTGATAAAGAAAATGTGGCACATGTACACCATGGAATACTATGCAGTCATAAAAAAGGATGAGTTCATGTCCTTTCCAGGGACATGGATGAAGCTGGAAACTATCATTCTCAGCAAATTAACACAGGAATAGAAAACCAAACACCACATATTCTCATAAGTGCAACTTGAACAATGAGAACACATGGACACACGGAGGGGAACATTGCACACCAGGGCCTATTGGGGAGTGGGGGGCTAGGGGATGGAGAGCGTTAGGAGAAATACCTAATGTAGATGACAGGTTGATGGGTGCAGCAAACCACCATGGCACCTGTATACCTATGTAAAAAACCTGCATGTTCTGCACATGTATCCCAGAATTTAAAGTATTAACAACAACAACAAAAAAAAGGCAGATAATAAACCTCACAGCAGGGGCCTTATGTAACTGGTTTCCAAAGCCTCTTCCTGGAAGCTTCTAGGATATTCTTTTTATCTTTGATGTGTTACAAAATTTTGTAGAGGTATTTCTATATATTGGTCTTTGTCATTCATTCTGCTCAGCATTTACTTATTTTAATTTGGAACTATGTGTCCTTGGTCCTGGGACGTTTACGTCTTCATTCTTATCTAATTCCATCTACCTACTATGTTTTAGAGATTTTAACAAATTTCTGGTCTGCTGATGGCTTTGTCTTCCTTTCCTAGTGCTGAGATAACTGCCCTCCATATTTCTTTGCTGTTATTTTTATAGACATTTTTGAGGAAGGAGATATAAACACCTAGTGCATAGTCTGCTCTGTAGAAGCAGAAGCTTCATTGTCATAGTATCATTTATATTAGAAGCAGAGTACTTTACTGAATGGAAATATCATCATAAATCTATATAGCTACATATTTATCATATTACATCTGATCTATATCAACCCTCTATTAGTGGATATTTAGGTTATTTATGATGCCTTAAATCATTTTTAATTTTTTTCATTAATTTTTTTATGTTTTTGATTTTAAAATCTCTTTTCTCTAGGTGCACACAAAAAATCTACAAACAAAATACTACTATAACTCAAATTTATGTTGTATATTAGACAAAGATTCCATTTTTTTCTGAATGTGATAATCATTTGCAGATCAATTAGGAGAGACTGACTCTTTTGAGGGCCAAATAAGAAAGAAATTCAACATAAAGAGCTTTTGACAGCCAATCTGGAGAGGAATAAATACTCAGAGATAGGGCTTCATTTTCCAGTACAATGGATACTGAACTGAAAGAGTAGAATGGTATAACTGTTGGTATTGACAGGCGTGCCTGCTAAAAGCAGCCAACATTTTCCCCAGCATTAGGTAGTCATCCTCAAGAGCCATTGAAATGGGAGCAAACAGAGACATTCTCTATTAGGAAGAGTCAATACCAAAGGTCATTGAAAGGCATTTTTGGCTGCCTCTTAGGCATAAGAAATATTTAAGAATTCATAGATGGATAAAAAATGTCTTAAACATGTTCCAAATCAATTACCCTAAGCAGTCTAACATTGGTCCAATTTTTGAAGTTTTTCATCATTGATTTACACAACAGAAAGATGAGCCTAAAAGTATATGTTGTTCTATGCTAAAGTCATGTTAGTGCAATTATTTGGCTGCTAAATCTTTATTAATGCTGTGCCATTCAGGGCCTAGATTTTTGAAATATAGCACCAAGGCCTATAGAAGGGCCTCTCAATGGAATGCAGAGCATTGGTTCTCCAGAGAGAACCTATTTCTTTAAATGTTCCACTGCTCCAGATTAATCAGAAGTGTGGATGTTCTGAACTTCATATTGTAGCTGAGCTTTTTCTCCTAGTAGGAGCTGTACATAATGTGTTCAAGGATAAGAAGTGACCAAGATTTATTCCTTTGTGTCACAGATATCCAAAGCTGAAATGTGGTGTATAAAAAAGCTTTCATTGAAAGGTGGAAATTACTATAACTCTAAATTAATAATGAAAATTATTGAAAATGAGCACAGTTCCAACTTAAAAATTTTTTTTCTCTTCAACATTATTTATGGCTACTGTTCTCTTTGTGATTATGCTTATCTGTTAAGAAGTAACTTTTGGAGTCTAGTGTTTTATTCTTGAACGAGTGCAGGACTTCCTCAAAATGCTCTAATTGCAAGCACACTCAGGAATGGAAAGATCTGTAGGCATACTCCAAGGCATCTGCATCCGGCTAGGAGTCAAAAGCTCTTGG
Organism: Homo sapiens; assembly: GCF_000001405.40. Classification (NCBI taxonomy): domain Eukaryota; kingdom Metazoa; phylum Chordata; class Mammalia; order Primates; family Hominidae; genus Homo; species Homo sapiens. The sequence continues at coordinate 38,593,624 of NC_000014.9, read as the reverse complement.
CTTAGCTTCCTTCTATCTCATCTGTAAAATTGGATTATTAATGTTACGTCCGACTAACTGAAAGATTGTGAAGAATAAATAGAACTATGGGTATAAACATAGTATGTAAAAGCAAGATATTAATATTTTTACACATCCTTGGAAATGTATGGGATCTCATTTTGAAAAAGAGGAAGGAAATGTCTTTTTGTCCTCTCCTCCCTTGCTAGGTTATTGGATATATTAGTCGGCTTGGGCCGCCATAACAAAATACCGTAGACTGGGCGGTTTAAAAAACAGAAATTTATTTTCTCACAGTTCTGGATGCCAGAAGTCCAAGATCAAGTTTCCAGCCAATTCAGTTTCTGGTGAGGACACTCTTCCTGCCTTGCAGATGGCCATGTTTTTGCTGTGTCCTCACATGGCCTTTCCTCAGTGTGTGCACATGGAGAAGGAAAGAGAGTGAGCTCTGTGTCTTTTCCTGTAAGGACACTAATCAGATCAGAGCCCTATACTCATTTAACCTTGATTAGTTTCATACTCCAGTTACAGCCACCCCTAGGGTTAGGGCTTCAACACATGAATTTTGGTGGAAAGGGGGTACACGACCATTCAGTCCATAACATCAGGGAAGATTAAGTTGTCTGGCACTACAGAGTCCTCAGCTGTAGGCTCATAAATAGCAGTGCCTCAAATGACGCATCAACACAGAAAAAAGGACTGAGTGCTAAAGATTTGTTTTCCAGAACTTCTCAAGTAGCTTTTCCATGAAGCCTCTTCCGTTCTTGGTCAGTACTTGAAGAGAACAAAATATTTAGTTTTTGAGATGCCACTATTAATTCTTTTCATACAATTTCTAACGTTGTCAAAACATTTTGAGCTTTATTGGTCTCCTGAGGTGGTGGTGTGTCCCTGCATATAGGAGAAAACAGTGATTCTGGAAGTACAGATTATTCATAAATCAAGAGGTGCTCACTTTGGACAAGTCTGCCAACAGGTACCAGGGTCTGTATGCCTGGCTTAAATTTGATGGGCTAAAATGTCTTCTGTTCATGTTATTGGCTAAAACGACTGATGTTTCAATAACCACTCCATCATGTGAGCCTCAAATGACAGAGCCATATTTTCCTGGAAAGACTATGCAACAATCTTTAAATAATTATATATACATATATATATAATTATAGGTGAAGACTATAAGGGCTAACAATTTACTCAGATTGACTAGACATTTCTAGGGGGACAGTCAAAATTAGAAGGCCAATCTCTAATATTTCCCTAATGGAAAATATTAGAAAATGATTATATAGAGACAGTTTTTACTGTGATGTGTCATTTATTCTCCTGAGCATTTTTCTTTATGTTTTTGAAACAGAATGTTAAATGAGACTCTGTCTTGATTTTGGCTAAGGCCTCAAAGGCTGAGAACAAAACAGTATTTCCCAGGCATCTCCCTATTCCAAAGTGAGGTGCTAACATGCCAAGGATGTGGTCATCTGGCATGTGAAAGCACTGGGATAGGAGAAGACCAGTTGCTGGGGTTCTGAGCCATCCCAGAACTCCAGCAACTGGTCTTCTATCGCAGTGTTTACATGGAGGAGGACAGCCCAATGTTTCCTGTTTACCTCAAGCCTGTGGGAGGCAGAACTTGACATAAAAAATTCAGGGACCTAGTGGATTGATATCTTCCTCAGACTTCAGGGCTCTAAGGGTGAAAAGCCATTGGGCCATTGCGGGGAAAAACTGCACCAGTGTAGTTTAGCAGCAATGGTTGGGTAATGATGTTTCCTCTGAGGGCCAAGCAGAAGAATGAAACATCCTTAGAATAATCCTTCAAAGGAGCTTCAAGTGGTAGGCAGTGGTGGTGGGCTATTTATTGGATTCCAACAAGATAGTCTGTATGGCATGGGCCCCCAGAGTGTTAGGGCTGAAATTGGAGCTTAAAAGAGGCCAGCGAGATATGACCTCTGTTCTGGGACATGCAATGGGAGGTTTCCAGTGGAGGATATTGAATCTCTGAGAAACCTACAGAGGTGTCTTGTAATTATAAACATCCACCAAGCCCAGAGCACAGCTTAAGGCCTATTCCCTGAAGGGGTCAGAAAACATAAAAGTGGAAAGGGAGGAGCAGAGGAGCAAGGCAGGGAATTGAAGCAGGTGCTGGTGACCACATTTGCCTTTCTTACTCCAGGCTTCCTGGGCTAGAAGGGGTTTGACCTGGGAGAAGTCTTAACTTTGAAAGATATGTAGGGTTTGATGATTACACTGCACCACACATTTTAATTATTGAAAGAACAACTTCTTTCAGCTAAAAGTGACCTGAGAAATTTTTATTATTTGAGAGTAGCCATATAAACGTTATGGGATTTTCTTGAGATTCTAACCTTGGACAGAGGCAGAACTATCCAAAAAAATGAGTTTAATAGAATAGGTGTGTGTGTGTGTGTGTGTCTGTATGTCTGTGTGTCTGTGTGTGTGTGTGTGTGTGTGTGTACATTGAGGGAAGGGGCAACGGGTAGTAGTAGTAGAACATTTTTCATTTGTATCCTGTAAGATGTTGCTTAATCAAATAAATAGCTATATATTTGTAGTGCCTGGAGAAAATTTCATCTAATGCCTATCAGGCAATCTGATACTTATAGATAAATAGCTAATCTTTCACTAGAAAATGAATATCTTTCTAGTACCTGTTTAGTGTCTTGTTCTCTAACCCGTAATACAATGTCTGCCATATGCCCAATAAATATTTATTGGATGAGCAGCTACTTGGAGGTAGTGGAGTTAGTATGGCTTAAGAGCTTAGGTTCTGCATCTAGATAAACCTGGGTTCAGCCAGACGCGCTGGCTCACGCCTGTAATCCCAGCACTTTGGGAGGCTGAGCCGGGTGGATCACCTGAGGTCAGGAGTTTGAGACCAGCCTGGCCAATATGGTGAAACCCCGTCTCTACTAAAAATACAAAAAAATTAGCTGGGTGTGGTGGTGCACACCTGTAGTCCCAGCTACTTGGGAGGCTGAGGCAGGGGAGAGTTGCTTGAACATGGGAGGTGGAAGTTGCGGTGAGCTGAGATCACGTCACTGCCCTCCAGCCTGGGTGACAGAGCGAGACTCTGTCTCAAAAAAGAAAAAAAATAAATAAAATAAAAAATAAAATAAATTTAAAAAATAAAAAATAAAAATAGATAAACCTGAGTTCAAATCCCAGCTCCACCATTTGCTTGCTCTGTGATTTTAGACGATTTTTAAGTTTCTTTGTGCTTCAGAGTCTTGTCTTTTACATAGATATAATAGTAGTTTATAGAGCTTTTGCAGAAGTACGTAAGATAACATAACTGGATATAAGCACATGGCCTGACTCATGTAGTGATCAGTTTATAGCCATCATAACTTATGTAAGTAAACTGTTGATACATTTTATCCCTTTTATAAAGAGCTTACACTCCATTCAAATATTGTTAGCTTAAGCTGAGTTTTACTCAAAAGAAACATGCTACTTTTAGGAGCCAATTAAAGTAGTTCCTTCCCTTCCTCCTTCCCTTTCTTCCTTCCCTTCCTCCTTCCCTTTCTTCCTTCCCTTCCTCCTTCCCTTTCTTCCTTCCCTTCCTCCTTCCCTTTCTTCCTTCCCTTCCTCCTTCCCTTTCTTCCTTCCCTTCCTCCTTCCCTTTCTTCCTTCCCTTCCCTTCTGCATTAACCATATTACCTTGAGCAAGGTATGGTGAGTTCAGAACAGATTAGGAGAAACCGGAAAGAGTTTTACAGTTTTGTGCCTCACAGTTTCCTGGGGAGAACACAGGAACACTCAGCAGAAGCACTGCAGTCAGTCATGAGGCAGAGCGAGAGAGGGCAACTGAGGGCAAGTGCCTTTATTGTGTTTTCTGCAGGCAGGGCAAGCAGGGTTAGGGTTAGCAGGGTTAGGATTGGCTAGCATCAATAATTTCAGTGAGCTGTGGGGCCTTAGGGGCTGACCCTGGGGAAATTAGGCTTTGTATATAATGGCCTGGCTCCTGGGGAAGTGGTTGGAGGTGCGGACTTCATCATCTATTCAAGAGGGGTAACTGACTGTCCTCTAGCCAGGGCCTCAAAACTGAGTCAAGACACCAATTTAAAAACTAAGAGAGGGAAAGATGGCTGACTAGTCCCAGCCAGGTGGAACAGCTCTCACCAAGGGACTGAGATGACGGGCATGCTTTTAACAAATCTTCATAGGGAAGGCACCAAGAATGGATGGAGGGAAGACACAGAAGCTGGGCTGAAGTGGGAGAAAACTGAGAACCTTGCATGAGGCTACCATGCACTGGGACTCATTTCTAGACCACAACAGCTCCAGGGTAACAGGTGAGTTGAACTGGCAAGGAGCAACCTCCTGTTACCACTGGACTCTGGAACCCCAGCAGGTCAACCCCCTTGACGACTTTTAGGGACAAACTACCCCAAAAAGCTTCTTGGTACTGCTGACACTCCCCCAAAACCCCTCTGTACTGCCCACCCCTCCCCTTAATGCCCTGCAACTCTTCTTCGTGCCGTTCACCCTTCCCCCTAGCCTCTTCACATTTCTAAGCCCTTATCCAGGTGCTAGGGTAGAGCCAGCAGACTTCACTTTTCAGGCCTTGCTGCAATAAACAAACCCCAACTACAAGCCATCCAGACCACACAGGTGAAGGTCCTGGGAAGCATAAACAAACTTTACCTACACCCTCCTGTAAGTTCCTCTATCTAGCTGCTACTATAAATGTCACAAGGTGATATCTGGCAAAGTTAACCAACAAACAACCCCAAGGTCTCTCTCCCCCATATAAATTCCTCATTTTGTAAGCTCAGGGCTGCCTCCTCTGTCTGTATGGAGCAGCCGGCAGGTTCAACAAACTTACTTGCCTGACTTTGGGTCTATTTTTCCTTTCTCTCAGCTGACCTTGCAACCACCATGGACACTTGAGTTGGTAGGGAGAGCTGCTTAAAGAAATAGTAGGAGCAGCAAAATAGCTAACACCATGAAGACAGGATCAAATCCACACATATCAATACTAACCTTGAATATAAATGGGCTAAATGCCCTAATTAAAAGATACAGTGGGAGCTGGATAAAGAACCAAGACCCATTGGTATGCTCTCTTCAAGAGCCCCATCTCACATGCAATGACACACAGATGCTCAAAATAAAATAATGAAGAAAAATTTACCAAGCAAATGGAAAACAGAAAAAAGCAGGGGTTGCAATCCTGGTTTCTAACAAGACAGTCCTTAAACCAACAAAAACAAAAAAAGACAAAGGCATTACATAATAGTAAATGGTTCAATTCAATAAGAAGACCTAACTATTCTAAATATAAATGTACCCAAAACAGAAGGGCCCAGATTCATAAAGCAAGTTCTTAGAAACCTTCAAAGAGACTTAGACTCCCACATAATAATAGTGAGAGATTTTAACACCCCACTAATATTAGAGTGCCTTCAATAGGCAGAGAATTAACAAAGATATTCAAGACCTGAACTCAGCACTAGATCAAATGTACCTAATAGACATTTATAGAACTCACCACCCAAAAACGGAATACACATTCTTCTCATCACAACATGGAACATACTATAAAATTCATCATATAATTGATGATCTGCACTCTTCAGCAGATGCAAAAGAACAGAAATAATAACAAACTCTCTCTTGGAAAGCAATGTAATCAAATATCAAGACTAAAGAATTGACTTAAAACCACAAAATTATATGGAAATTGAATATCTTGCTCTTGAATGACTTTTGGGTAAATAATGAAATTAAGGCAGAAATCAAGAAGTTCTTTCAAACCAATGAGAAAAGTACAACATACCTTGATCTCTGGGACACAGCTTAGACCATGTTAAGAGAGAAATATATAGCACTAAATGCCCACAGCAAAAAGTTAGAAAGATCTCAAGTTAACAACCTAACATGACAACAAAAGAACTAGAGATCCAAGAGCAAACCAACACCAAAGCAAACAGATGACAAGAAATAATCAAAATCAGAGCTGAACTGAAGGAGATTGAGGCATGGAAAACCATTCAAAAGATCAACAAGTCCAGGAACTAGTTTTTTGAAAAAATTAATAAAATAGAGTGCTAGGTAGAATAATAAGAGAGAGAAAATTCAAACAAACACAATCACATGTGACAAGGAAGATGTTACCGCTGACCTCACAATAATACACAGAACCATCAGAGAATATTATGAACTCCACTATACACATAAACTAGAAAATCTAGAAGAAATAGATAAATTCCTGGACACATACACTCTCCCAAGATTGAACCAAGAAGAAATTGAATCCCTGCAAAGACAAATAATGAGCTCTGAAATTGTGAGTAATAAATAGCCTGCTAACTAAACTAAGCCCAGGACCAGAAGGATTCATAGCTGAATTTTACCAGATGTACAAAGAAGAGCTGGTACCATTCCTACTGAAACTATTCCAAAATATTGAGGAGGAGAGACTCCTCCCTAACACTTTCTATGAACCTGTAAAGATTTTGGTATCAGGATGATGCTGGCCTCATGGATTGACAGAGATGCAACAACAACACAAAAGAAAACCTCAGGCCAATACCCTTAATGAACGTTAATGTAAAAATTCTCAACAAAATACTGGCAAACACACTTCAGCAGTACATCAAAAAGCTTATGCACCATGATCAAGTATTCTTTATCCTTGGGATGCAAGGTTGTTGGTTCAACATATGCAAATCAATAAATGTAATTTCTCACATGAACAGAATTAAAGATAACCTCAGTAGATGATTACCTCAGTAGATGCAGAAAAGGCTTACAATAAAATCCAACCCTCCTTCATGGTAAAAAAAACTCTCAAACTAGGTATTGAAGGAACATACCTCAAAATAAGAGCCATCTATGACAAACTCAAAGCTAACATCATGCTGAATGAGCAAAAGCTGGAAGCAAATTGTGGAAAACTGGCACAAGACAAGGATGCCCTCTGTCACCACTTCTATGCAACATAGGATTGAATGTTCTGGCTGGGGCAATCAGGCAAGAAAAAGAAAGGTCATTCAAATAGGAAAAGAGGAAGTCAAACTATCCTTGTTTGCCAGCAACATGATCCTATATATAGGAAACCCCAGAATCTCAGCCCTGAAACTCCTTAAGCTGATAAACAAATTCAGCAAAGTCTCAGCATACAAAATCAACATGCAAAAATCACTAACATTGGTATACACCAGCAATAGTGAAGCTGGGAGCCAAATCAGAAATGCAATTCCATTCACAATTGCCACAAAAAAATAAAACACCTAGGAATAGAGCTAACTAGGGAGGTGAAAGATCTCCACAACAGAATTACAAAACACTGCTCAGAGAAATTAGAGATGACACAAACAAATGGAAAAACAGTCCATGCTCATGAATAGGAAGAATTAATTTCAAAAAAATGGCCATACTTCCCAAAGCAATTTATAGATTCAGTGCTATTTCTATTAAACTACTATGGAGATTCTTCATAGAATTGGAAAAAACTATATTAAAATTCATATGTAATAAAAAAGCCTGAATAGCCAGGGCAATCCTAAGCAAAAAGAACAAAGCTGGAAGTAGCACATTACCTAACTTCAAACTATACTACAGGGCTATAGTAAACAAAACAACATGGTACTGTTACAAAAACAAACATAGACCAATGAAACAGAATGGAGAACCCATAAATAAGGCCACACACACCTACATCCATCTGATCTTTGCAAAACCTGACAAAAATAAGTAATGGGGAAAGGACTCCCTATTCAATAAATGGTGCTGGGACAACTGGCTAGCCATATGCAGAAGATTGGAATTGGACCCCTTCCTTACACCATATACAAAAATCAACTCAAGATGAATTAAAGACTTAAATGTAAAACCTAAAACTGTAAAAACCTTGGAAGACAACCTATGTAATACCATTCTGGACATAGGCAAGGGCAAAGATTTCATGACCAAGATGCTGAAAACAATTGCAACAAAAGCAAAAATTGGCAAATGGGATCTAAACTAAAGAGCTTCTGCACATCAAAGGATACTATAAACAGTGAATAGACAGCCTACAGAATGGGAGAAAATTTTTGTGAACTATGCATCTGACAAAGGTCTAATATCCAGCATCTATAAGGAACTTAAACAAATTTACAAGAAAACAGCCCTATTAAAAAGTGGGCAAAGGACATGAATAAACACTTCTCAAAAGAAGACATACATGCAGCAACAGTCATATGAAAAAAAGCTCAACATCACTGATCATTAGAGCAGTGTAAATCAAAACCATGATGTGAAATCATCTCACATGGGTCAAAATGAGTATTGTCAGAAACTCAAAAAATAACAGATGTTGGCGAGGTTGCAGAGAAAAAGGAATGCTTATACACTGTTGGTGGGAGAGTAAATTAGTTCAGCCATTGTGGAAGACAGTGCGGCAATTCCTCAAAGACCTAAAGACAGAAATACTATTTTCCCCAGGAATCCCATTACTGGGTATATACCCAAAAGAATATACATTATTATAAGGACACATGAATGCATATCTTCATTGCAGCACTATTCACAATAGCAAAGTGATGGAATCAACCTAAATTCCCCTCAATGATAGGCTGGACAAAGAAAATGTGGTACAGATACACAAATGAATACTATGCAGACATGAAAAAGAATGAGATCATGTGCTTTGCAGGGGCATAGATAGAGCTGGAGGCCATTATTTTTAGCCAACTAACACAGGAACAGAAAACCAAATACCACATGTTCTCACTTAGAAGTGGGAGCTAAATGATGAGAACACATGGACACATAGAGGGGAACCACACACACTGGGGCCTATCAGAAGGTGGAGGGTGGCAAGAGGGAGAGGATCAGGAAAAATAACTAATGGGTACTAGGCTTAATAACTGGGTGACTAAATAATCCACACAACAAACCCCCATGACACAAGTTTGTCTATATAACAAACCTGCACGTGTACCTTTGAACTTAAAAAAAACAGATAAGAGCTAATTACTCTACATAGAGTCAGATGTAGGTAGGAACTGAGGTGAGGTAGAATAATCTGTCAAGTGCGTTTTGTAAATTCTAACTGCTGCAAAGGCACTCTGGTAGGTCAGGCTTGAACAGCTTTAATGCCATTATCCTCAATTCTTTTAATGTGTGAAAATTTCCACCTAATGGGAGAGCAAAAGGCTTATTGTTAAAGTTTACTTAGCAAAGCACATTGGGAAATGTTTCAGAAGTCCTTATGAAAGAATCCTGAAGTGCCTAGTCATTGTCAATATGTCTATTTATAGATGTTTATTGAGCATTTTCCCTCTTCAATTCATGGTTAACAGAAAAACCAAACTCTGTAAAATATTTTAAAGAGATTTATTCTGGACAATAACTGACCATAGCCCAGAAAACATAGTCTCAAGAGCTCCTGAGAAAGTACACCCAAAGAGATTAGGTAGCTGTTTGGTTTTATACATTTTAAGGAGACAGAAGTTACAGGAAAAAACATGAATTATACATGGAAGGTATATATTGGTTTATCCCCAAAAGGCATGGCATCTTAAAGAGGGTCCTTACAAGTCATATGTGGGCTTTAGGGATTCTTTAGTTGACAATAGGTTGATAGAGTTAAGCTATTGTCTAAAGACTTGAAGTCAGTAGAAAGAAATGCTTGGGTTAAGATAAGAGGGTTGTAGGGGCCAAAGCATTTGTTGTGTAGATGAAGTCTCCTACCTAGCTGCCTTCAGAGAGACTAGATTGGAAAGTGTCTATTTTCAGACCTTAGAGGTGTCAGACTCTCAGTTAATCTCTCCTAGATCCAGGAAAGGCCTAGAAAGGGAAGGCCTGCCTGCATTAGTGAAGAGTCTCCACAGATGAAAGTGTCCACCACAAAACATGGCTTTGCAGGGCTATTTCAAAATATGTCAAAAATGTACTTTGCAGTAAAATGTTTTTATTTCCTTCAGAGTCTGCTGTCATGTGATGTGATACCAGAGTCAGGTCATAAAATAAGCCATACGATACACATTTAATTAAAAAGTAAACCCTGTTTAATGAGATTTTATGGTTTGTAGGATGTGACTTAACTCTTGCCCTGCATAGCCTTAGGTTTTGTTTATAATCTGGTATCTTATTGCCACAAAGAGTCTGTTTTTTCAGTCTTGAGATCTCTGTTTTAATCTTAATGCCAGTCAGTTGTGCCTAAACTCCAAAAGGGAGGGGGTATAATGAGGCGTGTCTGATTTGCCCATCAAGACCAGGAATTCAGTTTTTTAGGTTTCTTTGGGGTCTCATTGGGATCTATTCAATAGATAGAGGGGGATCTATTCAATCAGTTGCGGGGCTTAGAATTTTATTTTTGGTTTACAAAACCATAAACTGGCCCATAAATATAGAGCCTCACAGTTATTCAAGTCAGAGTCTTTCCTACTGCCCTGCTAGAATATTTGTCACCAGTGTGAAGGAAATCAAAATATTTTACCTCAAAATATATTTTTTGACATATGAAATAGCTGCCACAGGGCTAGCCCACTGAAATGGCCCCCAAAAGCTGCCTTCTGTGGGGGAAATTTGCATCTTAGAGAATCTCCGTAAATGCAGCCATGACTTCTCTTTCTAGGCTTTTCCTGGATCTAGTTTAAATTAATTAAGAATCTGACACCTTAAAAAGTCTAAAAAGAAACATTTCCCATCTATTCTTTCTGATGGCTACTGCCTAGGAGGCTTCATCTACCTAACATGGACGGCTTGTCCTCTCTCCACTCTCTTTTCGCCCCTCTCCTCTCTCTCTCCTCTTCTTTTTTGAGATGGAGTCTCGTTCTGTCACTCAGGCTGGAGTGCGGTGGCATGATCTCAGCTCACTGCAACCTCCGCCTCCTGGGTTCAAGCGATTCTCCTGTCTCAGCCTTCTGAGTAGCTGGGATTACAGGCGCCCACCACCATGCCTGGATAATTTTTGTATTTTTAGTAGAGATGGAGTCTCACCAGGTTGGCCAGGCTGGTCTCAAACTCCTGACCTCAGGTGATCCGCCCGCTTTGGCCTCCCAAAGCACTGGGATTACAGACGTGAGCCACAATGCACAGCTGGGCCCCCATTCTTTCTATAACCTCAAGATGGTGTTCACTGGGGTTTGAGTCTTCATTCTGAAGACTCCTGTGGATACAAGTTAAATAACTTTGTATGCCTTTTCTCCTATTAATCAGTTGTCCTCATGTCTGATTTTTCAGCAACTTTAGCAAGACCATTGGCCCCCACAAGAGTATTGAGAAAATATAAAGAGATTATTATATGCTGTTTTGCTTTTGTTTGTTTCTATGTTTTGCTTTTTGGGGGAAAGAGGAGACAAAAGAAGGTGGAAATGAGGAGTAAAAAGTTCAACATAGAATGTCGATTTGCTGTATTTACTGATTACAGCAGGAAACATAAATCCTCTTGCTTATTATTAAAAAATACAGCCCTGAATGTGTGTCCTACATTCCTACAATGAATAACAGCTGCATTAGCATTCCAAAGAAAATCCTGGCTATTGGATTTCTATAGTGAAGGATTGTTTCAATAGACCTCAATTTGCTTTTTAAGACTGTTTGCAATTTTGTTAAACTTTTATATCATCAGCACCAAATTATTTTTGGCTTACCTGGCCAAAGCTGGGAATAAACCTAGATTCTATTTTGAATATACATACTATGTAGACATCTAATTATGTAGCCAATGCAAAGATATGGTATATGATTTTTCAACCTATTACTAGTCAGATATGTCAAGCTCATTCATATAAGAAAAGGTATTTCATTTCAAAACTTAAGGTCACTATGATAATACTATTACAGTGTGCATATAATTCAGATAAAATATTTTTATATTTATATATTTACAAATATACTTACAAAACAAATGAAAACTTAGAATGAGCTGCAGGAATAGCTGTAATAACATACATAGTCTGTGTATTCACTGAAAGCATTTTGTTCATAAGGTTGGAAACATTGAAAGAATCATGGAGTATAAAAAGAGCCTTGCAGGAAAAAATTATTTCTCATTTATGAAAAAACCAGAAAAAAATGTGTGGTATGAAATATGAAATATGAACTTTGTTATATCACAGAAAATTATGAAATTTTCCTTGGAGTGACCCCTTTTTCATATGGCTTAATGTATAAGTGATGTATATAAACTGTACATATTTAATCTATACAACTGAAAAAGTTTTGACTTTTGTATACATCTATGAAATTATCACCAAAATTACAATAATGAACATAACCATTTATTTAACATTTCCTCATGCCCTTTATATAAACTCTGTCTTCTTCTTCTCGTCTTCCTTCTGTGCCATGCCCAGGTAACAACTGATTACTTTCTGTTGCTATAGTTTAGTTAGCATACTATATAATTTTATATAAATGTGATCATACAGTATGTGAACTTTTGTGGGGAGGCATATGGCTGCTGTTACTAGGCATATTATTATGAGATTCATCTGTGTTTTTGCATGTATCCATAGTTACTTGTTTATATTTCCATTATTCCATTATAGAATATACCACTTAGACATTTGCAAGCTTCCAGTTTTTGTATATAACAAAGCTGCTGTGAATATTCCTACAAAAGTCTTTGGGCATATTCTTTATCATAGGTAAATACTTGAGGAAATACTCTAGAGGAAATTGGTAGATATCTGGATTATATGGTAGATGTCTGTTTAACTTATAAGCAACAATAACGTTGTTTTCCAAAGTCATCATACCGTTTTACATTCCAACCAGTAGTGCATGAGAGTTCCAGTTCTTCCACATCCTTAGCAACAAATGGTATGGCCAGTCTTTTAAATTTTAGTAATCCTAGTGGATGTAAAGTAGTATCTCATTGGAGTTTTAATTATTTATTTTTTTTAATGACATATGATGTTCAGTATCTTTTCATATGTTTATTTGTCCTTTGCATAATTTTTGTTGAAGTGTGTTCACTTTTTTCCCCATTTTTAATTGAGTTGTTTGTTTCTTACTGAGTTCTGAGTTTTTTGTTTATTGTGGATATTCTTACTTTTAAGTTTTGGCGGGTCGGACCAGGGCAGTGCTCAGTTTAGGGCTAATTATCCCCCAGTACTGAAGCAAGGCTCTTATGTGTTTTCTATCCAAGCCCTATGAATCTTAAATTTTCCAAGTCTGGCTGGTGGCAACAGGCACTATTCCTGGACTCCTGGGAAAACCAAGTATCACTAGCTCTAATTCTTTTGGGTGGATCTTTCCTCAGCCTTAGGTAATTTCTTAAAGAATATGTGTTGATCAGTAATCAACTGAAAACCTGAGGAGAACTCTGCGGGTCTCAGGCACTCCTGTTCTACACAGTTTTCTCCTCTCTGGTATGCTGTCCTGAGAATTCTAGCAACCTTGGTTTCCTCAACTCAGGAGATCTGCTGGGTACTTCCTGCTTTTCTTCTCCCTGCAGCATGGCTTGGGAATTTAAAATAGTAAGCTGAGGCACATTTTCACTTACCTTGTTGGGTTTCTGTCTCTCAAAGATCATTGTCCTTTGTTGTCTGATGTACAGTGTCTTGAAAAAGTTTTTTTTTTAATTCTTTTATTTATTTATTTTTTGGAACCACAGGAAGGAGGGTAAATTTGGTCTCTTTTACTCCTGTTTTGACCAGAAATTGAGTGATTTTTAATGCTTATTTCTTTAAGTTCACATGACAACTTAATGTGAGCCACTGGCCATTTGGAAACTAAATTTTCTCACTCACAATCTCACTGTTGTTAAACATTTTGATGTATATTCTTCAAGTGATCTCTCCCCCTACCTCCTGTCTTTTCCTTAATTTTATTAAAATATTATTAATATACCATGCAATTCACCCATTTAAAGTATACAGTTCAATGGCTTTAAAAAAATTATAGCGACCCTAATGGGTGTGAAGTGATAACTCGTTGTGGTTTTGTTTGTTTTTTCCCTATTGACAAGTAATATTGAGCATTTTTTCATGTGCTTGTTGGTCATTTGTATAGCTTCTTTGGAAAAATGCCCACTCAAGTTCTTTGCCCATTTTGAATAGGATATTTTTGTTGTTGAGTTAAAGAACTCTTTATACTTTTTGTGTACTAAACCCTTGTTAGATATGTGATTTGCAAAAATTTTCTTCCATTCTTTGGGGTTTTTCACTTTTTATATAGAGATACATGCATTAATTATTTTAATTTTGATAAAGTTCAATTTATTTTTCTTTTGTTGCTTGTGCTTTTGGTGTCGCATTGAAGAAACCATTGCCAAATCCAAAGCGATGAAGATTTACCCGTATATTTTCTTGTAGTAGTTTTATATGTGCAAGTGCTGCTGAACTTAAAATAAAAGTTGGAAATCACAAAAGAAAGAAAACAAAATAGGACACGTCAAACTTGTAGATTAGTGCTGTTCTTAGAGGGGGTGCTATAATCTTAAAAGCATATATATCAACAGATGTGGTGAAAACATTTGATAAGACTGGGTGTGGTGGTTCATGCCTGTAATCCCAGAATATTGTGAGGCCGAGAAGGGTGAATCACTTGAGGCCAGGAGTTTGATACCATCCTGGCCAACATAGTGAAACCCCATCTCTACTAGAAATACAAAAATTAGCCAGGTGTGGTGGTGGGCACCTGTAGTCCCAGCTACTCAAGAGGCTGAGGGAGGAGAATCTCTTAAACCCAAGAGGCAGAGGTTGCAGTCAGCCAAGATTATGCCACTGCACTCTAGCCTGAGTGAAAGAGCGAGATGCTGTCTCAAAAAAAAAAAAAAAAAAGAAGAAGAAGAAAACATTTAATAAATGCAATATCCATCTGTGGAAAAAAATAACCCATAGCAAAATGCCAACACAAAAGAATGTTCTTAATTCAAAAAGAATTAAGATGGTGGATAAGAGGCAGCACTAGCTTTTAGCTCCTGTTTGGATGAACAGAGTAGTGTGTGGAAACTCACATCGTGAACTTTTTCTCCAAGAACTGCTGCAGGAACATACCAGAAAAGCCAAGAGAATCCGCAGACCCTTTGAAGGAACTGGATCACTTCTGCAAGCTCCCTGAGACACTGAAAACCCATGAGTCGGCTTGCTTTCTCAGCAGGAGGCTTGCGGTCTGGAAAAAGTTCTCAGCCCTGGTCACTGGCTGCCTGGAAATAGACTCCGTGCTATGGGGGGCATGGTAGAAGTGAGACTGGCCTTTGGGACTGTGAGCTGCATGGGTGTGGGGTGAGGCCTGTGACTGCAGGCTTTCCCCAATTTCCCTGGTGACTTATATGACTCAGCAGAGGCAGCCATAAACCCCCTGGGAATATAACTCCATTGGACTGCATACCACACCCACTATCCTTCACAGCAGCTGCAGCTGCAGCAAGCCCTGCTAAAGGACAAACTGAGCTCAGACACACCTACCCCTGCCCAAACCTGGTAATTTTTCTCTACCTGCCTTGGTAGCTGAAGACAGAGGTCATAATCTGTTTGGAGCTCTGTGGCCCTGCCCACCACCTGAGGAACCTGAATAGTTAACCAGGTGTCCTCCCTGGGTCAAGTTTGTATCCTCCCTATAGGGCCACAGCTGAAGCATTCTTGAAAGTGCCACTTCCTGACTAGAGGCCAACCAACACAAAACCAGCAAAATCAAAATCAAAAACAAATCCTAAAACAAAACAAAATCAAAACAAAAACAAAATCAAAGACCCTCAGAGTTTACTTCACTCCCCTGCTACCTCCACTAGAGCAGGTGCTGGTATCCATGGCTGCAATACCTGAAGATAGATAATATCATAGGACTCTTTGTAGACACTCCCTAGTACCAGCCTGGAGCCCAGTAGCTCTGTTGGGTGGCTAGACCCAGAAGAGCAAAAATAATTTCTACAGTTTGGCTCCCAGGAAGCCCCATTCATAGGGGAATGGAGAGAACATCACATCAAGGGAGCACCTCTTGGGACAAAAGAATCTGAACAGCAGCCCTTGAGTCCCAGATCTTTCCTCTGACATAGTCTACCCAAATGAGAGTGAACCAGAAAAACAATTTTGGTAACATGACAAAACAAAGTTACTGAACACCCTCAAGAGATCATATCAGCTCACCAGTAATGAATCTAAACTAAGACAAAAATCTCTGAATTGCCAGAAAAAGAATTCAGAGGGTAGATTATTAAGCTAATCAAGGAGGCATCAGAGAAAGGTAAAGTCCAACTTAAAGAAATAAAAAACAATACAGGATATGAAAGGAAAATTCTTCAGTGAAATAGACAGTATGAATAAAAAAGAAGACAACTTTTGGAAATCAAGAACACACTTAGAGAAATGCAGAAATGCAGAAATGCAAAATGCACTGCAAAGTCTCAGCATAGAATTGAACAAGCAGAAGAACCTCAGAGGTCAAAGCAAGGCTTTTGAATTAATCCATCAAAGACAAAGAGAATTTAAAAAAATGAACAAAGCCTCCAAGAAGTTTGGGATTATGTTAAACATTCAAACCTAAGAATAACAGGTGTTCCTGAGGAAGAAAGAAATCTAAAAGTTTGGAAAACATATTTGAGAGAATAATTGAGGAAAACTTCCCTGGCCTTGATAGAGATCTAGACAATCAAATACAAGAAACTCAAAGAACACCTGGGAAATTCATCGCAAAAAGATCATTGCCTAGGCACATTGTCGTCAGGTTATCTGAAGTCAAGATGAAGGAAATAAGAGCTGTGAGGCAAAAGCACTAGTTAACTTATAAAGGAAAACCTATCAGATTAACAGCAGATTTCTCAGCAGGAGCTCTACAAGCCAGAGGGGATTGGGATACTATTTTTAGCTTCCTTAAACAAAACAATTATTGGCCAAGAATTTTGTACCCAGTGAAACTAAGCTTCATAAATGAAGGAAAGATACAGTCATTTCCAGACAAATAAATGCGGACAGAATTCACCACTACTAAGCCAGCACTACAAGAACTGCTAAAGGGAGCTCTAAACCTTGAAACAAATCTTCAAAATACACCAAAATAGAACTCCTTAAAGCATAAATCTCACAGGACCTATATAACAATAACACAATAAAAACAACAACAACAAGGTATTCAGGCAACAAACAACATGATGAATAGAAGAGTACTTAACATCTCAATACTAACATCGAATGTAAATGGCCTAAATGCTCTACTTAAAAGATACAGAATGGCAGAATGGATAAGGATTTACCAATTGGCCAGGCATGGTGGCTCACACCTGTAATCCCAACACTTTGAGGCTGAGGTGGGTGGATCACCTGAGGTCAGGGGTTTGAAAGCAGCATGGCCAACATGGGAAACCCTGTCTCTACTAAAAATACAAAATTGGCCAAGCATAGTGGCTCATGCCTGTAATCCCAGCAACGTGGGAGGCTGAAGCAGGAGAATTGCTTCAACCAGGGAAGAGGAGGTTGCAGTGAGCCAAAGTCACACCATTGCACTCCAGCCTGGGCAACAAGAGCAAAACTCCATCTCAAAAACAAAAAACAAAAAAACAAAAAACAAAAACAAAAAAAAAAACGGAATTCACCAATCAAGTTTCTGCTGTCTTCAGGAGACTCACCTCGCACATAACACATAGCGACTCACATAAACTTAAGGTAAAGGGGTGGGAAAAGATATTCCATGCAAATGGACACCAAAAGTGAGCAGAAGTAGCTATTCTTCTATCAGACAAAACAAACTTTAAAGCAACAGCAGTTAAAAGAGACAAAAAGGGATCTTATATAATGATAAAAATACTAGTCCAACAGGAATATATCACAATTCTAAATATATATGCAGCTAACACTGGAGCTCCCAAATTTATAAACCAATTACTACTAGACTAAGAAATGAGATAGACAGCAACGAAACAATAGTTGGGAACTTCAATACTCCACAGACAGCACTAGACAGGTCACTAAGAAATTAAACAAAGAAACAATGGACTTAAAATATACTCTACAACAAATGGACTTAACAGATATTTACAGAGCATTCTCCCCAATAACTTCAGAATATACATTTTATTCATCAGCACATGTAACATTCTCCAAGATAGACCATATGATAGGCCACAAAACAAGTCTCAGTAAATTTAAGAAAATCAAAATTATATCAAGTACTCTCTCAGACCACAGTGGAATAAAATTGGAAATCAACTCCAGAAGGAGCCCTCAAAGCCATGCAAATACATGGAAATTAAATAACCTGCTCCTGAATCATTTTTGGGTCAACAATGAAATCAAGATGGAAATTAGAAAATTCTTTGAACTGAAAGATAATAGTGACATAACCTATCAAAACATCTAGGATACAGCAAAAGTGGTGCTAAGAGGAAAGTTCATAGCATTAAATGCCTACATCAAAAAGTTTGAAAGAGTACAAGTAGACATTCTAATGTCACAGTCCATGGAACTGGAGAAACAACACAATCCAAACCCAATCCCAGCAGAAGAGAAGAAATAACAAAGATCAGAGTAGACCTAAATGAAATTGAAACAACAAGAAACTACAAAGGATAAATGAAACAAAAAGCTGATTATTTAAAAAGATAAATAAAATTGATAGACATTTAGTGAGATAAACCAAGAAAAGAAAAGTTCCAAATAAGCTCAGTTAGAAACAAAATGGGATATATTGCAACTGATACCACAGAAATATAAGCTATGAACACCTTTATGTGCATTAACTAGAAAACCTAGCAGAGATGAATAAATTCCTGGAGATATACAACCCTCCTAGGAAGATATAGAATGTCTGAACTGACCAATAACAAGCAGCAAGATTGAAATGGTAATTAAAAAAAATGCCAACCAAAAAAAATCCAGGACCAGATGGATTCACAGCTAAATTCTATCAGACATTCAAAGAAGAATTGGTACCAATTCTATTAACACTATTCCAAAAGATAAAGAGGGACTCCTCCTTAAATTTTTCCATGAAGCCAGTATCACTTTAATACCAAAACCAGGGAAAGATATAACAAAAATAGAAAATTGGAGACCAATAGATGCAAAAGTCCTCAATAAAATACTAGTGAACCAAATCCAACAACATTTCAAAAAGGCAAAACACCATGATCAAGTGGGTTTCATACCAGGGATGCAGGGATGGTTTAACATATGTAAGTCAGTAAATGTGATACACCACATAAAGAGAATCAAAAACAAAAATCACATGATCATCTCAATAGATGCAGAAAAAGCATTTGACAAAACCCAGCATCCCTTTATGATTAAAACCCTTAGCAAAACTGGCATAGAAGGGACATACCTTAAAGTAATTATAGCCATCTATGACAAACCCACAGCCAACTGAATGAGGAAAAGTTGAAGGCATTCCCCCTGAGAACTGGAACAATACAAGGATGCCCACTTTCACCACTTCTATTCAACATAGTACTGGAAGTCCTAGCCAGAACATCAGACAAGAGAAAGAAATAAAGGGCAGCCAAAAAAGTCAAACTGTTGCTGTTTGCTGATGATATGAGAGTATACCTAAAAAACCCTAAAGACTCCCCCAGAAAGCTCCTACAACTAGTAAATGAATTCAGCAAAGTTTCAGGATACAAAATTAATGTACACAAATCTGTGGCTCTGTTATACACCAATACCGACCAAGCCGAGAATAAAATCAATAACCCCTTTCACAATAGCTGCAAGATATATATATATATATATATCTAACCAAGAACGTGAAAGACCTCTACAAGGAAAATTATAGAACACTGCTGAAAGAAATTATAGATGACACCAACAAATAGAAACGCATCCCATGCTCATGGATAGGTAGAATTAATATTGTGAAAATGACCATACTGCCAAAAGCAATCTACAAATTCAATGCAATTCCCATAAAAATACCACCATCATTCTTCACAGAACTAGAAAAAACATATGGAACCATAAAAGAGCCCACATAGCCAAAGCAAGGCTAAGCAAAAAGAACAAACCTGAAGGCATTACATTACTGGACTTCAAACTAAACTATAAGGCTATAGTCATCAAAACAGCATGGTACTAGTTTAAGAATAGACACATAGACCAATGGAACAGAATAGAGAACCCAGAAATAAAGCCAAATACTTACAGCCAACTGATCTTTGAGAAAGTAAACAAAAACAAAGTGGAGAAAGGGCACCCTATTCAACAAATTGTGCTGGGATAATTGGCTAGCCACAGGTAAAGGAATGAAACTGGATTCTCATCTCTCATTTTATACAAAAATTAACTCAAGATGGATCAAAGACTTAAATCTAAGACCTGAAACCATAAAGATTTTAGAAGATAACATTGGAAAACCCTTCTAGACATTAGCTTAGGCAAAGACTTCATGACCAAGAACCCAAAAGCAAAGGCAACAAAAACAAAGATAAATAGGTGGGTCTTAATTAAATTAAAAAGCTTCTGTACAGCAAAAGAAATAATCAGCAGAGTTAACAGACAATCCACAAAGTGGGAGAAAATCTTCACAATCTATGTATCTGACAAAGGACTGACATCCAGAATCTACAAATAACTCAAACAAATCATCAAGAAAAAAACAATTCAGTCAAAAAGTGGGCTAAGGACCTAAGTAGACAATTCTCAAAAGAAGATATACAAGTGGCCAACAAGCATATGAAAAAATGCTCAACATCACTATCAGGGAAATGCAAATCAAAACTACAATGCAATACCACCTCACTCCTACAAAATGGCCATAATAAAAAAATCAGAAAATAATAGATGTTGGTATGGATGCAGTAAAAAGGGAACACTTTTACACTGTTGGTGGGAATGTAAACTAGTACAACCACTATGTTAAATAACTAAAAGGAGATCTACTGTTTGATCCATCAATCTCACTACTAGGGATTTACCCAGAGGAAAATAAGTTATTATAGTAAAAAGATACTTGCACATGCATGTTTATAGCAGCAAAATTTGTAATTGCAAAATATGGAACCAGCACAAATACCCATCAATCAATGAGTAGATAAAGAAAATGTGGTATATATGTATACCATGAAAATGTGGTATATATGTATGCCATGGAATACTACTCAACCATCAAAGGAATGAAATAATGGCATTTGCAGCAACCTGGATGGAATTGGAGACAATTATTCTAAGTGAAGTAACTCAAGAATGGAAAACCAAACATTGTATGTTTCCACTCTTATGTGGGAGCTAAGCTATGAGACATAAAGGTGTAAGAATGATACATTAAACTTTGGGGACTCAGAGGAAAGGGTGGAGGGTGGCGAGGGATAAAAGACTACACATTGGGTACAGTGAACACTGCCTAAGTGATGGGTGCACCCAAATCTCAGAAATCACCACTAAGGAACTTATTCATGTAGCCAAACACCACCTGTTCCCCAAAAACCTATTGAAATAAAAAAATAAAATATTTAAAAACCAAAAAAGAATATTGTCCAAAAAGCTTAATGCAAACATTGCACTTAATGTAAACTAATCAAAGTTCTTAATAAATAATAAAATGATAAAAATGGTTTTATAGTTTTAGGTCTTACATTTTGTTTCTTTGATGCATTTTTAGTTAATTGGTATAAGAGGTGTGAGGTAAGGATTCAACTTCATTCTTTCACAAGTAGATACCTATCCACTTGTCCCAGCACCATTAGTTTAAAAGACTGTTCTTTCCCTGTTGAATGATCATGGCACCCTAGCGGAAAATCAATTGACCATAGACACTTGAGTTTATTTTCGGGCTTTGAATTTGATTCAATTGATCTATATGTCTATCCTTATGTCAGTACCACACTCTTATTCATGATTATTGTAGCTTTTTACTAAGTTTTGAAATTGGGAAATGTGAGTCCTCCCACTTTAGCTTTTCCAAGATTGTTCTGGCTATTTTGGATCCCTTAAAATTCCATATGAATATTAGAATCAACTTGTCAATTCCTACAAAGAAGTCAGTTGAATCAATTTAATAGGGATTCATTGAAGCTGTAGATCAATTTGGGGAGCGCTGCCATCTTAAAAGTATTAAATTTCTGATTTATGAACATGAGATGATTTTCTATTAATTTAGATCTTCCTTAATTTCTTTCAACAACATTTTGGAGATTTCACAGTATAAATTTGGCACATCTTTTGTTAAATTTATTTCTAAGCATTTTGTTCTTTTTTGTGTCATGGGGTTATTTTCTTAATTGTTAGGTTATTAATTCCAAGTGTATAGAAATATGATTGATTTTTGTATATTGGTCTTATATCTTGCCACCTTGCTGAACTCATTAGCTAGTTCTAATACACAGTTTTTATCTTTCTTTTTTTTTTTGTAGATTCCTTAGGATTTTCTATATGCCAGATTAAATCACCTATGAATACAGACAGTTTTACTTCTTCCTTTCCAACCTGGATAACATCTATTTCTTTTGCTTGCCTAATTGCCATTTCTAGAACCCCTAGTATAATGTTAAATAGAAGAAGTGAGAACGAGCATCCTTATTTTGTTCTTAATCTTAAGGGGAATGCAATCCGCCTTTCACCATTAAGTATGTTAATTGTGGATTTTCTAATATACCAGGTTGCAGAAGTTTCCTTCTATTTATAGCTTGTTAAATGTTTCTATCATTAGAAGAGTGTTGGATTTTATCAAATGCTTTTTCTACTTCTATTAGATGACCAGATGACTGGCCTTATAGAATGTGTTAGGAAGTAGTCTCCCTTTTTTATTTTTGGGTGGGAGAGTTTGTGAGAATTTGTATTTATTCTTCTTTAAATGCTTGTTAGAGTTCATCAGTAAAGCAATCTGGATCTGAGTTTTTATTTGTAGGTAACAATTTGATTACTAATTCCATCTTTTTATTTATTATAGATCTATTCTGATTGTCTATTTTTTTCTTGAGTCAGTTTAGATAATTTGTGTCTTTCTAGGAAACTGAACATTTAATCTAATTTATTGGCATACAATTGTTCATATAATTCCTTTATAATCCTTTTTATTTTTATAGGTTGGTAGTAATGTTCCCTCTTTCTGTTCTAATTTTTGTAATTTGAATCCTCTCTTTTTGGTCAGTCTAGCTAGAAGTTTGTCAGTTTTGTTGTCTCTCTTTTTAAAACAAAAATAATTTTACCTATATTTTCTTTTGTTCATGTGTGTGTCTGAGTGTGTGTGTGTGTTTTACATTTAGCCTTTTAATCTAACACATTTATTTTGGCATATGATATGAAGGAGAAATCTTTTTATTTTAAAATAGTTAACCAATTATTCTAGCCCTAGTTACTGAATACTTTATTTCTCTCTATTTGTTTGAAATACCACTTAATAGAACACTGTATTTTTACATATACAGTTGATTCTTCTAGGCTTTCTATTCTTTTATATAATTATATATACCAATTCTTGTAACAGATATCACATTACTTTTTTAACTTATTGTTTTAACATTATAAAAACCTCTAATAGTTAGAAAATAAACTTTCCTCTCATTATTCCTTAAAGTTGTGTTGTTGACAATTTTTTGCCAATTTATTATTCCAGCTGACTATTAGAACCACTTTGTCTTATCAACTCTGCTCCCCTACACCCCCTTTCCAAATTTCCTTTGGGATTTTATTTGATCTAAAATAAATTTATATTATATTCTAAGAAAGATTGACATGTTTCAATATTGAATCTGCCCTACATCTTGGGTCCTCTTCAAACCTTTAACCATTTTTATTGTTGCTGGTCACTAGAATTCTGAGCCTCCTGAATGCAACCATGGAATAATCCTTGATTATTCCATGGAATATTTCTTATGGAAATATTTCACAGATCTTCTCTTTCTTCTTCCCTCCTCCTCCAAAGCTTTGTTCCTAAACAATCTCTTGCCTACCTACCTCCTTATCCTTCATGCTTCTCATAGTTATAATAATCTTTCTTTTGATAGTATCATTTTTTTTCTTAGAAGCTGAGGTGACTTCCAATTGCTTAATTCGATCAAATAGAGCTTTACTCTTATCCCCAAAACTTCTTCGATTGTCACCTAGGATCTCTGTCTCATCCCCACCTTCCACTCCAAGCTCACATACTATTCCCTCCAACCCTAAATTTGTATTCCTCTACTACTATCTACTAGTTTATAATTTCTACTGTGTAGTAGAAATGATATAGTAGAAATTAACAAAATTATTTATATTTCTTCAGCAAAGCAGAATTCACTGCCATATACAATTCACCAATATTTACTTGCAAATAATCATACTGATACACTATTTTGCAGTATTTATCACTCCTGTCCGTAAGAAAAGCATATTCCCTCTATCTTCTAAACCCCTGCTTAAAACACATTTCAGACAGGAATTTTGTTCATTTTAATGAACTCCCACCATTCCAGCAGCTTTTTGTGATGATCCACATGTAATTGATTGTTCAAGAGATGCCTTATTTAACAAAGTACAGTGTACAAGCATACATAAGATTATGATTGCTTTAATAAATTTGATTCACTACTAGATGCATTTAAATGTTGGGTTATATTTTCTGTAAGCTATAAGAGTTTAAACTAGAAAATAATATTTTCAAGGGTATGAAGTTGCTGTGTACTTATAAATCAATGATTATAAATAAATAAAATGAATTGATTCAAAGACATATGGAAGAATATAAACCTCAGTATAATTTAAAATATATAATAATTAATTTTTAACGTTCTTGGTATTATATGTTCTTTATAAAACTATTCTTGGATATTCATATTTGCCAAACACCTGCTGTAGGTAGTTTTAAAAAATCCTTCTGTAGATTCAGTCTATTCAGTACATTCAGGGATAATAGATTAAAATCACTGTGCCATTAGGTGACTTTCTGGCTTTAAGTTTACTGAGTGTATGCATTAACATAGACAGTACAGAAAACATTAAGAAGAGAGGTAGACTTGCTTCATCCTATAGGATTCAGGGAAAATTTCTAGTAGATGACACTTACAGTGAGTTTTGGAGGAAAAATGATGTTAGCTAGACAGTGGAGTGGGAGAGGTGAGCATTCCAAAAATAGCAAGAAACATATGTGCAGAGACCTGAATATGGAAAATCTGAAAAATTGCTAATATGCAGTACAGCTGGAGCAAAAGATGCATATGGGGTTATGGGGGTAGATATGGCCAGAAAGCTGGGCAATGGCCAGATCATGAAGAGCTTTGTAAACTGTACCAAGGATTTTGGCCTTTATTCTATAGACAATGGGATCTTGCTTGCAATATAGCTTCTATAGGCACATTACGGAAGAAAAAACTCAAACCCTTCTTCCTATATAATGGGCAAAGGCAATATTTAAAAAATTAACTCCAGCTTCCTCTTATAAGAAGAGTGTTGACAAATCAGAATCATAACTGACTTCAATTTTTTCTGAGTTCCTCAGATTTTGTTGCTTTGAAAAGTGCTTTTATCTTGTTTTCAAAGATCCAAAGCATAGAATTTTTACTTGCTTCTAGTAGCTATTTTTCCTTTCACAGATTGTTCCCGTCTTTGAATGTGCCTTTCGAAATGGTGTTTTCCAATTTGATTTTCAGGAGGAAGGCCCTGAGCATGAAAAACATGCATTTTTTTTTCTTAGAAGCAACTGAGCTTTCCTTCTTTCCTGATGCACACAGACAGTTTCAGAATGTGTCAACACTGAGAGTAATTTACAGTTATAAGTTTTTTTTTTTTTGATCTTTGGCAAGCCCTAGAGAGAAGAGGAGATTGATGGTGCATATCATTCCCAGCACCAGATTGGAGGAAAGATTTGTAACTATGATGAGTGTTTTAGTCCAAATTTGAGAGAAACTGGCACCTTTGGCTACATCTGTGCAGTGTAACAGGGAGGATTCAGAAAGCAGGAAGCCATTCTGACTGGTGGAAGATGGTATCTCATTACAGTTTTAATTTGCATCTCTCTGTTGATAGTGATATTTAGCATTTTTAAAAATGTTTCTTGGCTGCTTGTATGCCTTCCTTTGAAAAGTGTCTGTTCATGTCCTTTGCTCACTTTTTAATGGGATTATTTGTTTTTATCTTGTTGATTTATTTAAGTGTTTATAGATTCTGGATATTAGTCCTTTGCCAGATGCATAGGTTGCAAATATTTTCTCCCATTCCATAGGTTGTCTGTTTACTTCATTGATCATTTCTTTTGCTGTGTAGAAACTCTTTAGTTTAATGAAGTCCCATTTGTCTATTTTTGTTTTTGTTGCATTTGCTTTTGAGGTCTTAGTCATAAATTCTTTGCCTAGGCCAACGTCCAGAAGAGATTTTCCTAGGTTTTCTTCTAGGATTTTTATAGTTTGAGGTCATACATGGATTGAGTCTTTAGTTGATCTTGAGTTAATTTTTATATATGGTGAGAGGTAGGTGTCCAATTCCATTCTTCTGCATATGGCTAGCTAGTTTTCTTAGCACCATTTATTGAATAGGATATCCTTTCCTCCTGTTTATTTTTGTTGACTTTGTTGAAGACCAGTTGGTTGTAGATGTCTGGCTGTATTTCTGGATCCTCTACTCTGTTCCATTGGTTTATGGGTCAATTTCTGTACAAGTATAATGCTGCTTTGGCTACTATAACTGTGTGGTGTAGTTTGAAGTTGGATACTGTGATGCTTCAAGCTTTTTTCTTTTTTGTTTTAGATTTCTTTGGCTATTCAGGCTTTTTTTTTTTTGGTTCCATATGAATTTTAGAATTGTTTTTTCTAATTCTTTGAAAAATGATATTGGTAATTTGATAAGAATTACGTTGAATATGTAGCTTGCTTTGGGCAGTGTAGTTATTTTAATGATATTAATTCTTCCAATCCAGGAGAATGGGATATTTTTTCATTTGTTTGTATCATCTATAATTTCTTTCATTGGTGTTTTATAGTGCTCCTTTTAGAGGTCTTCCACTGCCTTGGTTAAATTTACTGCTAGATATTTTATGTGTGTGGCAATTGTAAATGGGATTGAATTCTTGATTTGGTTCTCAGTTTGAGCATTGTTGAGAAATGCAACTAATTTTTGTGCATTAATTTTGTATCTTGAAACTTTACTAAAGTCATTTATCAGGTCTAGAATTCCTTTGAAGGAATCTTTAGGGTTTTTTAAGTGTGTGACCATGTCATCAGCAAACAAAGATAATTTTTCCTCTTTTCCTATTTAGATGTCTTAAGTTTCTTTCTCTTGCCTGATTGCTTTGGCTAGGACTTCTTGTACTATGTTGAATAGGAGCGTTTAGTTTCCTTTTCACCAAACACACATTCCAATATGTTTTATAATTTTATTTTTTTACCAAAAACACATTTACTTATATACATTGTACATCAATTGGTTCTCTTATATTTAGTAGTTTTAATTACATATACAACTATTTTAACTCTTAATAACCTCTAATTTTCAGAGAAAAACCTAGGATTACTTAGTTTAACATAACATGATCTTAATATTTTAAATTACTACAGAGAATTTTGAAACTAGTTTTATTTACCAAGATTATTAAAGTCTCATGAACTTGAAAAGTATTGGGGCTAGTTATTTAATTTATGATGTGGATGAAAAAGCCAAACTCTGTAATATTTTTGGAGAGATTTACTCTGAGCCATGTGTAAGCGACCATGGCCTGAGGCACAGTCTCAAAAGGTCCTGAGAACATGTACCTAAGATAGTTGGGTTACAGCTTGGTTTTATATGTTTTAGGAAGACATAAGACATCAATCAATATATATGAGATATATGCTGGTTCAGTATGAAAAATGTGTTTTGGACTCCCAATCTTTTCAGACTATCTGCATGATGTTACCTGAAATATCATGCCCTCTGGATGGCAGAGACCAAGAAAAAGAATATCCACACTTAGTCACCAGTCAAGCTCTCAAGGACATAAAATATGGTGAGAGGAGACTTTCGCCTGGTTTTTATTTTAGGAGCCCACAGCAATGTTTGTCTTAACAGACACTGGTGTAGTCAGAATACTAAAACTGAATAGTTTACAGGGCTAGCTCAAACAGTGGGCTTGTAGGGATTCTAGGACCGGGTATTAGCGTATGGTTCCCCTCTTTATGCAGAACACCACAGAAAGACAAAGCCAAGGAAAACAGCAACAAAAAGGCTATTTCTGAAGTGAAAGGAATCAAACAATATGAATATTTATACCACAAAGTACCAAAAGCACACTAGAGTCACTACACCCCAAAACTAGTCACACAAATCCTTTTTTCCCTTTAATCAAAACCTTGAGACAAAACAGTCATTTTTACCATCCATTCAACCAGATTTCACAGAGTAAGTCTAGGAGCCTGATTTATAAGTTCTTAACTTTTACTGGCTTGTTAGGATCCTGGGATCTCTTCACTGTGGCCTTCATAAGATCAGAATGGCTTTGGAGGTACCCTGCTTGCTGTGCCGTAACTGTGGGAGCCAACAGAGAGCTTTCCTTTTGGTCTTCTGAAGGTTCACTGAAAAATCAACGACATGAGTCAGATTGTTTAATAGAATAAAAGGCATACAAATTTATATAATGTTTATACACTGTAGCCTTCGGAATGAAGATTCTACCTTCTATTTTTTGATGTAGGCATTTAACACTATAAACCTGCCTTTAGCACTACTTTTGCTGCATCCCAAAGGTTTTGGTATATTGTGTTTCTATTTTCATTTATTTCAAAAATTTTAAAAATTTTCATCTTAATTTCTTTATTGACCTAATGGTTATTTAAGAGCATATTGGTTTATTTCTATATATTTGTGTAGTTTCTGGAGTTCCTGTTGGTATTGATACTTCTATTCCACTATAGTCTGATATGATTTGATATTTAGAATATGATTTCAATATTTAGAAATTTCTTGAGACGATATGATTTCAATATTTAGAAATTTCTTGAGACTTGTTTTGTGCCCTAAGATATTGTCTATCTTGGAGAATATTCTATGGGCTGATGAAAAGAATGTATATTCTGCAGTTGTTGGGTAGCATGTTCTGTAAGTGGCTGTCAGGTCTATTTGGTCAAAAGTCCAATTTAATCCAGTGTTTCTTCATTGATTTTCTGTCTCAGTAAAGTGTCTAGTGCAGTGAGTGGGGTGTTGATGTTCCTTAATATTATTGTATTACTAGCTATCGCTTTCATTAGGTCTAGTAATATTTGTTTTATGAATCTGGGTGCTCCAGCTGTTGGGTGCATATATATTTAGTATTATTATATCTACTTGTTGAATTGATCCATTTATCATTATATAATACACTTCTTTATCATTTTTTTTTTACTGTTTGTGATCTAAAGTCTGTTTTGTCTGACATAAGTATACCTCTGCTGCTTGCTTGTGGTTTCTGTTTGCATAGAATGTCTTTTTATTTTTAGTCTAAATGTCTCTCTAGAGATAAGGTGAGTTTCTTGTAAGTGGCATATTATTGGCTCATGTTTTTAAAATTCATTCTGTCAATATATATCTTTTAAATGAAGCATGTAATCCATTTACATTCAAGGTTAATATTGATATGTGAGTTTTGTTTTTGCTGTCATATTCTTGTTATCTAATTGTTTTCTAAATTCTTTCTCTGTTTTTCTTTGTGCCTTGGTAAAATTTTCTCATGTTGCCAGTTGATTCCTCTGTCTTCCTCCTTTGTGTGATTGTTTTATACGACTTTGAGTTTTATATTTTTGTGTGTTTTTATTATAGCACATATCAACCTTTCTTTTCCATGTTTAGGACTCCTTTGAGCATTTCTTGTAGGACTGGACTAGTGGTGATGAATTATCTCAATGTTTGCTTGTCTGGGAAAGATTTTATTTGTCCTTCATTTATAAAGCTTAATCTAGATGAACATAAAATTCTTGATTTACAGGTTTTTTAGTTGTTGTTGTTTGTTTGTTTCAGCACTTTGAAAACCCCACGCCATTCTTTTCTGGCTTGTGAAGTTTCTGCTGAGAAGTCTTCTTTTGGGGTTTCCTTTATAGGTGACTAAATGCTTCTTTCCTACTGACTTTAGAATGCTTTCCTTCATATTGTCTTTAGACAGTCTAATGACCATATGGCATGGTGAAGTCAATTTTGCAATTTATTTTCTGGGGATTGCTGAGCCTCCTCTATTTGAATGTCTAAATTTCTTCCTAGGCTAGGAAAGTTTTTGTTGATTACTTTATTTTATTCTTTTTTTTTTTTGAGATGGAGTCTTGCTCTGTTGCCTAGGCTGGAGTGCAGTGGCACGATCTCAGCTCACTGCAAGCTCCGCCTCCTGGGTTCACACCATTCTCATGCCTCAGCCTCCTGAGTAGCTGGGATTACAGGTACCCACCACCACGCCCGGCCAATTTTTTTGTATTTTTAGTAGAGACGGGGTTTCACCGTGTTAGCCAGGATGGTCTTGACCTCCTAACCATGTGATTCACCCGTCTCGGCCTCCCAAAGTGCTGGGATTACAGGCGTGAGCCACTGCGCCCAGCTGATTATTTTCTTAAATATGTTTTCTGAACTTTTTTCTTTTTCCTCCTCCTCAGGAATAATGTTTAGATTACTAAAGTTGGTCCCTTTATGTATTCCTATATATCTTGAAAGCCTTATTCTTTTAAAATTATATTTTCTTTATTTTTATCTGACAGGGTTAACTCAAATGACCTATTTTCAAGTTATAAGATTTTTTTCTTTTGCTTGGTCTAGTCTTTTGTTGAAGCTTTCAATATATTTTGTAATTCCTTCAATTAATTTTTCATTTTTATATGTTCTGTCTTTACACGGAAAGATATCTATCTCCTTTGCAAATTTTTCATTCATATTCTGAATTCATTTTTTAAAAAAATTTCTCTGTATTGGTTTTTAGAGACAGAGTCTCACTCTATTACCAAGGCTAGAGTGCATTGGCATGATTATAGCTCACTGCAATCTCAAACACCTGGGCTCAAGCAATATTCCCACTTCAGCCTCCTGAGGAGCTAGGCCTACAGGCATGCACCATCATGACTGGCTAATTAATTTTTTTTTTTTTTTGTAAAGACAGGGTCTCTCTATTACTGTGCCTGGCCTTGAACTTATGGCCTCAAGCAATCCTCCTGCCTTGGCTTCCCTAAATACTAGGATTACAGGTGTGAGCCACTACACCCTGCCTTAAAATCAATATTCTGAATTCCTTATATGGCATTTTGAGGATTTCTTTTTGGTTAGGATTCATTGCTAGAGAATTACTTTATTCCTTTGTGGCTGTCATAATACCATGCCATGCTTTGTGTATCTTTATTTAGATTTCTGTGCATCTGGAAAAACTGTTGCTGCTTCTTATTTTAAATTTACTTTCATTGGGGAAGGACCTTTTTTTCTTGAGGATGGGACTGTGATGTATTTTGAGTAGGGCCATTTGGCTTTGCTTCTTGGTGCATTCAGTGACAAAAATCCTGTATGATTTCTTGGTTCTATATACCTTTAGTGTGGTGGCTTTCTCAAGTGCTGGTTATAGTATGGTGTACCAAGGAAGTAAGACAGCTCATGACCTCCTGACTAGCTAGGGTGGCCTGGGTGGTGGTGGTAGCAGAGGCCACAAGAAGCTTATCTTTTTCCTAAGCACTGCATACTGTGCCAGCAGATGTTTTAACAGACTGTGCAGGTGGACCTACAGATCAGTAGATGACACTTGCAGGTAAGAGCCAGCTGTGATGGAAGCAGTAGGATATATGTCTGACTTCTGTTAACTTGTAGAAGTGTTCAGGTGTCCCTGGTGATGGAATGGGCTGTGAAATGCTCAGTGGTCTTTCTTGATGGATGGGCCATGAAATGCTCAGTGGTCTTTCTCCATGCTTTGTCTTGGAGTGGGGGGTGAAGCTGGGAAAAGCTGGACTGGTCCAGCCTGCACTTGGGCCCCCTGTGGCAGGCACAAGTGCTGACCCTGACAGGGATAGGGAGCAGTCCTCAGACTGCTAGAGAAATGCCTGGGCAAGGAGCAGAGCAACTGCTGCTGCACCAAGGTCTTAGCATGGGGAGGGAGGGGCAGTCCTAGCACCACAGCCTAGCAAGCAGGAGTGGGTACTGCTTTCCTCTGACTCCCATAACTGGCAGAGTTCATTCCCTTGTTTTGACTGTGGCAGCCAGTCAGGACAGTTAGTTTATTGCTGCAATTTGCTTCCAGTGCACAAAACTGTCCCAAGCTGTAAACCTTGCTGCCTGGGTCAAAACCATGCCTCCCCAGCAACTCTCTCCCTGCTCTAACCCCGTGATGGGGGGCTGCCCAATTCCTACACCAGCAGCTGGAGCTCACACCACATTTGCGTCTCAGGTCTGGCTAGAGGAGACCCTTTTTTGCTCCAGTCCCAGATCTCCAATCTATAGCCTATGTCTCTCTGATGCCAATGGCTGCCACTGCTTTTAGCTCCCAGGATTGCAGACAGCTTGCTCTAAAATAGGATCAAGAATGATATCCTTCTATAGGTGCCCAGGTCTTGGAGTGTCTGTAGGATACTTCCCTGAGCCACTCCTCCTATAGCTCCTGGCCTCTTCTTAAGTTAGATCCAGGGTTTGGAAGAATCAAGGTGCTCTCCTATAGGCTGGATTGCATGATTCCCCAGTGGGGAAGTGGACTTCAAAGACACTCACCCTTTCTTGTGCCAGGGATTCACTCATAGTTTTCAGCCAGACCTGTCTCTTTCCCAGGACCTGACATTTTCTTAGACTTTTCCATTGAACTCCCATGTTCCTTCTTGGATAAAAGTTCAAAATGTGAATCTCTACACACTACTTTCTTCTTGTAAGTGGATTATGCATGCTGGAATAGCCTTTAGTTGGCTGATATAGTTTGGATGTGTATTCCTGCTCAAATCTTATACTGAAATGTAGTCCCCAGTGTTGAAAGTGGGGCCTGGTGGGAGGTGACTGGATGATGAGGATGAATTTCTCATGAATGGTTTAGCACCACCCCTGTGGTACTGTCCTTGTGATAGTGAGTTCTCATGAGATCTGGTTGTTTAAAAGTGTGTAGCATTTCCCCCTCCCTCTTTTGCTTCTGCTCTGGCCATGTGACATGCCTGCTCCTCCATTGCCTTCAACCATGATTGTAAATTTCCTGAGGCATCCCCCGAAGCCACACAGATGTCAGCATCATGTTTCCAGCCTGCAGAACTGTGAGGCAATTAAACCTCTTTTCTTTGGAAATTACCCAGTCTCAGGTATTTCTTTATAGTAATGCAAAAATGACCTAATATAGAAAAATTGGTATTGAGGAGTGGGACATTGCTATAAATACCCAAAAATGTGAAAGTGACTTTGGAACTGGGGAACAGGAAGAAGTTGGAAGAGTTTGGAGAGCTCAGAAGACATGATGATGGGAAAAGTTTGAAACTTCCTAGAGACCGGTTAAATGGTTGTGACCAAAATACTGATAGTGATATGCTGATAGTCAGATGGACAATAAAGTTCAGGCTTCCAGAGTCTCATATGGAAATGAGGAACTTATTAAGAACTGGAGCAAAGGTCACACATATTATGTCTTAGAAGAAAAGTGTTCAACAAGTGGTGTGCCTGCTTCTAACATCCTACCTCAGATGAGAGAGGAAAGAAATGACTTAAAGTTGAAATTTATATTTAAAGGAGAAGCAGAGCATAAGTTTGGGAAATCTGCAGCCTGGCCACTTGGTAGGAAAAAAGCCTATTTTTAGTAGAACAATTCAAGTGGACTGCTGCAAACCAGCCCTTGCTGTTTCTATATCACTTGCTAGAGAAATCTGCATAACTAAAAAGAAGGCAAGTGCTGATAGCCAAGACAATGCGAAAAAGGCCCCAAAGGAATTTCAGAGTTCTAAGAGACAGCCCCTCCCATCACAGACCCAGAGGCCTAGGAGGACAGAATGGTTATGTGGGCCAGGTCCAGGGCCCCAATGCCCTGCACAGCCTCAGACATTGCTCACTGTATCCTGGCCATTACAGCTCCAGCTTTGGCTCAAGTGGGCTAAGGTACAGCTCGAGCTGCTGCTTCAGAGGGTGCAAGCTGTAAGCCTTGGCAGCTTCCATGTGGTGTTCAGCCTTTAAGTGCACAGAATGCAAGAGTTGAGGCTTGGGAGCCTCCATCTAGACTTCAGAGAATGTATGGAAAAGCTTGGGTATCCAGGCAGAAGCCTGCTGCAGAGGTGGAGTCCTCATGGAGAGCCTCTACTAGGGCAGGGTGGAGGGGGAAATGTGGAGTTGGAACCCCACACAGAGTCCCCACTGGGGCAATGCTGCAATGCCTAGTGGAGCTGTGAGAAAATAGCCACTATCCTCCAGACCTCAGAATGGTAGATCCACTGAGAGCTTGTACTCTGTTCCTGGAAAAGCCACAGACACCCAAGACCATTCCATGAGAGTAGCCTTGAGGGCTGAACCCTGCAAAACCACAGGTGTGGAGCTGCTCAAGGCCTTAGAAGCCCACTCCCTTGCATCAGTGTGCCCTGGATTTGGGACCTGGAGTCAAAGGAGATAATTTTGGAGCTGTAAGTTTTAATAACTGCCCTGCTAGGTTTCAAACTTTCATGGGGCCTGTAGCTTTTTTCTTTTGGCTGATTTTTTTTTCTTGGTAGAAATGGAAGTATTTATCCAATGCCTATAATCCCATTGTATCTTAGGAGTAACTAACTTGTTTTTGCTTTAACAGGCTTATAGGTGGAAGGGACTTGGCTTGTCTCAGATGAGACTGTGGAGTTTTGAGTTAATGCTGTAATGAGTTAAGACTTTGGGAGACTGTTGGGAAGGCAGGATTGTATGTTGCACTTTTGAGTTAATGCTGGAATGAGTTAAGACTTTGGGAGACTGTTGGGAAGGCAGGATTGTATGTTGCATTGTGAGAAAGACATGAGATTTGCATGGGGCTAGGGGTAGAATGATATAGTTTGGATGTGTGTCCCTGCCCAAATCTCATATTGAAATCTAATCTTCAGTGTTGGAGATAGGGCCTGGTGGGAGCTGATTGGATCATGGGGGTGGATTTCTCATGAATGGCCCAGCTCTATCCTTCATGGTACTGTCCTCACAATAGTGAGTTCTTGTGAGGTCTGGTCATTTAAAAGTGTGTATCACCTCTTCCTTCACTTTCTTGCTCCTGTTCTGGCCATGTGATGTGCCTATTCTCCCTTTGCCTTCCACCATGATTGTAAGTTTCCTGAGGCCTCCCCAGAAGCCGAGAAGATGCCACCATCATATTTTCTGTATAGCCTGCAGAACTGTGAGCCAATTAAACTTCTTTTCTTTATAAAGTACCTAGTCTCAAGTATTTCTATATATATATATATATATATATATATATATATATATATATATATATACTTTAAGTTCTAGGGTACATGTGCACAACATGCAGGTTTGGTACATAGGTACACATGTGCCATGTTGGTTTGCTGCACCCATCAACTTATCCTTTACATTAGGTATTTCTCCTAATGCTGTCCCTCTCCCAGCCCCCCACTCCCTGACAGGCCCTGGTGTGTGATGTTCCCCACCCTGTGTCCAAGTGATCTCATTGTTCAATTCCCTCCTATGAGTGAGAACATGTGGTGTTTGATTTTCTGTCCTTGTGATAGTTTGCTGAGAATGATGGTTTCCAGCTTCATCCATGTCCCTGCAACGGACATGAACTCATCCTTTTTAATGGTTGCATAGTATTCCATGGTGTATATTTGCCACGTTTTCTTAATCCAGT
Source organism: Homo sapiens (assembly GCF_000001405.40). NCBI lineage: Eukaryota > Metazoa > Chordata > Mammalia > Primates > Hominidae > Homo > Homo sapiens. The sequence continues at coordinate 38,558,092 of NC_000014.9, read as the reverse complement.
CTATCACTGATGGACATTTGGGTTGGTTGCAAGTCTTTGCTATTGTGAATAGTGCCGCAATAAACATACATGTGCATGTGTCTTTATACTAGCATGATTTATAATCCTTTGGGCATATATCCAGTATGGGATTGCTGGGTCAAATGGTATTTCTAGTTCTAGATACTTGAGAGTTCACCACACTGTCTTCCACAATGGATGAACTAATTTACACTCCCACCAACAGTGTAAAAGTGTTCCTATTTCTCCAAGTCCAGAATCGACAACTCAAATAAAGTTACAAGGAAAAAAAAAACCATCAAAAAGTGGGCAAAGGATATGAACAGACACTTTTCAAAAGAAGACATCTATGCAGCCAACAGACACATGAAAAAATGCTCATCATCCCTAGTCATCAGAGAAATGCAAATCAAACCACAATGAGATACCATCTCATGCCAGTTAGAATGACAATCATTAAAAAGTCAGGAAACAACAGATGCTGGAGAGGATGTCAAGTATTTCTTTATAGCAATGTGAGAATGACCTAATATGTCTGCCATCTTGGGGAAAAAACAGGAGAAGAAACTTAAGTGCCTGTTTCTTCATTGGTGGTGATGAGCTCTTAGTAGAATATGAAGGTTGCACTGCATATTATATGTGTTAATCACTTATTCCCTCACAAATTCTAGGTGGTTAACACTTCTACCCCACACTGTGATTTAGGAGGAAAGGTGACAAAGAGGGGAATAGAGAGAAGAGCTGAAACTGAGTTAAAAGTGTAATTTTGTGCTTCAAACAGGTGTAGAATAGAATAGGAGGCCCATGATGACTACATGAATGAATTAGCTTTTTTGGAAGAGGAAATGTACACTTCATAAAGTAGACTGTGCTTTTTTTTAAAATTCTTTTAATTGTTACAAACAGTTCTTTTCAAAATAGCGCTTAGGGCTGGGCATGGTGGCTCACGCCTGTAATCCCAGCACTTTGGGAGGCTGAGGTGGGCAGATTACTTGAGGTCAGAAATTAGAGACCAGCCTGGCCAACATGGTGAAGCCCCAACTCTACTAAAAATACAAAAATTAGCCAGGCGTCATGGCAGTTGCCACCCAGCTACTCGGGAGGCTGAGGCAGGAGAATTGCTTGAACTCAGGAGGTGGAGGTTGCAGTAAGCCGAGATCGTGCCACTGCAGTCCAACCTGGGTGACAGAGCTAGACTCTGTCTCAAAAAACAAAACAAAACAAACAAACAAAAAACCCAAAATAGCATTTAATGTTCATAAACAAGACAAAAAAAATTTGTTTGAATTGAAATGTGGGCCAGAATTTAAGAAGGGGAGTGATGTATCCTTGGGTTCTTGGCATGGTAATTGTTGTAGGTACAACAGTGAGAAAGTTCTGAGGAGGTAGTGAAGTTTCAGAAGTGAGTAAAGATCACTTGTACAGTCATAATTTCCACCCAGAGATTCTCCTGCTGAGGTCTTCCAGGCTCAAAATTTGAAGGGATTTGTATTAATATAGGAAGCTCTTTCCTTGGAAAAAAGCCTCTTAGACCTTAAGTGACTTGCAAGAAGCTGTTTTGACAAGGTTCATGAAAATGGTGTCAGGAAAAGGAAATTACTTGCTTTAATAACTCTGCCATTATTGGTGTTAAGTGTTTTGCATTCTGTTTGGTGATTTGCATACAGATGGGGCCATATGGACTCAGAACTATGTTCTTTGTGTTTCTTCCCATTTCTTCCTCTACAAGAAAATGAGTCAGATATGTAGATCAAGTTGTCCTAAAAGAGCCTGTGATTTTAATTTTGAGAGAGAAGTTAACCTACATATAGCATCGGGAGTAGGGCTGGAAGAATATTGTTCTGCTTAACTGTTTTTATCCTGGACTAGTAAAGCTTTTACATTGCCATAGAATTTTAGAGCTGAAGGAGCTTAGAAATCATATAGTCCAGCTGCATCTAGACTTATAATCCTGACTCTGAGTCAGTGTTTCTCACTATTTGTACTTTCTTTCTTTACAAAATGTATAGCACAGTGGTTAAAAGTTTAGCTTAAGAAACATAAGAAGCAGACGCCCATGGCAAAAGAAGCAGTTTATAGAAATAGTTTATAGTTTATACCAGTTTCTATTGTTGCCATCATTATGTCCATGTCTTTTATTTCTTAGTTTGAAAGCATATCGACAATATTACATCTAAACAATTAATGTCTACAATATTAATTTATGTTTTAAATAAACTATAGCATTATAAAAACCCTGCTTAATTGCTGTTTTGGGTAACAGTTTCCAAGCTCAAAATTTAAAGACATCTTGAATTTGTGTTCAAACATGATAATCTTAATAGTAAAATTCTGCTGACAATAAAATATCAACTTGTGTTTAACAAGAAGGTAAATATATTTTTTATTAAGGAGACTATAGGAAGGAAATTACTTCAAAACAGATCAAAATCATAGAATATATTGTTCTATACCCAATAGATAACAAATAAGTACAACAATTACTATGGAGGTAGCCAGTATCCATCAGGATTTAGGATTATGTGAAACTTTACCCAGGTGATGGGTCCTGAACTTTTATGGGATTTATCTCCCAACCTTTGATTCACATATATTTCATTAAGGTATATAATATACTTGTTACTTTTTTCTCATAGGACCCATTCAGCATAATATCATCAATGTAATGAACTAGTATATTCCTTTTCTATTGTTGCTGTAACAAATTACCACAAATTTAGTGCCTTAAAACAATACAAGTCTATTCTCTTAGTTTTAGAAGTCAGAAGTCCTAAAGTCAAAGATGTTGACAGGAGTATGGTTTTTCTGGAAGCCTTAGAGGGAAATACACTTTCTTGCTTTTTTCCAGCTTTTCTAGGCTACTCGCATTCCTGAACTGGTGGCCTCTTTCCTCCATCTTCAAAGCCAATAGAATAGTGTCTTCAAGTCTCTTTCTCTCCTTCTCTTTCAGCCTCTCACACTGACTTCTGATTCCATCATCACATCTCCTTCTCTGTCTCTGTGACTCTGACCCTCCTGCCTCCCTCTTATAAGGATTCTTGTGATTACATTGAGCCCAGTTAGTTAATCCAGGATAATCTCCAAATCTCAGTATCTTTAACTTAATCACATCTGCAAAATTTATTTTGAAATGTAAGGTAATATATTTGCAGATATCTAACTGTAGTTATGGGTCTAGTGGCAATAAAGGATTGTAGGGATGATGGACATCCTGCCTTGGCAAACTAACCTAGGTGAGGTTATTACATTGTTTTTAAGCAAAGGAAAGCTACTCTCCCTCGACATAGGAAAGTCATCTTTTTCCACTGACAAAAGAGACTCAGAGTAATGAGTATTCAAAATTCTCAGTTTCATCCTAGTCCAACTAGATGTCCTCATTCCTCCAGCATCATAACTTTTAAGAGACACTTCGAGTGACCATGAATCCTTCAAATCACAAAATTATACTTAACATTTGCCTTATAGTGGTATTGGTCTTATGGCTAGAAGGAGTGAGATTCCTTTAGGACCGCCCCAGAAGATTTTTAGTTCTCTGACATGACTTGAAATGAGTATACAGATTTAAGCTTCTAATTTTCCTTAAGTAAGTTAGTGCACTCAGAAGAATTCACCCCACACCACTGTTCCTTACAGTTATCTCTATTGCTATGATGGTCAAGTGCAGCAGCCATTTGGGGCTTCAAGGAACTTCATCACAACCATCCAGAGGCGATCCCCTGATTAACTGCATGCCATGGATGATTTACATCCTATTTCCTCTTGTCTGGGAACTCAGTACTACTACACTCAAGTCTAAACACATGATTCGAACCAAATCCAAGACCAGCAGCCTCCACATTGTTTGGGAACTTGATAGGGAGTAAAAATCAAGCCCTGCCCAAGACACACTAAATCAGAATCTGTTGGAGTGGTGTCCAAGGATATGTGATTCATAACCTCTCTGCGTGATTCTGAGGCACAATAAAGCTTGAGTGCCCCTCTAAATCTGACTACCCCTAAATCTGACTAAGCAAAGGGAAGAATTTGGAGTGGATAAAATGTAGAAATTCAGAGGAAGAGATTTTACGAGGTGAAATTCAGACGTCTGAGGAGGAGGTGCTATTTGGTGGTGTTGGGATCTGAATTCAGAGGAGATTCTCTGTGGGCTTGGGATCCAGATCTCTGAAGAGGGAGCATTCTCTGGATGGTGCTGATCTCTCTGGAGGAGGAAGAAATAATGAGACTGGTTCTGTAAGTGTTGGAAAAACTGCCAAGTGATTCAGCTGCTGCTATAGGAAGGAACTCCCACTGCTGGGTTGAGGAAGCATAGTGGGGGTGATGCTCACAGGAACCATAAGCCAGCAGGTCTCTTTCTCCTCCCCTAGACTTGCATTCTTTCTCTAGTGCTCATAATTAGAAGAGCCTAATGTTCATTCAACCTGCAATGCAGAAATGTGGTTTGCAGAGTCCCAGCCCAGCATAACAAAACAGAATTTAGAAGGATGGATTTGAAACTTAGATAATAACTTACTAACTGACACAGTTAATTGTTGCTGCTTCCTGTCTAATTTATTTACAAGAAAGAACATAAATATTCAGACATTAGTAGAACATCAATTTCAAAAGGATAATTTCCTACTAATATTCTTTTAGCCAATGGATTAGTTTAATAGGTAAATAAATTATTCCTTTTTGAGATTTATGTGTTAGACCCTACCCTATAAGTTTAGCACCCCATTAGCTAGAAAAGGACCCTGCCCAGAAAGAGAGTATGTTTTACTGGGGAAGCATTTGACTATCATGATTTGTAATTCAAACTCATATAATATATACTATTCATGTGTGTGAATTGTGATTTTTTAAAAAAATCATAAAGTTAAACAAAATGCATCAATAAACTGGAAGCAGAAGCTGTTAAAATACTGTTACTGCTATCCCGATTTCTACTATTTGTGACTAAAAAAAGGTTTCATTGTTCTTAGTGATTTTAATAAGTAAAGGGCATAATGTATACCTATGAATAAATGTAGTAGTAAAATATTAAGAATACAGCAGATGGCTTCTCTATAGAGCACATCTATGTGACTTCTGTGTTCATTGCCTGATATACATTCCACTAAAATTCTTCTACAAATTAGTGAAGAACCAAAATCATTTTACTCCTGTGGCAGATTCCTCAGTGAGAAAGAACAGGTTTACTGAGGCTTCACCGGGTCCAGGAGGCGATTTCTTAGACTTTGTAAGTGCCTTCTCGGGGTTTGGCTTGAATTTACAATATATGTTTATTTGAAGCCCCAAAAGACAGATGACAGAAAAACTTTTATCTGTCATCTTGTAATCAAGGTGGGAAAAGAGCTACAGATTTTGATTTCTTTTGCCAGAGGCAGTAGTAACCTTATGCTAGCAACATAAACACAGATGCAACGAACCATTCCATCTAAACCTCTTCAGAAGTTCATGGATATTTCCCATGAGATGACTAGTTCTGATTCAGTTTGGTTTAAAATAAGTTTTTTTTTTTTAATTTCTCTCGATACAGTGAACTTGGTTCAAGAGTAAAGTTATCATGGGTAATAAAAAAACGGACTTTAACCTTCAGCTACAATAAACTATAATACTATTACCTTAAAGTGTTAAAGCTTTGCGATATTCAAAGCACATTTTCATGGATTGTCTTTTTTTGATTATGGAGACAATACAATAGAAAGGGCAGCCGTTATCACTGTTATTTTACAAATGAAGAAAATGAGTCTCCAGCAGGTTAAGAGCTTGCCCAAGGATGTAAAATGATATATGGTGGCTTTAAAACTGAGGACTGAGACACAGAGCTAACTTTTTGAATATAATTTATGATTTATAAACATTTTACAATGTATTTCTAATAAAAAATAAGAAAAACAGAATATGTAGTTTCCTCAAAATAGGATGGAGTAAAGAATACAACACTGGCCGAGAGACCTGGTCCCAGTCTTAGTTTTCCCACTGACTGGCTGATTTTAGACAAGTTGCTATTTATTTGCTATTTCAGAGCCTCGGTTTGATAATTATACAAAGAGAATGTTGAGCCAAATAATTTCTAGTGCCTCTTTCAGACCTAACATTTTATGAAATAACTGCTGTTCAACTACTTAAGTTCTTGATTTTTCTAAGTGATTAATTCCCTTCCACCATCCCCTCTCTACTTATAACTCTGCCACTATATGCAACTCACTAACCAAGGAGGCAAACTTGTACATTTGGATTGTGCAGGCCTCAGAACCCCAACTACCAAACACATTTCTCCTATGAACTTGCTACTGTGCTCCTTTCTTATCTAACTTTCTCTAGATTTTCCCAAAATAGAGCCTCTTTTTAGAGCTCAAGAGAAAGTTGGTAGATATTGTGTATTAGTTTTCTAGGGCTGCCATACAATAGAATGGGTGGCTTAAACAACAGAAATTTATTTCCCTGCAGCTCTGGAGGCTAGAAATCTAAGACTAAGGTGTTGGCAAGTTTAGTTTCTTCTGAAGACTCTCTTTGGCTTGCAGAAAGCTGACTTCTCACTGTATCCTCACATGGCCCACCCCCCAGTCTATGTGTTGTTTGTGTCCTAATCTCTTCTTATGAGGAAACCAGTCATAGTGGATTAAGGCCTACCCATGTAACCTCCTTTTGCCTTAATTACTTCTTTAGAGGCTCTATCTCCAAATACAGTTACATTTTGAGGTACCAGTGCTTAGGGCCTCAACACAGGAATTTTGGGGGTACACAATTCAGCCTATAACATACTGATTTTTAAAAGTCTCCCTTAAAACATTCTCTGGGAATGAGGGAATAAAGTTATAGGATAGACCGCCAAAGTGGGGAGTGGATATAATTGGGGGAAAGGCTATTAAATATGGAATGACACTTTGCTAATTAAGTGGTTTAGGACACTCAGAAGACACTCTTTGCTGAAAGTAGGCCTTGCCCAGGACTGTCCTTGTAGAGGTGATGACTTGGATGAAATGTAATGAACTTATCTCATTGATGTATCTCAAGAGTAATTATTGCCTTGTCAATACTTCAGAGAGGCCCTTTTGGTAAAATGAGGCAATATGCTGTTTTTATCCCAGAATTCACTATTTTCCTTTATCCAAAAGACATATGATTTAACCATCTTTTAGTTCAGGATCACAAGAAACCTTTTAGCTGATTTGTCTCTGGCATAAAGAAGTCTAAAAACTACTAAAATATTTGGCTACTTTTTGGAAGTACTGGGATTATTGGGTCGTTGCTGTTTACGTTTTCTGCGTTCTGGCTGAATAAAAGATAATTCATTTGCCTCAAGTAGATTCATGCAAGTTTTCAGTCTCTCATTCCAAACACAGACATGACATATGTGTCATGACACAAAAAACCCAAAAGTCTAGATTGTGCTGTCCAATATGACAACCATTAGCTACATATGGCTATTTAGATTTAAAGTTGATTTAATTAAAATTAAATAGAACAGAAATCTAGTTTCTCAGCTGCACTAGCCATATTTCAAGTGCTCCATCGTCATGTGTGGTCACTATATTAGACAGTATAGACACAGAGCATTTCCAAAATCACAGAAACCCTATTAGACAGCACTAATCTAGATTATATTTCAGACAGACACCTATTGCTAGAACATTATCTCATTTGAAGGAATTAAACTTGCACTGTAAAATATTTTGTGCTTGTATCAGTTAGTGATGCATTTAGCTATAAATAACAAAAAGCCAACTATAGTGGCTTAAAGAAAAAAGGGTTTATTTTTCCTACCATAGGTTCAGGAACAGTGTCAGGGCCCGTCTCTGATTTTCTTGGCCTTTCCCTCAGAGTAAAAGATAGCTGCTTTGACTCCAGCATTATACCCATATTTAAGGTAAGAAGGAAAAGGAAGGAAATGTGTGGCATTTGTATCAGAAAATCAAAAGCTTTCTCAGAAATCCGTTAGCCAACTTTGGCATGTATCTTGGTCACAAGGGATTTTTGTGCCCACTCATGAAAACAGTTAGGGATAATGGATTTAAAGTCACAGTTGGGGTCATGAACCAGTGAATAGTGTCTGCCACAACTTCCTAATAGAATTTATGAAACATGTTTCCCAACATTACAGGGAAGTTAACAAGAAGCAAAAGATGAGATCCCATCCTTCCTCTAAAGAAGGTAAGTATTTAAGGTCTGGTTATTTTTTATTTTTTGCTTATTCAACAATCCATATTCCTAATATTGACAAACTAGGAAGAAGTAGCTACTTCTGTCTGAATTACATATGCTGATTGTGATAATGGTTGTGACCACAAAGAACAGTTATCAGGAAGCGGTGTGACGAAGTGGAAAGTGGGTAGACTTTCTTTCGCCTGTGGTTGTAATTAGTAAGTTGAGCAGGTCACTTATACTTAGTTTGGTCATTTACAGGGAGGAGATTAGAGTGAGGATCAAGTGAGTTAACATGTGTGACATGTGTCTGGTATGGAGAAGCAACTTCACAAATTTTACTTCTATTTCTTACCCCTTTGCATGTGCTGTGCAGATTGGCCGCAAATGAGCTCTCAGAACTTACCACAGTGAATGTCATAAAATTTCCAAATATAGATTGAAATATTTAACATGAAGCATTAGCCTGATCACACATACTCAGAAAACATATATCTTATGGCCTTTTTTCATCTAGTGATGTCAAACTTATCACAATGTGTTCTTTTATTTCTCTGAAGTTAAAAATTACTAAGAAGAATTGAAGATTTACTTTCTTCCCCCTTACATTTCCTTTATTTAGTTGACTTATAGGTCTGGACGTAATTTAGAATCCACCTCAGCTCACTGAGCTTCAGCAACTCGACTGCCTCAGAGAGGAAACACATGTGGAAGAGAATGTAGTTACAAGAACAGATGTGGGGAATGATGGCAGGCAGGCTTTTCTGCATCCTAAGCAACTTGATGACTGTCAAAAGAAACTGACGGGGTCCTAGAAAAAGCCACTACGAAGAGAGAGGAAGGGGCTGATGGAGATTTACGAAATAATAAAACCTTCCCTAATATTTTTTTTTTTTTTTTTTTTGAGACGGAGTCTCGCTCTGTCGCCCAGGCTGGAGTGCAGTGGCGGGATCTCGGCTCACTGCAAGCTCCGCCTCCCGGGTTCACGCCATTCTCCTGCCTCAGCCTCCCAAGTAGCTGGGACTACAGGCGCCCGCCACTACGCCCGGCTAATTTTTTTGTATTTTTAGTAGAGACGGGGTTTCACCGTTTTAGCCGGGATGGTCTCGATCTCTTGACCTCGTGATCCGCCCGCCTCGGCCTCCCAAAGTGCTGGGATTACAGGCGTGAGCCACCGCGCCCGGCCAAACCTTCCCTAATATTAACAGCAAGTGCCTTGGGGCTATACAACCATCCTCAAGGTACGCAAGGAATAGAGAAAAGTGCGTGGCTAGAGCAATCATTTTGAATTGCTACTGGGTTTTTTCTTTGAACATAGTGGCCAACTGGGGCTGCAATCAGCTTAATTATACCTACATCAAAGGGAGTAGCACAAAGTGAACAAGTATATCTGAGGAAAGTCTGCTGTAAATAGTTGCCCTGATGGAGCGGACTCTGAGAATCCTAGGTTCCCCCTGTGAGATTAAATGGTTTACAAATTACAGGCTCTTGCAGTGTATCAAAAGTTTTGAAGGTGGACAAAGGAGTTATTTCTTCTTTGTTCCTGTTATTCAAATTGTAGCCTCTATAAAGTATGTCTTAGATACCCTACTTCTCTGATGAGACTCTGCTCGGAAGTCTTGGTACATGTAGACAGCCAGGAGGAATTCACAGAAGGGTAATTAGAATGGCTGAATGAGATAAGATTAGGAGGAGTGATGAGTAAGTTTGACTAGACAGTGAGGAAGAAAATGGTAAGCATTTTGTTCCATATTTGGAAGGCAATAAAGAGCAAGGGCCAAAGGGAATTATTTGCTGTGTTACTTGGGGCATAATGAAGCATAACGAGGTAAAATGAAACTAAGGAGAATTTAGTGAGTATTTGAAATGTTTCCTGCCAGTAGCAACTCCAGGTTAGCCTTCTTAGAACAGGCCTCATTTAACACAGTGGGCTTTCTCTGTGATTGAATGCCATCCATTATGCTATAGAATCTTTTCTTCTGGAGAGGCACCATAAGCACTTTTATTGGAGATTTAGGATTAATCTAGGCTGCCCCTAGAAATAATGTTGCAAAAAGAAATTTTCTATTGTTTTGCATATTCAACAGTATAAAACTGCATGCTTTTTTTTTTTCCTTTAACAAACACTGTCTTGGTTTGGGTACCCACAAAACCAGAGCTGGAAATAAGGATCTGAGTGGATATAATTTATTTGGGAAGTGACCTCAGGAAGTAGGAGGAAGGGAAGGAGGAGAGTGAGGTAAGGGAGAAGGAAAGGCTAATAAAGGCTGCATTATGAAACTTCTCTACTACTGTAGGCAATGTGGGATCAACTCACAAATGCCTCCTGGAATTTTCTGTCTTAAGCATGAGAGAGGCTAGAGTATTTATCCACTGGCGCCAATCACCATTGATTGAGAGTTGTCCTTAGAGATGTTAACTTTCAAGCACTTCCAAGGGCTGATTTCCCACAGATTTGACAGACTCCTAGGCAGAAAAGCAAAGGTTTTGTGGGTGATGATATCAAGGTGTATGGTAATGTCTGGCACAGAGACCATTAGAATCAGAGGTGGGCCGAAGAGTTGGGGCTCAAGGCACTGGCAACAGCTGCTACAAACCCAGTTTGCCTCCCTAAACGCCTAACTCACCCTCTCCAGGCTTGGCTAGAAGGATGACAAAGCACTTTATATGGTGACATTGATTCTACAAAGTCAGAGACAGTGCTCATCTTCAAAGCCTAACTTTTACCATACTTGCAGTAACTGTATACTCTTTCTTATGAAACCCTCTTGAGGCTTCATTAACTTCCAGACCATTTTTTTTTTCAGTTTAATGCAGAAGTTATAATTTTTTGTTTTGTCATCAATTTTTTCAAACTTGTCTCATCCAATGAATTACCAAACAAGCAGCTATTCCATGATTTTCTGTGCAAATGTCTACCTAGTACAGTGATTTGCATTTGGTGTATATTCAATAAATGTAGGTTAATTATTTTGTTTTTCATTTCTATCCATTTTTAATTAAAAAAGCAATATGTGCACATGATAAAAATTCAAGCAGTACAAAAGTTTATACAATATAAAGGTTTTTTTTTTTTCTTTTGCAAGAGTTTTGCTCTTGTTGCCCAGGCTGGAATGCAATGGAGCGATCTCAGCTCACTGCAACCCCTGCCTCCCAGGTTCAAGTGATTCTCCTGCCTCAGCCCCCGGAGTAGATGGGATTACAGGCATGTGCCACCATGCCTGGCTAGTTTTGTATTTTTAGTGTACATGGGGTTTCTCCATGTTGGTCAGGCTGGTCTTGAACTCCTGACCTCAGGTGATCCGCCCACCTTAGCCTCTCAAAGTGCTGGGATTATAGGCATGAGCCACTGCGCCCAGCCAAAGAATTTATTATTTTTTTTGACCTTGACTTCCAGTCTCTCTTTCTTAATATAGCCTTTTTTTTTTTTTTTTTTAAAGACAAAAATCTCACTCTGTCACTCAGGCTGGAGTGCAGTGGCCTGATCCATAGCTCACTGCAGTCTTGAACTAACTCCTGGTCTCAAGCAATCCTCCCACCTCAGCCTCCTGAGTAGCTGGCACCACAGGTGTGAGCCACTGTGCCTGGCTTATTGTTAATAGTTATTTATTGTTCCAGAAGTTGTCTGTGGATATGTAAGCATATTTATATGTCCATTAAAATGTAAATTGGATTATGTATACATGATCTGTGCTTTTTCACTGAACAAATATATTGAAGATTGTTTAATAATAGCATATACATATCTACCTTATTCATTTTACTTTATTTTCCTCCAATTTTATTGAGGTATACTTGATAAATAAAAATTATATATATTTAAGGTGTACAGTTGATGTTTTGATATATGTATACCTTGTGAAGTAATTACGACAATTAAGCTAATTAACATGTCTATCATGTCATATAGTTAACATGTTTTGTATGTTTGGTGAAAACACTTAAGATCTACTTTTTTAGCAAATTTCAAGTATACAATACGTTATTATTACCTATAGTTACCATGCTGTACATTAGATCTCCAGAACTTATTTATCTTATAAAGTATGAAACTTAAGAAATTTTATGTCCTCAGACCAAAATCCCCCCATTTCCAGCCCAGCCACCAGCCCAGATTTAGTTGATTCTAAAGAGTTCAACTTCTTTAGATTCCATATATAAGTGGAAATATCTAAGTAGTTGTCTTTCTGTGTCTGGCTTATTTCACTCAGCACAACATAATGTCCTCTGGATCATCCATATTGTTGCAAATGGCAGGATTTTCTTTTTTTAAGGATGAATAATATTCTTGTGTGTGTGTGTGTGTGTGTGTGTGTGTGTGTGTGTGTGTGTGTATACCAGTATTAAACCACATTTTCTTTATTCCTTCTTCTGTTGACAGACACATAGGTTGATTCTATATTTGGTTATTGGGAATAGTGCTGCAGTAAACACGAGAGTGCAGATATTTCTTTGAGACACAGATTTCAATTTCTTTGGATACATACTCAGGTGAGATTGCTGGATCATATGGGAATTCTATTTTTAGTTTTGTGAATGCCTCATTTATTTTAATAGCTATCTGGTATTTCAGTGTACAGATGTGTTATTCATTAATCTGAGTTTTCTGCCTCCCAGAGAATTTCTAGAATTGTAATAATCATAACATCATAATTAATTTGCCCATTTTGTCAGTTAGGATAGACTCGGTTATACTGTGGTAATAGTTTTCTATTGTGACGACAGATTGCCACAAACTTAGCAGCTTAAAACAAAACAAATTTATTATCTCTCCATTTCTATGGGTCAGAATTCTGGGTATAGGTTACTGGGTCCTCTCCTCAGGGTTTCATCAAGCTGAAAAGCAAGGTGTCAACATGACCTGCAATTTCATCTAAGGCTCCAGCTTTTCTTCCAAGCTCACTGGTTGTTAGAAGAGATTATTGCCTTGCAGCTTTATGACTGAGGTCCCTGTTTTCTTGATAGTTGTCAGTGGGGGACCGCTCTGAGCTCCTAGAGGCTGCTCTTCTCCACAGATAATTAATCACATGGCTGCTTGCTTCTTTTAGGCCAGCAGGAGTTTCAGCTTCTGCTGCATGTCTCTTTTAAGGGCTCGCTTGATTAGGTCAAGCCCACCTAGGACAATCTTCCTTTTGTTTAACTCAAAGCCCAGCTGATTAGGGATCTTAATCATATCTGCAAAATTTCTTTTGCCATATCATGGGACTGCTATCCCACTATATTCCCAGGTCTTGCCTATGCTCCAGAAAAGGGGTCCTGGAGCCCATTTGGAAACTCTGCCTACCACACGTAGTGACAAGTGCCTCCTACAAAATGTCAGTGTTTTAAGACAATGAATGCTTATTTTTCACTCTGGCTACTCATCCATCATGGATTCTAAAAGGGGCTTTGCTTATTGTTGTCGTACAGGGTCCTATACAGATAGAACACTTGCTCTTTGAACACGTCTAATGGCCAGCCCAGCAGGAAAAGAGACATCTAGAGAGAGGGTTTGCCTTGACAATTAAATGCTTTACTCACAATCCATTAGCTAGAATTATGTGACCATACCCAACCACATGAGGACCAGGAAGTACAATACTACCATGTGCCTAAGAAACTGAAATATCTGGTGAGTCACTTTCTTTTTTTTTCTTTCCTTTCCTTCTTCTTCTTCTTCTTTTTTTTTTTTTTGACAGAATCTCGCTTTGCTGCCCAGGCTGGAGTGCAGTGGCACAATCTCGGCTCACCGCAACCTCCGCCTCCAGGGTTCAAGCCATTCTTGTGCCTCAGCCTCCTGAGTAGCTGGGACTACATATGTGTGCCACACACCCAGCTAATTTTTGTATTTTTAGTAGAGATGAGGTTTTACCATGTTGTCCAGGCTGGTCTTGAACTCCTGGCCCCAAGTGGTCCCCTGACTTGACCTCCCAAAGTGCTGGGATTATAAGCGTGAACCACAGTGCCTGGCCTGGTGAATCACCATCACTTTCATCTATTTATACATTCAGGTTGTCACTTACAGATGGGCTAACATGGTACTCAACCAGCTTCCTCAGGAAAATTCTCTCAAGTATTCACATTTGATAGTACTTGCACTCCATTTGAGACGTCTCATGATTAACTGGTGGTAGATTTCATAAAGTATCTTTAAGGAAAGTGAAATATTTTGATTCTGTGTTCAAAGAATGATCTATTTTTTATGTGTGAAGTGAATGTTTCAAGTTTGAGAGAGTCATCAGTTGAAGGCTATTTGACAGCTTTGGTTTCTTAGCTACAGGGCTTACTATGTAAGTTTCTGTTGTGCAATAGTTGACCTTGAAAGCAGCCAAATCCCCAGGGAAGTGACAGGTGATCCGGAGAGCAAAAGAGGGTAGCAAGCAGGAGACATGAGGAGCAGGCAGCAAAAAGCTGTCAGGAATGAAAGGCTGGGTAAAGGTCATCTCCTCTGAATTACTTTACATTGTTTTTCTAACTTCCTTTCCAGAGTCAGAATCTTAGAAAGATACAACACTGGCAGTGTGCGGTGGCTCACGCCTGTAATCAGAGCACTTTGGGAGGCCGAGGCGGGCGGATTACGAGGTCAGGAGATCGAGACCATCCTGGCTAACACAGTGAAACCTCGTCTCTACTAAAAATACAAAAAATTAGCCGGGCGCGGTGGCGGGCACCTGCAGTCCCAGCTACTCGGAAGGCTGAGGCAGGAGAATGGCGTGAACCCAGGAGGTGGAGCTTGCAGTGAGCAGAGATAGCGCCACTGCAGTCCGGCTTGGGCAAAAGAGTGAGACTCCGTCTCAAAATAAATAAATAAAAATAAAGATCCAACATTGTGTATACTATGCAATAATATTCTTTTCAGGTGGAGATCCAGTCTTTGTGTGAACATATCTAAAGCAGGGACCTCACTACCCCCAGAAGCAATGTATTCTTTTTGTTTAAAAAGTAAAACTTTCAGTTGCATACAAACATAGAAAGTATTATATATGGAATCTTGAGTACTCACCATCTAATTTAAGCAAGTATCAATGTTTTGCTATTCTTGTATTTGTGATCTCCCATGCAAATTTTCTTTGCTATTTTATTTTATTTTATCTTGAGACTGAGTCTCGCTCTGTCCCCCAGGCTGGAGTGCAGTGGCGCGATCTCGGCTCATTGAAAGCTCCGCCTCCTGGGTTCACGCCATTCTCCTGCCTCAGCCTCCCGAGTGGCTGGGACAACAGGTGCCCGCCCCCACGCCCTGCTAATTTTTTTGTATTTTTAGTAGAGACGGGGTTTCACCGTTTTAGCCAGGACGGTCTGGATTTCCTGACCTCGTGATCTGCCCGCCTCGGCCTCCCAAAGTGCTGGGATTACAGGCGTGAGCCACTGCGCCCGGCCTGCTGTATTATTTTAAAGCAAATCCTACACATCAGCTCATTTAACTCATATATACTCCAGTGTGTGTGTATCTAATGTATAAAGATTTCTTTTACCCTTTATTATCCATTTAATTTTTAGATAAGTGTACTGATGAGAAATTTCTTTCTTTGAATATTATGCTGAAAATTTGCTTTCTGTAAATTTGGCTCATTGATCCTTGTTTGTCTTTGGAACAATGCATAATAACCTCTCTTTCATAAGACTATCTTGCAATCAACAAATACTTAAATTCTGTTTATGATAGCTACCTTTCCTATCTGCCCATCCCAAAACACTTTGTCACCACTGATACAGTTAGGCTTTGTGTTCCCACACAAATCTCATCTTGAATTGTAATCCCAGAATCCCCACGTGTCAAGGAAGAGACCAGGTGGAGGTAATTGAATCTGGGGTTCGTTTGCCCCATGCTGTTCTTGTGATAGTGGTGAGTTCCCATGAGATCTGGTGGTTTTATAAAGGGCTCTTCCTCCTTCACTCGGCCCTTCTGCTTCCTGCCGCCTTGTGAAGAAGGTGCCTTGCTTCCCCTTCACCTTGGCCATGATTGTAAGTTTCCCGAGGCCTCCTCAGCCATGTGGAACTGTGAGTCGAATTAACTCCTTTCTTTATAAATTACTCAGTCTTGGGCAGTTCTTTATAGTAGTATGAAAGCAGATTAATACAACCACACATGATATACTTTATTTAACCATCACATCTATAATGAAATTTCTTTATTGTCTTAGCCATCCTTCTCTGAACACATTCCAAATGGCCACGGTCTGTCCTAAAATGAAGTGTCAGAATACAACTCAACCCTCTAGAGATGGTGTGACCACTGTGAAAAGAGCAGTGCTGTTTTCCTTGGTCTGGATACACATGCAAAGTAAATTTTTTAATAGGAAGCATAACTTATTGACTGATATTGAGCTTTTAGTCAATCAAAACAGCCTGATTTTTAAATATAAATTATTACAAAGGGACTTCCTTTTATACCTATGAATTGATTTTGCTGAATCTAAATGCATGTGTAATATATATTATTTTGGTGACAGATACCCTAAAAGCTCTGACTTGGCCACTACACAGTTTTGTTATATGCATATAACAAAATTGCACATATACCTTATAAATTTTTTAAAATACAGAAAAGAAACACACAAAACAAGCAGTATGTATGGTTTAGGTATTTTCAATTATTTCCCTCCTATGAGCAGAGATTTCCTACATCCAAAACATGTTTCATATTAAAGGGTTTTCCTTATATTGCAGAAATATTCTGAAGTCAGTTGATAGAAATTAGTTGGTAAAACAGTGACTTAGACAAGTTTATAAACTGAAATTGCTAAGTTACTCTGAAAATCAGTAGTCACCCTAAACTAAAAAAGTAATATCTCAGGACAGATGGCTTTAAAAAGAGCAGCATAGAATGCATGGAAGAAAATCTCTAGAACGTGTTCAATTAAAAAGAATCCAGATGAGTCCAGCAAAGTCAGATTCCTAAAGGTTATCACTACTTGTCTGTTGTCTCCACATAATACCAAAAGAGCGGCCGGGCATGGTGGCTCACGACTGTAATCCCAGCACTTTGGGAGGACGAGGCGGGAGGATCACTTGAGGCCAGGAGTTTGAGACCAGCCTGGCCAACATGGTGAAACCCCGTTTCAACTAAAAATACAAAAAAATTAGCTGGGTGTGGTGCACGTGCCTGTAATCCCAGCTGCTCGGGAGGCTGAGGCAGGAGAATTGCTTGAACCCAGGAGGCAAAGGTTGCAGTGAACTGAGATTGCACCACTGCACTCCAGCCTGGGTGACAGAGTGAGACTCTGTCTCAAACAAACAAACAAAAAAAACGGCTGGATGAGTTTTTGCCAAATATGAAGGAAAGCCATACAATAAACATTAAAAACATTGCAATTGTTTGACTTAAATGAGAGACTGAAGAGTGTGCCAGAATTAACTTTTGGAAAAATTAGCAGGGGCAGGGTGGAAGATATAGAGAGTTCAGGGGTTTCAGAGGCCTGTAACTAACAAGGAGAAGAGACATTATTATTTTCTTTTTCACAGACAGGTATAATACAGTCTAGCTAAGGGGATGTTTTGCTGCCAATTGAGACAGACACACTGTATCTACTAAAAGTTATTGACAAAGAAAACAAACAGTGAGCCCTGTATTGATTATTCGATTCTGTTTCTGGACTTTTTCCCCTGTCCATGAGGTTCAAAATGTAAAGCTAGACCTAAATGTATATACTTTCTAATGGTAAAATCACATTGAGACAATAACAGATCAAATAAATCATTATTAAGGATGTAACAGCTTGAACCCAGACAATTAAAAAAACTCAACATTATAGCCCTTTGCCTTTCAATGAGTTTTGGTGATAGCTTGGCTTTGGAGAATATCAATTTTACTGAACCTCTTTTCTTTAAAATATTAGGTTGGTACAAATGTAATTGCTTTGCCATTAAAGAAATGGGAAAAACCACAATTACTTTTGTATCAACCTAATATTTGCAGGTCCTAAAGAAAATTTGTTTTACTCTGAAAATCAAGAAGTCAAAAAGGCAGACAGTAATACTGAATGACCTTTTACAGGGGCAGCCCTATGTAGTGGGTCCAGGACAAAGTAGCATGGGTTCATGCATTTGTACTCTGGACATAGAATGACAAATGTAATAACCAAAAAACTTTGTTACTAAATTGAGAAATATTTCAACCCTACATTAATTATTACAATTACAGGAAATTACTGAAATGCCAACATTATTTTTTAATTATTTGTATTAAACTTTATTTAAAAGTGATTAATGATTCTTTTCATCATGGCAGGTAATATAGCTAGCGTATATGTGATGAGATGCATACAATTCTTATTTTTTAGTAAAAGTCTACCTATGTTCCATTAACTTTTATAGCATCTAAAATTTAAAGGGAACTCTCCAGTTATTGATACATAGCTAAATAAATTGTGAACTTTCCTTGATGCATAAGATAAATTCTGGTGCAGAGTGAGCAAACAAGGTAAGCAGTACCTCTAATCAAATTAATAATACTTATTCTATTTGCTGTGCAGTGTAAGGATAACTCTTATCTTCCACTTTATTTCTCATTTTCTGTGATTTGAGAAATTACCATCAGATATTCCATATCCTGTGTAATTTGACTCATTGGAACCCAGGGACTTGAGCTTCATTATTATCTCTCAAACATAATAGGTGGAAAGAGCATTAAGCCAGGAGTCAGGATGCCAGAGTTCTGTCCAAATATTGTCAAGGACTTACTTATGACTTTGAGCAAGGCACCTAAAATATTGGTTCCTTATCTGTTATGAAAAACATAAAACTGTATGATTTTTTGAGGCTCCTTCTAATATCAAAATTCTACCTCAGTTTTTGGTTTTCCTTTAACTGTATTTATTCTTTCCAGTTTGACAATTATTCTTTGTGATGCTGTAAAGGGAAGCAAAATAGTTTAATATCTCTATTTCATTTCTGTCATCAGTTAAGTTTTACATCTTTTTAAGATTTAGGCCAAGCTCTACTTATTTTTTTCTCTTTGCTCTAAGCTTAGCTTTAACAAACAAGAAAGGTCTTTTTGGTGGCTTTCTGATTTTTTTTTTGCTAAGCTTTGCTTGCAAGGTTTATGAATCAGACAGAACCAGGGCTTGAATCGCAGCTCTGACTTATGCTTGTTGTGTGAAGTAGGCAAGTCTATCAATTTATCTAAAATTCAATTTTCTCATTTATTAAACTGTGATAATAGTAGAGTCTGCTTCATGGCATTGTTGTGGGGATTACATGAAAAATGACATGAAGTGCTTAGTGCAAATGCCTTGGCACAAAGAAAGCCCTAAAGAAATGTTTTTCTTATTTTTACATTGTGCTGCCATCATCATCATTATCATCATTGTCATTATTACTCTGGAATTTATTTTTGAAAACGATTACTTTTTTATCACTTTCTATTAAAAATCAATAACTATGATATCTCATACATGTAGATAATTTTATAGTTTACAAGGTATTTCTACATGCCAAAGCTGGTCTTTGCAATAATGCTCTGAGTTGAAAAATATTCATATCTCCACACCACAAGAGAGTCTCAGAGAGGTGTAGTAACTTGTCCATGGGACTAACACGGAGAGCTTGGTCTCCTTGTTTACTTCCTGTGATGGTTAATATTGATTGTCAACTCGATTGGATTGAAGGATGCAAAGCATTGTTCCTGGGTGTGTCTGTGAGGGTGGTGCCAAAGGAGATTAACATTTGAGTCAGTGGACTGGGAGAGGCAGACTCACCCTCAATCTGGGTGGGCACAGTCTAATCAGTTGCCAGTGCAGCTAGGATAAAAGCAGGCAGAAGAACGTGGAAGGACTTGACTTGCTGAGTCTTCCATTCCTCATCTTCCTCCCCTGCTGGATGCTTCCTGCCTTTGAACATCGGACTCCAAGTTCTTCAGCTTTGGGACTCTTGGGCTTACACCAGTGCTTTGTCAGGGGCTCTTGGGCCTTCGGCCACAGACTGAAGGCTGCACTGTTGGCTCCCCTACTTTTGAGGTTTTGGGACTCGGACTGGCTTCCTTGCTCCTCAGCTTGCAGACGGCCTATTGTGGGACTTCACCTTGTGATCGTGTGAGTCAATACTCCTTAATAAACTACCCTTCATATGTATGTCTATCCTTTTATTTTGCCATTGCTTTTAATGGCAAAAACAGCAATTACTTTTGCATCAACCTATAGTTCTGTCCCTCTAGAGAACTCTGATTAATTAACTTCCCCAATCCCGTAGTGCATAGTACAGGACACACATCAGGTGGTTTTGTGACAGCATTGTCTGTGATGAGCATCAGCACTAGAAAAATAAAAGCTTCCTTAGAAAAAACTTTATGTTGTGAGAGAATACTGGTATTTTATTATAGAGTGTACATTTGTTGAAATAGAAAAAATATAAGTTTTTTTTTCTTCTGTTACATTGGCTCATAAGTAGAGTTTTTTTTCTTCAAAATTTACTTTTAATTTTGAATAGCATACATATGATACATATTAAAAAGATAGTGTCCAATGCGAGATTCTAGGAGGTTCAGGAGGGTTCCTGAGGTAATAGTTGCGGAGGGGAGTCGTGGTCATAGGGCATGAAAAAGGCCTCAAATTGTGCCTGGGTACATTTGCTGGAGAAGGACACAGACAGACTGGCATGGAAAGTCACACACACTCTCATTTGTTGCACTTCTCTCCTTATTAATCTTCCTCAAATAAAGAGGAAAACAATTGTTTTTGCCTTCTAGGGCACATTTCTGCAAGAAAGTTTGCACCAATTTGAAGAAAAATGGAAAAAGAAGGACAATGCAATGAATTTTTCATAATGCTCCTTTTATGCTAAGATTTAAAAAAAATTCTTAGTTAATAACTTCCTGTTTTGTTGTTGTTGTTGTTTAAAAATGATCTTTTCCTGAAATGATGACAGTTTGCTAACTAGATTTGCTAAAATCTGGTAAATATGGATTGGCTACCAACATTCTTTGACAATTTTATTAGTTCTTGGAATCCAAAACACTGAGGCCTGAGACATCCAAGTGGAGACACAGCTAAGGCCGGGATTATCTGTGTGGTGTTGGAGGCCCTTCGCAAGTGCTTAACAGAGCCCCTCCACTGGCTGCTGCACCCTCTGAGTAAACATCCATCAGACTGAGTGAATGGAATGCAATTTAGATGAGTTCCTTCTGAAAAGCTGTCAGAGAGACTGTGAAATGTGACTACTTTGATTGACTCTCCTACTTTCTCTCTCCCCAAATAAGCCAGATTGGCAGGATTCAAAGGAGACATAAAATTAGTTATTATTGGCTGATTCAGCAATAAAGCCAGGAAGCAAGATCTGCTAAGTGGAAAGTATTCTGGGACTAGGAATGAGAAATTATGATTATAAGGCAAGGCTTAACTAGCTGAGGAAGTTTCTCCATGCCGGCAGCTGATAAACTGCTTTGTAACTGGATAAAATGTTGGTCTTAGTCAGGCTCCATTGCCACAGACACTTTCAGACAGATAGCCATGTGGGTGAGCAGACAGCATTCAGCCAGGACTCATGCATGCACCCGTGGTACAAGAATTTGCCAAATAGTTCCTGAGGCATCAGCTATTAGAGAATAATTCAATGATAATTTATCCTTAATAACACAGTACAACTTCCATTACATATTTATTTCAGACTTAAAGTCAATTAAATTATCTGAAAATGATTTCTGGGTTCATCTCTTTCATTTCCTTATTGCACTGCAGCTATGACAGCCTAAACCTCTCATCCATCAGGTTTATTCCAAAGTCCTACAGAATGAACAATTGGACATTTTTCTTAATACCTTGATTATCAAAAACTTTTAGATGAACTGATTTGGGGGTATCTGTCTCAATTTTTTCTGCTATAATTGGGCCCTTTTGCATTATTGGTGGGAACTTAGACCTGTTTCTCCTCCTAATAACTGGAACTGAGAAAGATGAGGTGGAGAGAAGGTTTCAGGTATTCCCAAATGGAAGCAACTTGGTGTCTAGACTATCCCACTCCATTGCAAATGGTTGGCATGTAGCCTCCCACCCCATCACCTCATAATAAAGCCAGGCAGTACATCAAGGCCTCAGACAAAAAGCCCATTAGGCATCTCTGTGATTAAGCTGATTAGCTAGACGTCATTAGGAATTTTAAGTCCAATATCAGTGGTGAATCAGATCCAATTTGCATAAACTACAAGGTGCTTCATTAAGGCTAATCATTTTCCTATGTCCTTTGGTAATAAATCATCCTTCTATGGGGCTCATTTAGATTGAGCTTGAGAATTTTACCTTCAGAATTCTTCAACATGGTTAAGATCACTTTAGCTGTGGTCTTTGGCCTCATTTGCTGGGGTAATGCCTGTTGGGAGCCCCACCTCAGTGTTGCATCCTTGAAAAAGCATCCTTGAAATCTAAACTATGATTCATTAGAGTCTATGTGCCAATGGCCAGGACCCATAAGATAATGAAGTATGCATCTTGTAAGACACTAGTAGAGCAAGTCATACTTGTTAAAACTGATAAAGTACTCCTGCCAAATAGTTCCTTGTGTTGAGCCAACTGATCATTAAATAATTTTACATACCCCTCTTGAAAATGAGTCTATTTAAATCTGGGAAAATTTATCAGGTTTTAGAATCCAGAGCTCTCATATGAATTGTTTTTTCTTTACAGTCACTTGTGAGAATGATGAGATTCTGCTTGTTTGACCCTATTATTCTTATTTTGGGTCATTTGCATAATCTGTTCCCTGTGCTTGGAATATCCTACCTACCCTCCCCACAGTTTCTTGTGCTTGAGGCCACTGAAGGATTTTTCACACTGCCATATAACTTCCTTTTTACTTATGTATCTCTCCTCCTCCTTGAAAACAAATATTCTGTTCCTAGCACATAGTAGATAATAAATGTGAATTTTATAAAATGTGAATTATGAGATGGTGGCTCTAATGGAATATTACATAGCCTACTCGAAGGAGGATGTTGATTTCTATATATTGACATGTAAAAGTGTCCATATATTTTTTTAACATAGTGAATGAAAAACAAGATGAAAAACATGCACAGGATGATCCTAGTTTTGTAAAGAAAAGAAAAGAAAAAAAGAAAAAGGTGCTTATATATATTCATAGAAAAAGTCAAAAATATAAATATTCAGGGTAAAATCTGTGTTATAAAGGTATGGCTTTTACTTTTGGCTTTATCAGTTTCTACATTTTGATTTGTTAGATTAAATCTGTATTGCTGTTATAACTTAAAAGCCCAATAAATAATTTTTTAAACCACGAGACTATAGATTTCATTTGCAAATTATTATTAACTTAAAATTAGTTTCTTATGGCTGCTGTAACAAATTACTATGAACTGGGGCCAGGCACAGTGGCTCACACCTGTAATCGCAGTACTTTGGGAGGCCGAGGTGGGTGGATCACTTGAGGTCAGGAGTTCGAGACCAGCCTGGCCAACATGACAAAACCCCATCTCTACTAAAAATATAAAAATTAGCCAGGTGTGGTGGTGCATGCCTGTAATACCAGCTGCTTGGGAGGCTGAGGCATGAGAATTGCTTGAACCCAAGAGGCGGAGGTTGCAGTGAGCTGAGATCACACCACTCCACTCCAACCTGGGCTACAGAGTGAGACTCTGTCTCAACATAAATAAATAAATAAATAAATAAATAACCAAATTACTGCAAACTGGATGGTTTAAAAATACAGCAATTTATTCTTCTATAGTTCTCGAGGCTGAAAGTCTGAAAAGAAGATTTCAGTAGAGCCATACTCCCTCCAAAGGCCCTAGGAAAGAATCTTCCTCTGCTTTTTCTAGCCTCTGGTGATGGATGGCAATCCTTGGCATTCCTTAGCTTGCAATGCATCAATCCAGTCTCTGCCTTGGTCTTCATATGGTTTCTTCTCTGTGTCTTTACATAGTCTTCTTAAAGGGACATCAGTCATTGGATTTAGGGTCTACCGTAATCCAGTATAACTTTGCTATAACATAACTAGTTACATATACAAAGACACTATTTCCAAAGGTCACATTCTGAGCTTCTGGATGGACGTGAATTTTGAGGGGACACTCTTCGTTCCAGTACAGACATTACTAAAGAACGCTTACAAACAAGGGTCAGTATCGACAAGCTTTATGTGTCAAAAAGTCTTTTCTGAAGGCTGCCATCTCAGGAGTATCTCACCATTACAGTTCATTGTACCCATTGGACAGGCATAGGATGAAAGCATGGGATGATATTATTGCTGCTACAGGTTTGAAGAACTTACCAAGCTTCAGGTCATCTCTCCTCCAGGCTTCGACCTGAATGCACTTTACTTACGTTACCCCAGCTTTGAGATTAAGCAGCTTGTAGTTTCTCTTCTAGTCTCTAGCTTTACTTTTGGTGTGAGATTTTGTTTGTTAATAACAAGAGTTTAGGGAAACTTTTTTTTCTTTAATCTAGGTTTTTGTTGTTGTTATACTTTAAATTCTGGGATACATGTGCAGAATGTGCAGGTTTGTTACATAGGTATACACGTGCCATGGTGGTTTGCTGCACCCATCAACCCTTGATCTACATTAGGTATTTCTCCTAATGGTATTCCTCCCGTAGTCCCCCACCCCCCAGCAGGCCCTCGTGTGTGATGTTCCCCTTAGGAACACTTTTAATTTCTTTATTTCTTATATTCACTCCACAAATGTGATCAGCACATATTATCTGCAAGGATAGAGCGTATCCAAATACTCTTTGTAAAGCAAGATTTGATCTTATGTTTACCAGGCGGGAGAACTGGATATCATTAAAAATCCTATATGGCAAAGCATTTGTGAACCAGTGCAGAAGGAAAGATTGAGGTCAATAGTTTACAATGTTACTAACACTGTATCTTTTCCATTGGTAAGCTCCTTCCAAGAATCTGGCTCTTAAATATATCAGTTAAACCACAGTCTTTACGGTAGAAAATTTATTTGTAACAATTTACTGTTTAGCTTTTCCTTAAGCCTCAAATCAGTTATCTATACTTACTGTTAATGCTATTTGCACAAAGTACTCTGTGCAATGCAAATTTCTGTCCCTTCTCCCAAAGGGCTAAAAAAATCACATGGTGAGAGAAAGAAAATGCAAGAGACATTCTGAATTTAATTCATGAGGTTTTCTTTTTTTCTGTCACATATGTAGTATTTGTATCAGAGTCAGAATTTAGAGCTAAGTTTGAACATTCAACAGATAAAAGAAAATGGTTTTATGTGGCAAACCTACTGCTCCAGAAAACAAGTAATTAAAGGATCTCTTAAAATAGCAGCCATAAATTGACATTCCATGGGAAGCCATGATTTCATTACTGTTTTTTTTTTTTTAGTGAGGCTCTTCCCTGGGCACTATTCTGAGAAATGGAATCTGTTAGCAGAATGAGCATATCACCCAAGTACTCCACATCCTCCTCTACAGAAAGCGTTAGTGCCTTTCTGGAAAACGCGGGATAATTTTATCATGTCATGTGGAGGTATTACCTTGCTATTATCTTTGTTTGGAGATTAGTATTATTTAAGAAGATATGTAAGGGTGCCATGTTGATGAGGGGTAGACTTGTAATGGTTAATAATTTTTTGTGTCAACTTGGCTAGGCATGGAAAAGAGATGGTTGGTCAAACATTCTTCTAGATGTTTCTGTAAACCTTTTTTTTTTTTAAAGATGAGATTAACATTTATATCAGTAGACTTTGAGAAAAGCAGATTACCCTTCATAATGTAAGTAGGCCTCACCCAATCATTTGAAGACCTTAATAAAAAAAAAAATAAAACCTGACTGCTCTGGAAGAGGAAGTTCTGCCAGCATATTGCCTTCAAGACTTGAATTGCAACATTGACTCATCCCTGCATGTCCAGCCTACTGGTCTGTCGTGCAGATTTTGAACTTGCCAGACACCACAGTGTAATACACCAATTATTTAATCACACATCCTCTCTCCCTATATCCTATTGGTTCTGTTTCCCTGGGGAACCCTGACCAATACAGATTTTAAGAGGGACACAGCCTATAGAGGCATAATAGACTTCCTGCTGAGTTTGAGACCTCAAGTCATGGTAGGCACTGATTCCCTATCATTGCTATTTCCATGTTTGGTCAAGGCATTACACTGGAGATGCAGGCTGTGTTGTTTCTTTGGCTAAGAAAAGAAGCTTCTACTGAAGAGTGAATGAAGCTTCCTCTAGATTCTTAAGCCGCTGCTCATGGAATCTCACATTTCCTTTAATTTCCCCAAATTGAATGGGGACTAGATGTTGCAGCCATTTATTGGTGTGAGTAATTAGTATTTTCTTAATCAAATGGAACTTTGGTTGTTAGTACTAATTTTACATTACAGTTGTCTAGATGTCTTAGTGTTTAGGAGAGGGATGTCGTTATCTCCATAATGTAGATAAAGAAACAAATATGATGGCCCGCATCTTCTTCCTCCATAACTAGAACCACGCAAATCCTCAGAGAAAAGAAGCACCAGTCCAAGGCAATGGAGGCAGAGCAGGAGAGGGGCCAGATGTGTTCAACTGGGTCTTCTGTCTTTCCTCACACAGTTCTTCTCACCTGATGTGGCTTAGGCACTACCATTTCCATTAGGCTTCCTAAACCTAAATGGAGCTTTGTGCCTACTCTAGATGCCCCTCAGAGACTGCCCATCTCTCTACTCCTTTTCATGGCAAAACTTCTTGAGTCACTATCTCTGCTCCTCACCTCACTTGCTTCCATAACAGACCATTCAGGCTCTTGTCTTCATCACACCACAAAGACTAGTCAAGGTCCCTTATGACCTTCAAGTTGCCAAATTCAAGAGTTATCTCTATGGTCTTATCTTCCTCATATCTCAGCAGCACTAACCATTCTGTTATTTTGCAAACATATTTTCTTTAGTCTTCTATTGAGTAGAATTGAAATGGGTTTTCCTCCTGTCTCATTAGCTATTCCTTCTCATACATCTTTCCTGGTACCTCTGCTGCCTAACCATGAATGTTTGGAATGTCCAAAGGTTCAGTCCTGTGCCCTGCCTACATACTCTGCATAAGTAATCTTGCCAAGCTTGTGGCTTTAAATACAATCCATAAGTCTCACAGATTGATACATCCATTCCTGGCCTTTGCCCTAAAATTCAGGCTTATACACCCAATTGCCTACTTCACACCTTTCCTAATTGTTCCCTTTTTGGAATGTTATCTCTGATCTTTTCACAGCTGGTTCTTTCTTGTTATTTAGATCTCAACTTATATATTTTCTATCAGGACAGATCTTCCCTGGAAACCTTATCTATCTATTTGTCTATCATCTATCATCAATCACATTATTCAGTTTTAATTCTATGCACAACTTGCACAGATATATATATATATATATATATATAACTTTCTTCTATCTTTATCTTATTTTTGTTTCCACTCCTTAAATGCAAATTTCTGGAGATTACAAGAGTGTCTGACACAGAGTGAAAGCTCTGTCTTAGTCTGCTTCAGCTGCCATAACAAAATAG
Organism: Homo sapiens; assembly: GCF_000001405.40. Taxonomy (NCBI): domain Eukaryota; kingdom Metazoa; phylum Chordata; class Mammalia; order Primates; family Hominidae; genus Homo; species Homo sapiens. The sequence goes on along the minus strand of NC_000014.9, from coordinate 38,530,539 downwards.
CACAGACTGGGTGGCTTAACAGAAATTTATTTTCTCACAGTTCTTAAGGCTGGGAAGTCCAAGATGAAGCTGTCGAACCATTTGGTTCCTGGGGAGGCCTCTTTCCTTAGCCTGAAGAAAGCTGCTTTATCACCTGTTCACAAAAGGCTTTTTTCCTCAGTACAAGTGCTCAGGGGGAAGAGATAGGGATCTTTTTCTTCCTCTTATTATGAGGACATTAATCTCATATTAGAACCTACCCTTATGATTTTTATATCACTCTAATCATCTCCCAAAGGTCTCACCTCCAAATATAATCACATTGGGGGTTAGCATGTCAACATATGAATTTTTGGGAAACACATTAAGTACATAACAAGCTCAATAAATATTTCTTGATTAGACTTGACTGAAAGATTATTGCCTGTAGCTCATAATTTAGCGTTTGTTTCTACTGCTATATGATATTTTACTATTATTAATGTATTTCTCTGAATGTCTATAGATTTTAAATTCCTTGAGGCGAGAGGGGTTAGGTACAATTGGTGCTTAGCATGTGGTTGGCTATTTTAGGGAGAAACACCATGAGGCCACAAAAGATATGAGGTTTAGTAATAAAAGCAACCCGTTGCATATTGAAAACTCACTATTCAGCACACTTTATGTCTATCCTTGCATTAACCCCCCACCCCACCAACAATCCTATTATTTTGACATTTCAATTTTAGGGACTGTCTTTCCTAATGCAGCCCAGATCTCTGTCACTCCCTCTTCCTCATGTTTCCAGTAAGGATGATCAGCTTACTGGAACCAGCTTATAGTCCCTTGGTTTTGTCTTTTGAGGGTGAGTGGAGCTAAAAGCCACTACAATAGCAGGAACAATACCTTATGCTCATTATTCTTGGTTGTTATTTCACCCTTACTTATGGAGGATATTTTTGCTGGACATAAATTTCTAGATTAGTGGATTTTTTTCCTTTCAACCCTCAGTATTTCATGTCACTCTCTTTGCTTGCATGGTGTCCACTGAGAAGTCCACTGTCATTCTCACCCTTCTTCCTCCATAGGTAAGGTACTTTTCTTTTACCCCTATGGCTTCTTTCATGATTTTCCCTGTGTCCTTGGTTTTTAACAGTTTATATATAATATACCAAATAATATATTTCTTGGTATTCTGTTTGGTGTTCCCTGCTTGGTGTTAGCTTCCTGGATCTGTGGTTTGGTGTCATTAATTTTGGACAATTCTCAGCCATTATTACTCCAAATATTTCTCCTGCTCTGTTTTCTCCTTCTTTTCCTTCTGGTGTTTCAATTATGTGTAAGTTATACCTTTTAAAACTATCTGACAGTTCTTGAGTGTTGTATTCTATTTTCTTTTTAAATTCTCCTTTCTCTTTGCTTCTCAGTTTTGGAGTTTCTATTGATGTGTCTTTAGTCTCACTGATTGTTTAGCCATGTCCAATCTGCTGATGAGCCCATTGAAGGCATTCTTTAACTTTTGTTACAGTGTTTTCAATTTCTAGTGTTTCCTTTTTATTTGTCTTAATGTTTTCATCTCTCTGCTTATATATCACTTCTGTTCTTGCATGTTGTCTACTTTTACCTGTTAGAGATCTAAGCATATTAATCATAATCATAATTATTTAAAATTTCAGGCCTGATAGTACCAACATCTGTTTCACATTTGAATCTGATTCTGATGTTTGCTTTGTTTCTTCACAGCATGTTTTTGTGTGTGTGTGTGTGTTTTAGCACACCTTGTAATGTGGTTGTTGAAATCTGGCCATGATATATTGGGTAATGGGAACTAAGGGAAATGAACCTTTAGTATGAGTTTTTTCTGCCAATTTGGCTAGTAATTGAACTGTGTTGATATTTGTTGTAGCTGTAGGTACCAGAGGCTTCAACTTTTCTGGCATCCTTGTTTTTGTCTCTCCTGTTGTCTTTTGTTTTTCCTAAAAATTACTCCTTAAAAAGAGTCTGATTCTTGCACCTCTTTCAGCTGAATCCCCTGTTGCTTTACTGGAGCCCTTTCATTGTGGTGGTAAATTATGGGGGAGAGGAAGTTTGCCATTATCTTATCTTTAAATCTCAATCTTTTAGTGGGCAGGTATCTCTGGACTGTGACCTTCTCGAGGGTTTCTTAGCTCACCCACTACCCACTCCCTTAAGTGAGATAAATGCTAGAGGGTGCTGTAGTGGGAGAAAATGCCCTTATTCTAGATGAGATAAGCCTCTGGCAAAGTCTTTCCCTCTGGTGAGTAGGTCTTTGTTATATAGAACGTGTAGGCGTATTTTGCAATGGTTACTCTTCCCTTCCCCTTGCTATAGCCAGAAGGTGATCTTTCTTGGCTCTTGACCATGAGAACCTGGTAGCATTCCTAGAGGCAGAACCCATGAAAGGGCTCTTTAAGACTTGCAGTCCCCAGGATATTCTCACTCTCAAGCTAGTCCACACTCATCCTCCAGAAATATATCAAAATTACCATTTAAGTTTTCCTACCAGTTTATGGCCCCAGTGGCTTCTGGTCCAGGTGAGCAGCTCTCACTTGCATCTCTCTGGATCTGCCTAGATCTCCTGTGACCTCAGTTATCCAGTGGGTCCAAGAAAAGTCACTGAATTTCTGTTTTGTTTTTTTTTCCCCCATCATTTTCTTGTCATAAGGATGGAAATGATAATTTACAAACATTTTACATATTGGACCCCAAACTGGAAGTCTAAATATCTTTTATATCTTCTAGTTCTGTGCTAAACAGACATAGACATACTAAGTCTTGGCTTGTGTTTCCACCAACTACCTGGTCCATTTTCCCACCACTTCCCACAGCTGCATTGGACACTCTTCCTGTCAAGGGAAAAGAGCTGGAGCTTTGACAAATTGAGTTTTAATGGCTGCCAGTCTCTGATATACAAGACACTAAGTGAGTACTTGGAGTGAGTGATAGATGACAATCAAGACTAAGACAGGGATTGTCTGACTCAGACTCTTGTATTCTTGTCCCAGATATCTATGTTTGCATTATGGTTGGAAAACACTATTCTTTAATCTAAGTAGTAAATGAGTTTAAAAAGAAAGAAAGACAATGAAAAACACTTCTCTGTTGGGCTAGTGCCTCAGCCTCCTCAGAAAAGACCATTTCTGGCATCTCAGATGTATAAAAGCCTTCCTTGAGGCCTTCGTTTCTGATGTGTTGATGTGTAGAGACTGACTCTGAAGCCTTTGACTTTCTTATTTGTGATTTTGCTTTTTGCTCAGTAGTATCCTCCCTCCCCCACTCTCTCCCTCCTTCCCACCTCTCCCACCCTCTTCCTTCCTTCCTTCCTTCCTTCCTTCCTTCCTTCCTTCCTTCCTTCCTTCCTTCCTTCCTTCCTTCTCTCCTTCTTTCCCTTTTCTAATACTAGCATTTGGTGTGTTTGTGATAAGTTAAACATTTTATTCATTAATGTTGGCTTTAACAGAATAAGACAATTTAGCTAAAGGCCACTGCCTAGTGAGATTTTTTTCAATACTGATTGAAATGCAAATTAATACAAGCAATTACCAGGTACTGCACATAGTCTTAAAATGGAAGGCTTTAAATGACATTTCCTTGGCAATCTGTATGAATCCCCCAGATTAGGCATTCTTTTTATTCAGTAAACTAAATCTGCATCTAATGCCCAACTTGAGGTTGTCATCACATCATCATTTTTAATTGTAGCAAACTCTGAAATAAAGATGACCTTATCAAATAACAGTTACCTAAAGAATTACTTCTTACTGGGGAATGTATGTTTGGAGAAGGAGACATGGCCTTGGAGGATGAAGGCCTATGTAACATTTTAGGGAGACAGATTTTCCCTCAGTCAGAAAGAAGGGAACTAACATTTATTGAGTCTTTTTGTGTCAAACACTTTATATTCATTCATATTTAATAAATATTTATTGGGTACTGAGATGTTTTTGCCAATATTTTCCTTGCAGGAGGTTCAGTGGGAATAGGATAGACAAGGTCCCTGCTCTTGTGACTCTTATATTCTGGTTGGGAAAACTGACAATGAACAACAACAGTAAACAAAGAAATAAAAATAAATCCATGGTGATAAGTACCCTTATATGGAATAGAGAATGGTCAGGTAGGTAGGTGAAAAGAGACTGCACATTAGATAGGGTGGAACAAATGAGGTTTTTCTGAGATGGTGACATTTGCATTGAGAGATTAAAGAGTTAACTAACCACTCATTACTTTGTCTAACTTTTACAACAACCTGAGATAAAGGTAACATTAGTTCAGCAGGTATAAGCAAAGAAATTAATTACCCAACTAGGTTAAATAATTTCTCTAAGATTACACAGATTTTTTCAATCCTATTGTAAACCAAAAATAGAATTCTAGGCCCCCCAACTAACTGAATGACCGCTCCTTATGGCTAAAGGCATTCCATAGTTAACCTGAAAAACTAGTTAAGACCCTGATGAGAAGTGGAGGTTGGACATGCCTCATTATACCCTCCTCCCTTTGGAATTCAGGCACAGCTGACCAGCATTAACATCAAAACAGATATTAAGACTGATGAAATAGACTTTTTGTAGCAATTCCAGCCTGACTCTAGTATAGCATCACTTGACAGATAGCAGGCCCTTAAAGAAATGGAAGTATTTTACCCGAAATAAATTTCTTTGACATATTTTGAAATAGCCTAACAAAGCTGTCTCTTGTGGGGAAAAATCTACATTCTGTAGAGAACCCCCATTCCTTTCCAACGTCTTTTCCCGATGCAGGAGAGAATTAACTAAGAGTCTGGCACTTTTTAAAATCTGATAAGAAACATTTACAATCTATTATCTCTGAAGCCTGCTACCTGGAGGCTTCATCTGCATAATAAGAACCTTGGTCTCCACAACCCCTATCTTAATCCAAATACTCCCTTCTATAGATTCCAGGTCTTCAGATAAACTAAAATCTTTGAATTCACCTATGATTTGGAAGCCTCTGCTTTGAATTGTCCTACCTATCTGAAACAAGTCAACATAATCTTTCATGTATCGATAGATGTCTTATGTTTCCCTAAAGTGAAAAAAAACAAGCTGTAGTCTGACCACCTTGGGCACGTGTTGTCAGCACCTCCTGAGTTTGTGTCACAGCCATGTCCTTAGCCTTGGCAAAATGAACTTCTAAATTGATTGAGACCTGTCTCAGATAATATTTGGTTTACACTATCCATTTGCTTCAAAGCTGCTCACAGGCTACCATACCCCACAAGTACTTCTTTCTCACCAGCTGCTCCAAGCTTATGCAAAAAACAAGCTCTCTTTGTTTACTTGGTCTTAGACTTTAGATATTCAGAAGCAGTCAGTTTTCCAAGAAAATCAATGCTGAGTCATCAATTTTTTCAGTAAGAACATTAACAAGAAAAAAGGCACCTAATTTTTTATTACCTTTCAATAACAGAGGATATTTTTAATACCAAAAAAGTTAAAAGGATATTTTCTAAGATTAAAGCACATGACTTCAAACTGAATACAATTAACTTTATGAAATATATTATTTTGTCTCTATTTTATTTATTTCACAGAAAACCCTTAAAATGATTATGTAAACAGACTCATTTGAGAACCAATGGACTCAATGTCTTTGCAAGGCTACCTCCAACCTTGAAAATCTTAGGTTGATGTTAACTCCTGATGCTCGATGCTCAGAGTGGCAATGCAGGCAGATGCTGTGGGGTAAGGATATAGACTCTGTGCTAGTTGAATCAGACTAGGAAAGGACAGGTCATTTTGACCTAAATATTTTCAGTGTGAATCTCTTCCCTTGAAATAATTACTTATTTAGGGAAGAGGCAATGATGCATTCTTTCTTTCTTAGAAAGTTCAAATACATGCTAAAGCACTTTACAAAATAATTTATAAATGGTTTTTCTGTAGGCAGTTGCCCATGTTGGTTCAAATAAATGAAAATAATTGATTCATTGCTTTTCTCTTTTTTAATTACAGAGTTAGAAAGGACTATTTAGACTTTTCTTAATAGGAATGTATGTGTTTTTGTCATGAATATTCAAGTATTGATCAATCTGTGATAGTGTATTTCTCCTGTTAAACTTGTAATATAAGCAAAACTACAAAATATGCAAGAATAACTACTACTTAAAATTCTATGAAAATATAATGATAATTACTGAGGAAATAATTGTGTACAATAGCAGCAATAGCATCCTTAAGGCCATTTCTGCAGCATTTCAAGTACCTAATTGAATCAGTTGTGCCAGATCTCATCTTACTGAGAGACAGGATAAGAAGTGTTGGGCTAAAGCCTCAAGCATCAATTGAAATTTTAATTTTGTACCTAAATAAAAAACCACAAAGATACAAGCCATTTGAGTGTTTGGCTCTTTTTTGTCATCAATATAACCATCATTACCTTCACACTGTTCTGTATTTGTCTCGTGGGCTCAATAGCATGAACTAAAAGCAATTGATTTCACAAAGTAATTGAAGGGATGAACAGAAACACAAATTATGCAAAATGTACCAGAAACAGATGAATGCATTCTACAATATTAATAAAGTCCTAAAAATGCTTAGAATTAATTTGAAGACTTTCCTCTGATTGGTATTTCATACATACACATTTTTAATTTTCAAAAGAAATTAAGGGCGGCAGAAGAAAAAAGTGGGAAACATAAAGAAGCTAAATCACCTATAATTCCTCTGCCAATATCAGTACTAATGATGTTTTGATGAATTCCTTCTAGTCGTATATGTGTACATACATACACACACGACCCTAATGTGTATATAATTTTCTACTATTTTATTAAATAATGTGAGGCATTTTTCATGACACCAAATATATTTCATACAAATGCTTTTGTATGATGGCCTAATATTTGATCATATAAAAATATGAAACTTTTTCTGGTTAGTGCCCCACTCTTAGGCATTAAAGTTGTTTTTAATTTTTCCTTTTTAAAAATGATGCTGCAGTGAACATGTTCCATTATGAATCTGTGCTTGCAACTTATATTTTCTTACATTGGATTTTCATAAGTACAATTGCTGTGTTAAAGAAGATTAACCTCACTAAGAATTTTTATATCAGAAATGTAGAAACAATCTACCACGGAGGTCTAATAACTCCAACGACAGGAATTATCATTGAAAAAAATGAGTTTGAGAGCTTGATACATGAAAATATCTCACTGCTATACTAATATGCATTTCTTATTTTCCTTCATGAAATGCATTCATTTATTGAAAGTGTCCACAGAATATCATGTTGGCAGTCCTGGCTTTCATGGGTGTGTGACTTGAGCAGTTGCGTAAGGTTTCACACTCAGAAGAAACTTGTGCTTGGTTTCATGTTCTGCCATTGCCATCTCAGAATTCTTAAAAATTTTACCATTGAACTTAAGTTGTGTAAGTGATGTTTGATGGGGCAATGGATGTGTGTGAGACCAGAGAAGAAGAATGAAATACGTGGGTCCACTATTTTTGATAGTTCATTTGCATAAAATGTTTTGATTTTCCATTAGCACAGAGTTCTGGTGAATCCATGATGTGTGGGAGTTCAGTGAGACTCAAAACAAGCACAGGGCAAGCATGACACACCTACAGCTGAATAAGTGGGGGTGCTGACAGCTTCAAGTGGCCTTGCTTTCTGTTTGTATAAGAACCTGCTTTGAATGTAAAAAGAAAGCAAAAGTTTTCTAAGGTACAGAAATGACCGAGGAATCCTAGTGTATCCTGTCTTACTCATGTTACTTTCTTGTATTAGCCAACAAATTACCCGGAAAATAATGTCACCCAAGGAAAGAGAAAGATACAATCCTAGTTATTTTTCTTTTTAGTCCTTATGTGTTCATGTTAGGGAAGAGAATGTGACCAAAAGCAGGAGAGCAAACAGAGCCCTAGAACTAATGCACAGTGTTGTTTTTCCCATGAGAGTAAGAACTGTTTTTGATTTTCCTACATGATGGGTATGGAAATGAACATATCTGCCAACTCAACTGGGACATAACAGAAGCTACATTAAAAATCTATTTTAGTAATGATATCATGTCTGGGACATCAACTGCAATTGAGGCTCCTATTTAGTTAAAATGGCAGTAGTTAACTGTCTTCTGCTGTTATCCTGACTGGTGTTTTCAGGGAACAGACTGGTGGATTAAATGGGACTGATGAGAATCATCATCCCTGCATTGTTTACATTTTCGAGGGTAGGCTAATGTTTGCAATTCTACCTAGGATATAATATACGCGTGGTTTACTATCTTGGTTGAGAGTGGGGAGAAGCAATTTCAGGGGCTTCTGCTTCACATTCACTAGTATAGTAGTTTTATTAACAGACAAAGTAATCTTTATTAGGGTAGTGCAAATGTCTAAGTACATCCAATTTGATTGCACATTTGGAAACTGAGAAAATACCACCAGGTGTGTCAGTGGACCTATCGTATGACGGCCTTAGGCCATATTTATTACCCAACTTCTATACACTCCTACTCTCTATATAGAGTACTCTAAGGGGGTGGGGCATAATGGAGCTTTGAACCCCCAGATATTAGTGTGTATTTTTGATTTTAGGATAATTCTGTCCTTGATATCTGGCAGATAATTTCGTCGATCTGTAAAATGACTTGGGAAGTATTCTTTTTAAATTTTCTGAAAAAATTGTGTAGAATCGACATTATTCTTTAAATGTCTGGTAGAATTCACCGGTGAAGTTACTGATTAATGATAGGGTTTCACAATGAATTGATATGGGGTTAAACAGATAATGTGAAAGAGCTGAATGTTCCCTTTCTCCAGTGTATGGTCAACCAAGTAAATGGCCATAGTTCCTTTTGGTGGAAAGACCGGAGGAATCACTACTTTGTAGATTTGCTGTGGTATTTCTGGCCTTTCCTCAAGGTCAAGGGGAATAGGCTCTCTTTCAGTAGATGGGTTCTGGGTCAGAGAAATGGCTGATATCTGGAAATAAGACAAGGAATTGTGACTTTTCATGCAAGGGTGACCTCAGCCTTTTATTCATCCTTTTGGATCTTTTTTGATTATATTATGCAATATCATGTTGTCTATCCTACTATCTTGCCTCTAGAAATACATAGCAAATGTCCAAGCGTCATATCCATAGACCCCTGTGAGTCAGGCACTCTTGGCTGCCATTTTAACTTGTCCATTTTAATAATTTTGTCCTTTTTGTCTATGATGGTTATGTGCTGCCTTATGGCTTTTCCTATTTTGGACTCCTATCTTCCTTATTGCTAATAAGGAAGTTAGCAAGTTCCTTATTAGCTAACTTGGGGACCCAAGTTCTCCAATGGTGTTTCTATCAGTACTGGTCTCCAGAGAATGGCAATTTCTGAGTTTCTTGATGATGCTAGTGACCCCTAACCAGAGTATTCCTTATTACCTTGGATTTTATATTTTATATGATAGATCAATTCTATTAGCACACCCACTTCCTTGAATCTGTTGATTTCTTCCTCCACGATCTATCACAGCAGTTCTGGCATACATTTAATGTGGATCATCAGTTTTTCAAGCATCTAAGAGCCATCTCAGTGTATTCAAACCAACTCCAGAGTTCCTTCCCATGGTATTAAATCTTGAATCAAGGAGACTGTCTTACTATTGAAAAATTCTCCCATATCCAGCTTTATGTTCTGCATCAGCAGTAGGTCTACTCCTGGTATCGCCTGTCTTAGGTAAGGTTCCTAGATGCATGAGATTCTTGTGCAAGTTATTTAAAAGGGAATGTTCTCCAGAGAAGGCTGTAAGGGAGTGACAGAAGCAGAATAGATCAGAAGAAGCAGACAAGCACAGATGTGTTTTAGGAGAAGTTTAGCCTTAGTCTGATCTCACAGGGACCTTTGGAATGTTAGTTTTGTCCTAGAAATTGTCCTTCCCAAAAGCAAGGTGGCGGGTGTTACATCCTTACATCAGACAGCTATCCTGACCCTTTGGGTGAGGGGGGAGAGTATGACCTCCCAGGCATATTTAGGCAAGGTGACTCTTGCCGGCTAAGAACAATCCTGCTAACAAGGGCACAGATACGAGCCATAAGCAGCCCAAACCTACAGCAGGTGGGTATGGGTATACTAACATAGTAAAGGAGATCTAGGTGGTATACCAAGGCAGAGTCGGTTCTTGTGGATGTTTCCTATATGTCTGAAAAGAATTTGTACACTCTGTTACAGTGACTTATAGTGACACAATACAGTCATTTGGGATCTGAGAATATCAGTTTTACAAAGAATTTCTTTTAATATTTTCTACTTTGGTTTACTAGGCATTTTATTGGATGTATAAGGACCAAAAGGGACTTTACCTGCTTTGTATATAGCTGAGCTGTGTGAGGTTTGAAACATTGTGCAGGTCTGTGAGGTTAGTGATAATTTTGTCCATTATAAAAATGTATTGATTCAAGGATTCAAGGATGTCTTTTGTCCTAGGTTTTTCGCATGAGATTTGAATTGCACAAACATTGAATATTATGTGTATTTTATTACTGAACATAGTCTGAGAGGAAAACACATAAGCTCTAAAAAAAAAAAAAGAAACAAAGAAAGTAGACCAATGAGACTAATACATATTTGAGAATAACTATTGTAGGGAAAATGACTTGTTACTTTGGTTACTGTAAATGATGTTAACTATTAAAGTCATTATGCCCATTTTAATGTGACTTGATGTTGTTTTTAACAAAAATGGATGTCAAATTGGGTGTCCAAGAAGAAATGTATTTTTTTCTCATTGAAATTAATGGTAATTGCACTTTTGACTTTAAAAAATTGGGAAGAGAATTATCTTCAATTAGATGGAGGAAGATAATATGACATTTAGAGCAGTTAATATTATTTAGACTTTCTATGTCTTTGTCTAATTTGTTTGGCTTGTTTATTTTTTAAAGAAAGTGTGAATATCTCCACCTAAAGCCGTCAATCAATCTATTTTCTCTCTGAGGGTTTGTCAGTTTTGTTTTACATATTCTAGGGCTACATTTTTAAGTAAATATATGTTAATGATATATCAGCTCTTGCTCCTTTTACAAGTATTTACTTTGTCTCTTACTCCTTTAAGATCTTTGCCTTGAATTTTGTCATGTTTCATGTTTCCTACTGTTTTTAAAAATTTCGTTTTTTGCCTAGGGTATCATTTTCATACTTTCTCATTTTGGGGTGTGTCTTTTACAGATGTTATATTCCTAGTACTTTTTAAAGACTAATGTGGGAAGGATCTCCGTCTTTTAATTAGAGAATCTAATCCATTACATGTATAATTACTGTTTTATTATATATAATATATAATATAAAGTTAAATATATATTTAACTTTTAAATTTAGGGATACATGTGCAGGATGTGCAGGTTTGTTACATAAGTAAACATGTGTCATGGGGGCTTGTGGTACAGAATATTTCATTACTCAGATATTAAGCCCAGTACCCATTAGTTATTTTTTCTGATCGTCTCCTTCCTCCCAACTTCCAACTTCCAATAGGCCTCAGTGTGTTTTGTTCCCCTCTGTGTGTCAATATGTTCTCATAATTTAGGTCCCACTTATAAGTAAGAACATGCTATATATTTTTTTCTTGTTCCTGAGTTAGTTTGCTAAGAGTAGTGGCTTCCAGTTCCATCCATGTCCCTGCAAAGGACACAATATCTTATTATTTTTTATGGCTTAATAGTATTTCACAGTGTATATATACCACATTTTCTTTATCCAGTCCATCATTGATGGGCATTTAGGTTGATTCCATGTCTTTGCTATTGTGAATAGTGCTGCAATGAACATACATGTGCATGTGTCTTTATAATAGAACAATTCATATTCCTTTGGGTATATACCCAGTAATGAGATTGCTGGGTTGAATAGTATTTCTGTATTAGGTCTTTGAGGAATCACCACACTGTCTTCCACAATGGTCGAATTAATTTACTCTCCCACCAACAGTGTATAAGCATTTCTTTTTCTCCACAACCTCACCAGCATCTGTTATTTTTTGACTTATTAATAATAGCCATTCTGACTGGTGTGAGATGGTGTCTCATTGTGGTTTTGATTTGCATTTCTCTAATGATCAGTGATGTTGAACTTTTTTTCATATGATTGTCGGCCGCATGTATGTCTCCTTTTGAGAAGTGTCTGTTCATGTTCTTTGCTCACTTTTTAATGGGGTTGTTTGTTATTTTTCCTCATAAATTTGTTTAAGTTCCTTACAGATGCTGGATATTAGACCTTTGTCCAATTCACAGTAAAAGTTTTCTCCCATTCTGTACGTTATCTGTTTACTCTGTTGATAGTTTCTTTTGCTGTGCAGAAGCTTCTTAGTCTATTTCTTTGTCTTGCCTGATTGCCCTGGCCAGAACTTCCAATACTATGTTGAATAGGACTGATGAGAGAGGGCATCGTTGTCTTGTTCCGGTTTTCAAAGAGAATGCTTCCAGCTTTTGCCCGTTCAGTATGATATTGGCTGTGGGTTTGTCATAAATGGCTCTTATTATTTTGAGATATATTCCTTTAATACCTGGTTTATTGAGAGTTTTTAGCATATTGAATTTTATCAAAAAACTTTTTGCATCTGTTGATACAATCATGTGGTCTTCATCTTTAGTTCTGTTTATGTGATGAATCATACTTATTGATTTGCATATGTTGTTTTATTACATTTATAACATTAATCTATGTTCTTTGTATGTAGTTCTAGTTCACTCATTTTCCTTGCTGTGCAGTATTCTATTGAATGAATATGTCAGAATTTATTCTTTTGTACAAGGACATTTGGGTAGTTTTCAGTTTTAAAATAATACAAATAATACCATTGTGAACATTCTCTTATGCATATACCATACATATGACACATATGTCACATCATTTTATGCACACACATATATATGGCATGCACATTTTTCTAGGTATATTACTCAGGACAGAGATTGTTGAGTCATACGATAGGGTATGTTTGGTTTTTCTTTTCTTCTTTTTTTAGACAGGATCTCACTCTGTCATCCAGGTTAGAATGCAGTGACATGATCTTGGCTCAATGCAACCTCCACTTCCTGGGCTCAAGCAATTTTTCAGCTTCAGCCTCCTGTGTAGCTGGGACTACAGGATACAGGCACGAGGCACCAACACCTGGCTAATTTTTGTATTTTTTCTTTTTTTTGGTAGAGATGAAATTTTGCCATGTTGCCCAGGCTGGTCTTGAACTCCTGAGCTCAAGTGATCTGCCTGCCTCTTCCTCCCAAAGTGCTGGGATTACAGGTATGAGCCATCGTGTCGGGCCATGTTTGGTTTTTCTAGATAATACCAAACTGTTTCCCAAAGTGGTTGTGTCTATTTATATTCCTCACATTAGTGATTGACAGTTTCCTTTCTCCACATCCTTAGCAACACTTGGTATGGTCAGAATTTTTAACTTTTTCTACCTTGGGTATATAGTGATATCTGATTCTTACATTTCATTGATAGAAAATGTATGTATTAGCCATTTGGATTTCTTCTTTTCATGAGTTAGTTTTTCAAATCTTTTGCTTGAATCTATTGCTTCTTAGCCAAGTAACTTTAAGTAAGCCATATCTTAATTTCTTCACTTTTAGAATGGGCTTAATAGCATCTCACTTTGACCTCTTAGCACAGCAGTGTCTACGTAGCATTGCTACTTCTGTCCAAGATTGGCAACTACCTTTACTTGAATCACTTTTCCTGTATGGTTCCAAGTGACTATGAGCCAAAAGAAGAACTCACATGAGATCTGGAAGGTGTAAGTGAAGCAGAGCTACCTTGGAAGTTTGAGGGAAACAAACACAGTGGTGGACTGACAGAGGTGTCTGGTGGGTCTCAGGATGTCATCCTTCTTTTGCTGCTTGTACTCAGCTCATTTTCCTGACTGCTGGCCCAGCTGATCAACTGTGGTCCTAGGTCCCAGGCACTTGGTTCTAGGCCCACAAAGGTGATGATTTCCAGAGGCAGCAACTTCTCCAGAGTAGAAGCTTCCTAGAAGATGTAGACAGTCCATAGAATCTGCATGGTTGCTGAATTTCCCTGAAGTTCCTACTGTCTACTTGAGTTAGCACTTCAGGCTGGCATGGCTAATGATTATTTTCTCAAATCCTCTTATTTCTCCCTTGTAGATTTTCATTTGCCCCATTCCTACCACATTTTTCTAAATGTTAATTTCTATACAAACCCTCTTATTTCTGTAATATTTGTAGTAGCTCTGATATCACGATTTAATCCTGAGTGATAGAATAGTTTTGACAATGGAATAAAATAAAAATGCAAAAATTCTTTAATAGCTCTAAATTGCCATTCAAATGTAATTATTGAACTGGGCTAAGTAATGCATTGCTGTGCCTCTTACATAGTGGAACAGATTAGGAGACATTTAAAATGGTAAGAAAAGCAAGCCAGCATAGGCTGTTATTGGCAGCATGCTTCATGAAAATATTTTATTCTTTTATTTGTCTGACAGGGTACTTGTTTGTTAGCAAATGGATGCCAAAATACATCATCTGGGTTTCCTTTTCAACTGGATTGCTTGGTAAGAAAGAGGTTGTAAAGTAGATCTAAGAGACAGAATCTCTGAAACACTTGTCAGGCATTCCCAATTAATATTTAAAGTGTGGAATATGGTCAGATATCCAGAAACACAAATCAAGAACAACTGAATAGATACAGGCACAAGGTAAAATAAATTTTAAAAATATAGGACAATCCTCTACTGCAAATTACCCATTTCTGGCTGCCTCTGTGATACATTAAGGTTGAGCCTGGCAGTGGGTCATTTTCGAAGTTTGTCAAAGACTCAGACATTGTTGATACTATTTGTGAGTTTTCTCAAGGCTACTGTACTAAACTACCCTTAAGATAATAGTGCTCTGGTTAGTAGAACAATAGTTGGTTAGCCAAATAGTGAATTTCAGCAGACACTTTCATTGCTTAATGGCCAGAGTAACAGTCATAGGACTGTTCAACCTTGCAAGAATTCCCAACTGACACTTTTTCAGTGATCATGAAGTACCTCAGGAAAGCAAAGGAAAGACTTTGTGAGCAGAATTATTATATTCAAAAGACTGTAGGGATAGTAGTCAGGGAGGAAGGGAGCTAAGTAGCACGATATTATTCTTATAATATTGTGGTATTAAATATTATATAATATTGTGGTATTAAAAATTGTAACATAGTTTGTAGTATCTTGTTTCTTTTTTCCTTCATGATGTACTCCTCAGTTGATTTAATAATCTATGTGCAAGACCCTGATCTATGACCCATGGTGATTACAGTATGATTTTTGTTACCAAAAAGCTTATGGTAATGTAGGAGAATTGAGGTGCAACTGACAAATAAAAATTATATATCTCCAAGGTGGACACCATGATGATTTGATATGCATATACATTGCATAATGATTACGAGAATAAACTTAACATATCTATCATCATCCATAGTTACTATTTTGTGTTTGTGTGTGTATGAGGTGTACTGCATTGTGTGCTTGAGATTAATTGAATGTTGAGGACAAAAGAGCCCACAATGGCTTTAAATCTTCTGGTTTGATTTATTTAGAAAAAAAAATGAGTATGTCTAATGGAATTAGGCTACCTGGGAAAAAGAGCAATGAATTTTGAAGTACAGATAGCAAATCTGACTTTCTGACTTTGGGTATGCTAGAATTTCTTTCTTTTTTCTTTTGAGATAGAGTCTTAGCTCTGTTGGCCAGGCTGGAGTGCGGTGGTGTGATCTCAGCTCAGGGCAACCTCCACCTCGTGGGTTCAAGCGATTCTCCTGCCTCAGCCTCTCAAGTAGCTAGGATTATAGGCATGTGCCACCATGCTGGGCCTAGAATTTCAATTAATATTTATTCAAGGAGTGATTGGATCATCCAGGTGGTTACAACAGCATATACCAAATTCAAGAGTGAGGACAATATAAAGGATTTGGGTTACCAATTTTTACACAGCATTTGCATTTAACATTAGCATCAGGATTGGGATTAGTAGAAAATATTTATTACATATAATATCCAAGATGATTTTTAATGGAGGCAAGAATACAGGTATGGTCTTTCATTTTGTGCCTAAGTAACTTGATACCCCTTTGCAACAGAGAACACAAAAATAAGTAGTTGCTTATGGGTCATCAGAAGATCCATAAGTTGCAGAAATTTGAGCAGTTGGAAACTAAATTGATATTGATGATTTGAAAACATTATCAGAAGAAAGTATGAAAAATGAAATAAAAAGTAGAAATTAAGGAAATAAGGATAACAAAAGGAACACTTCAGAGACCCAACTCGAATGTTTGGACTTAGAAAGTATTATAGCATTTAAAATACCAGTATTAAGAGTTATTTTCAGAAATGCTCTAAGGAATGTTTCTATTCTATGTGCATCCCTGTGCCCTTGTGTTAGGGGTTGAATTGTGTCTACCTCTCCAAGAAAAAAAATAAATTGAAGTCCTAACATCCAGTACCTGTGAATGTGACCTCATTTAGAAATGAGTCTTTGCAGATGTAATCAAGTAAAGAAGAGGTCATTAAGTGGACTCTAATCCAATATGACTGATATCCTTCTAGGAAGAGGAAAAATGCCATGTGAAGATGGAAATATACCATAGGATGACAGAGGAAGAGATTGGAATGATGCAGTTGCAAGCCAAGGCATAGCAAGATTTGATGTTTATCACTGGAGGCTGGGAAGAAGCAAGGAGAGATTCTACCCAGAGTCTCAGAGCAACCATGGCCATGATGACAACTTGATTTTGGATTTTTGGCCTCCAGAACTATGAGAGAATAAATTTCTTGTGTTTTAAGCTATTCAGTTTGTGATACTTAGTAGGGGCATCCCTAGGAAACTAATACAATTTATTTATCTCTTTCTTATATCATCACATCACTTAACCAGCAAACTTTTATTAAACATCTACTCTGCATAGGTAATTCTGCCCCTTCATTTCACAGCTTTGAGAATCACACTCTTAACACAAAATTTGTCACTTAGAAGATTTACAAGTAAGAAGAGACAGCACAGCACAGGATACTTTGCTTTATCTTTTTTCCCTCAATTGTACTGAAGACATTCCCAGTAGTGCCATCTTTGAGAAAGAATGATACATATAGATGAATATTTTCCAGCATTTATGGGTTTTTGGCTCAAAGGTGTGCTAAAAGTGTCAAGTTGCTAGAAGATCTCTAGATAAATGGTATGCACGATGCTAGGCTTAAAAGGCATGTTTATACTAAAAGTGATAAGCCCAACACCACCTGTTATCATTAACATGACACCAGAGTTAGAAGGTATAAAAGGTTCTCAGGGGAATGATTCAATCTGAGAAGACCTCAAACTCTTTGTCAAAAAATTCTTCTAGGTGCATTGTACCTGTGCTGGATAAAGTAATGTGCAACTACTGGAAGATGAGTGTGCTGGCAGGATAAATAAGGATGACCTAAAAAGCTGTCATAGCTGGTGATCAGGCAGTAAAGATACACGCCATGTATAGTTTGTTAACTTATTGCATTAGTGGTGTCAAAAGTGCTAGCCACAATTTCCTACAGTAACTGAATTTGTTGATTGTTAGTCATGCCAACAAAATTGTTAGAACATAGAAAATACTAAAATTGAAACATTTTCCCTAAACTCTCGAAGTAATAGGAATTAGTCTCCATAAGTGGCTCTATAAAGAATCAATTAGAAAATTAGAAAATGAATTAAGTATCACGCTTTTTTTTTTTGGTTAGGCCTTTCTGTGAATGCCATAAAGTACTCTTACTTTTTTATGTATGACATCAAGCTCAATTATTATGGCTGATTAGAAGAACTGAGAACTAAGGGTAGATAAAAAATATATCCCATCCAGGCATCAGCAATTCAAGTGATATAAGACTTGTCTTTGTAAATTATTTTGTTTAAAGCCTCTTTGATACCTACTGAATGCTCAATATTTGGATACTTCAATAATATACTAAACCATTTCCTTCCTGATATCATTTTGATAGACTCATATGTCTTAGACCTAAATTTACAAAGGTATGCACTAGGATTTCATTACATTGAAGGAAACAGAAACTATGAAAGCATTTTTCACATTTCTGATTTCTGAGTCTATTTTCTTGGAGTCAAATGCTGCTGCAACATTTTGCTACAACAAACCAGATGGTACTAAATCTATTTTCTAAGAGAGGGTAGAAGATATCAGACTTGAATGTGGATGAAAAGTTCTGAGTTCTTTTCCAAAAAATGTCAAGTGGTAGTCAATTTAATCTACTTAAAAAACAACAAACAAACTAATTTAACTTCTGACAACAGAAACCTTTCAAAATTGTTCTAGTTAGGACCCAGTGAAACTTGAAGTCTGAAAAATGACACATGATGTATCACAACAAACAAGTCAGGGCTATATTGTATTAGATTCTCTTACGTTATTACCTTTAAAGATTTGGCTGGACTGTCTTCCCAGTGGGGGTCCCTAAATTGGCTGAGACAATGCAGCATTAGAGGCACGGACATTGAACAGTAATGCAGTGATGGGGCAAGTTATATAAAAACACATAGAAAGTAAAATAGCTTTTTTTTTTTCACATAGAAAGTAAAGTGTTAAGCAACAGACACATGGGAAAAACTTAGGAATTGGTAAGACCTGGGTTGCTAGTCAGGCAGTTTTCCCCCATGTATCCTCACTCATATTGACCATGACCCTACATGAAATTATTTGCCTTAAATGATGTAGGTATGAAAGCCCTAATAAGGAAAGAGGCTAGAGAAGATTTTGGGCTTAAGGAGCACGTGTCAGTCACAGTCAGGGGCCAGAAAATGCTCATCATTAAAGTTTAGGATCTTCCAGGTGATCTAAAAGTGACAGCCAATTAGCTGATCTTCAGTGTGAAACTCATACAGAGCTCATTAACATAGCTGGATCTTGATTCTGACATTTCTAGTATTTTTACTAGAGCTTTGACAATAAAAAACATACAGATATAGAAAACATTTTGGAAGTATGAGGCAATATAGATAAGCGAAAAAGACCCACTGTTCCCAAAGCATGTATCATTCATCAATTGTGAAAATGTTTCCTGATGAAGCTGATGTGGCTTCATAGGCTTCTGTTACCAACCTACTAGCATTGTCAAATGGAATGAACCTAGTTTCCATTTTGTCTTATGATGTTCACAGGCTACACATGTATGAGGGAAGGGATGGAGAACTTCCCAAAGGAGTGAATCATTTGATACAGAGCTATTCAATCGTTAATAGTTCAAGTTGGAATAAAACTGACATTACTATTATATAGCTGATGATACTTTAACAAAGAGTTGAGTTTTGTATCAGTCAAAATCCTATTTAAGATCTAATCCTTGGCATGGTGGCTCATGCCTGTAATCCCAGCACTTTGGGAGGCCAAGGTGGGAGAATCGCTTGAGGCCGGGAGTTCAAGACCTGCCTGGGCAACGTAGTGAGACTCTGTATCTATAAAGACATTTAAAAAAATTTAGCTGGGCATGGTGGCATGCCCCTGTAGTCCTAGCTACTTGGGAGGCTGAGGCAGGGGGATCACTTGAGCCCAGAAGGTCAAAGTTTCAGTGAACCATGATTGCACCATTGCGCTCCAGCCTGAGTGATGAGGAGAGATCCTGTCTTTAAAAAGGGGATAATTTATGGAGATGTGGCAGGTTAAGAAAACTAACTTAAAAAAGGTGGTAAAGTAGTGTTGACAAAAGAGTCAAACTCTGTAAAATATTTGAAGAGATTTATTCTGAGCCAAATATGAGTGATGTTGGCCGGTGACAGCCAACATCAGAGATCCTGAGAACATGTGCCCAAGGTGGTCAGGGTATAGCCTGGTTTTATATATTTTAGGGAGTCATGAGACATCAATCAAATACATTTAGAAAGTGGTTTTGTTCAGAAAGGTGAGACAACTCAAAGTGGGGGCTTCTAGGCTATATGTAAATTTAGACAGTTTCTGGTTGACAATTGTTTGAGTTTATGTGAAGACCTGAGACCAATGGAAAGGAATGTTCAGGTTAACATAGAGGATTGTGGAGACCAAGTTTTATTGTGCAGAGGAATCTCTCAGATAGCAGAATGCAGAGATACAGCGGATTGTAAAATATTTCTTATTGGATCTAAAAGGGTGCCTGGCTTTTAGTTGATTTTCTCCTGAATCTGGAAAGAAAGGAAAGAAAACAAAGAAGAAAGGGGATTCTCTATAAGATGTGGATTTTCCTCACAAGAGACTTTGCAGGAAAATTTTAAGGTATGGCAAGGAAATATATTCTGGGTTAAATATTTTTTCCGTGTCTCATAATGTTATGCCAGAGTCAGACTGAAAAGTTAAGTCACAATATATAGGGTCAAATAAAACCCATCTGATGAGAATTTATGGTTTGTAGGGTATGACTCCCTAGACCCCCTAGGTAGGAATTTGGGCAAGGTAGAAAATCAGAGCTTAGTCCTCAGTACCTAGCAATTAGCAACAAGGTGCTGTTACCAGTTCTATGCCTAAAAGGGCAAGGAGAGGGAGGAGAATTATTGAAACTTGGTGAGAGATCTAGTGGCTGATATTGTTTGGATGTGTCCTCACCCATATCTTATCTTGAATTGTAGTTCCCATAATCCCCACATGTCGTGGAAGGGACCCTGTGGGACGTAATTGAATCACAGGTGTGGTTACCCCCCATGCTTTTCTCATGATATTGAGTAAGTTATCATGAGATCTGATGTTTTATAAAGGGCTTTTCCCCCTTTGCTAGGCACTATCGTTCCTGTTGCCAGGTGAAGAAGGATGTATTTGCTTCCCCTTCCACCATGATTCCAAGTTTCCTGAGGCCTCCTCATTCCTGCGGTACTGCAAGTCAATTAAGCCTCTTTCCTTTATAAATTACCCAGTCTCGGGTATTTCCTCATAGCAGCATAAGAACAGACTACTATAGTAAATTGGTACTGGGAGGTAGTGGGGTGCTGCTATAAGGATACCCAAAAATGTGGAAGCAGCTTTAGAGCTAGGTAACAGGCAGAGGTTGGAACAGTCTGGAGAGCTCAGAAGAAGACAGAAAAATGTGGGAAAGTTTGGAACTTCCGAGAGACTTGTTGAGTGGCTTCGACCAAATTGCTGATAATGATATGGACGATGAAGTCCAGCTAAGGTGATCTCACATGAGATGAGGAACTTCTTGGGAACTGGAATAAAGGTGATTCTTGCTATGCTTTAACAAAGAGACGGGTGGCATTTTGCCACTGTACTAGAGATTTGTGGAACTTTGAACTTGAGAGAGATGATTTAGGGTAGCTGGTGGAAGAAATTTCTTAGTGGCAAAGTGTTCAAGAAGCAGCAGAACATAAAAAACATAAAACTTTGGAAAATTTGTAGCCTGACAATGTGATAGAAAAGAAAAACCCATTTTCTGGGGAGAAATTCAAGCTGGCTGCAGAAATTTGCATAAGTAGCAAGGAGCCTAATGTTAATTCCCAAGACCATGGGGAAAATGTCTCCAGGTTATGTCAGATACCTTCACAGCAGCCTCTCCCATCACATGTCCAGAGCCTAGGAGAGAAAAATGGTTTCCTGGGCTGGGGGCCTCAATGCTCTGTGCAGCCTCAGGACCTGGTGCCCTGCATCCTAGCTGTTTCAGCTCCAGCTGTGGCTAAAATGGGCCATCATACAGCTCAGGCTGTTGCTTCAGAGGGTGCAAGTTCTATGCCTTGGCAGCTTTTGCATGGTATTGGGCCTGCAGGTACACCAAAGTCAAGAATTGAGGTTTGGGAACCTCTGCCTGGATTTCAGAGGATGTATGGAAACATTTGGGTGTCCAGGCACAAGTTTGCTGCAGGGGTGGAACCTTAATTGAGAACCTCTACTGGGGCAGTGTGGAAGGGAAATATCAGTTGGAGCACCCACACAGAGTCTCCTCTGGGGCACTGCCTAGTTGAGCTGTGAGAAGAACGCTACCTTCCTCCAGACCCCAGAATGGTACATCCACTGCCAGCTTGCACAGTGGGCTTGGAAAAGCCTTAGACACCCAACACCAGCCTGTGAAAGCAGCCAGGATGGGGCTGTACCATGCAAAGCCACAGGAATGGAGCTGCTCAAGGCTGTGGGGGCCCATCTCTTAGATCAGCATGACCTGGATGTGAGACATGAAGTCAAAGGATATTATTTTGAAACTTTAAGGTTTAATAATTGCCCTACTGGATTTTGGACTTTCATGGGCCTATAGCCCCCTTGTTTTGACTGATTTCTCCCATTTGGAATGGGTGTATTTACCCAGTGCCTGTACCCCAACTGTATGTAGGAAGTAACTAACTTGCTTTTGATTTTACAAGCTCGTAGGTGGAAGGATCTTGCCTTGTCTCAGGTGAAACTTTGGACTTGGACTTTTGGGTAAATGCTGGAGTGAGCTAAGACTTTCGGGGACTGTTGGAAAGTCATGATTATGTTTTGAAATGTGAGGATGAGATTTGGGAGGGGCCAGGGGTGGAATAATATAGTTTGGCTGTGTCCTCACCTAAATCTCCTTTTGAATTATAGTTCCCACAATCCCCCCATGTCATGGGAGAACCTGGTGGGAGGTAATTGAATCATGGGGACGGTTACCCTCGTGCTGTTCTTCTGATAGTGAGTGAGTTATCACAAGATCTGATGGTTTTATAAAGGGTTTTCCTCCCTCTGCTGGGCACTTCTTCCTCCCACCACATGACGAAGGATGTATTTGCTTCTTCTTCCACCATGATTATAAGTGTCCTGAGGCTTCTCTAGTCCTGTGGAAATGTGAGTCAATTAAACCTCTTTCCTTTATTCATTACCTAGTTTTGGGTATTTCTTCATAGCAGCATGAAAACAAACTAATACAGTGGTAGATGAGAGGCCACCTTATATAGAGGAACCAAGCCACTGCCAAAATCACAGCCTAGCAGAGAGGGTGTGGGGGTTTTAATAAACACTTGCATTCTCATCCTGCCTTCTGATCTTCTCTTGGCACCTTTACTGAAACCATTTAGAAGTTGGAGGGCAAGAAAGAGCCTAGGTTACATTCCAAAGAGCTTAGCATTCTGTGACACAGAACAAAGTAGAGAAGGGCTGAAACTGGAGCTGCTGAGGGATCAGTGGAGAACAAGTACCTCAAACTCTATTTTGGGTATCTTGAGCTATCAACCCAATTATAGCTACTTTGGATTTTAGTCAATTCAAGTTAGGATTGAATAAGTAGATAAAAGCTCAAGCACCCAAGCATGGCATTTGGGGACCTTTGCAATTGACTCCCAAACTTCCTTTCTAATTGTATTTACTGCTATTCTCCACATAAATCTTTGCTCTAGTCAAGCTAACCCGCCCTCAACTATTCCCTAAGCTTGTTTTGCTCATTATTGCCTCTGTCTTTGTTGCCATTCTTCTTATCTGAACTATTTTCCTTCATTTTCTCTAGCTAAATTCAATTTGTCTTTTGAAGCCACATGACAGAGGTCCTAAATCCTTTGGAAAAATTCCTTTTTCCATCCTTAGTGGGTGATTCTTCCTTTGCCATTCTATGGCACTTAATTTCTGTCATTCATTAAAAGTACACCTTATACTATATGTCAGTTGTTTTCTTTAATAGCTATCCAATGTCTTCATTTGGATCATCCGTAGTAGATAAATTTCATCTTGGATGCTGATTGCAAGCATTGAGAAGGACTCCGAGGTAACCCTGGAGATCAGCAGGATATTATACTCACATTTATTAGAAATATCTGCACTGGCCCAGGAGATGTGAATAATGGCATGTCTGCTACATATTTGCCATTCTCGAATTATAGTACATTTGGGTCCTATGCATCTGCAGATCCAACCAACCAAGGATCAAAAATATTTTAATAAATAAATAACAATACAACAGTAGGAATACAAATAAAAATGCAGTAGAACAACAATTTACACAGTATTTATATTGTATTAGCTGTTATAAGCAATCCAGAGATGATTTAAAATATATGGGGGGATGTGCATAGATTATATGCAATTACTACATCATTTTCATAGAGGCCTTGAGCATCTGTGGATTTCGGAATTTGTGGGGGTCCTGGAAACAGTCTCCTGTGGATACTGAGGGACAACTGTTAAGCTTTTAGATGGTTAGAATGTGATTTGTTCATCTGTGTACCCTCTGTAGCTACCTCAGTGCCTTGTGTAAAGCTGACGCATAATAAATATTTGTTGATTGTTTTGGTTATCTAAGAACTTATGCAAATGAAGGATCTAGTGTCAGTGAAAAATGTTGAACACAGAACAAGAAGTTTTATTCTTTCAGCTTTCTTCTTTAAGAACATTCTTTGACATTCTGGGGTAAAATCATAGTTGGAGAATGTGCAGCTAAAGGTTAAATTGGCTCTCAAAATATCTTCTTTGTAGTAGTAAAATAAAGTACTGATGCTGAGGTCAGAAGAGCAAAGTAAAAGAAAATGATGGCTGAGTACTACAAAGGGAGATAACTGTGAGTGGCTCATTATCATAAGGCTGCTTCTAAAAGCTGGCTCATTGATTTAATGATCATGCCATACGTTGAGCTGCTGAATGTTCACTGCAGTTAAAAAGAGATTTGTCCTCATCAAAGAAGTGGGGAAATGCAATTCCAGCATACAGTTTGTAAGCCAAACTTTGAGTCATAAAATTCAAAATGATTTATTAGTTATGCCCTCATGCTTTTGTCTAACCTTTCCTTAAAATGTAAGTCCCATGTATTGTTAGAACTCCCTTTTCCTCCGTATTCAATCTTATCTCCTTCTTGCATGATTATTCAGTAGAATTTATCCTCTTCCATAGGCCTAGTAACACTTTTTGTTTACTGGGATGCTGCTAGGACTGGAATTTTGTGGTCAGCAATAATTACCACGTATGAGAAGTTTATTAACATTTGCTGCCTGGATCAAGGGATTTTATTTTATTGTTGGTATTGAAGTAGGGAAATGAATACCTCAAGGATTTGCATATTTAGTCCATTACTAAGCAAATGACATAAAAATATATTTTGGTGGATTCAAAATAAAATGTAATCTCAGTTTATTTTTTTTGGAGAGCAGGTGTCCAGGGCCAAATCACATTGCTGTAGGATTAAGAATGTTGTTTATGTTACACTGATATTTGCTGTGTTTTTAATGCTTTCCCAAAATGATTTCTTCTCAAGTAAAAAATGCTGAGAAAGCTTGAATACCAGATGCCTAAGGGAGAGTTCAAAACATCAACAGCATCACACAGACACACACACACACACACTCTCTAATACTGGTATGTGTGTGAACATAAGCATTGTAAGTTTGCTTTTGCTATTAATGACTAGCATGGAGCTGGGCTATTTGCCACAATCAAAATGGAAAACTGAGAACTCTTGACACTTCTCATCAATTTGATCTTTTCCATTTCCTCAAGCTAATGAGGGCGATGGTTTTATTTGACACTAAAATATTTAGGAAATGTCTTAATTTAACAATGTGACAAGATGACTTAAGGTTAAGATAGAAGAAGAATGTGGTTCTTTAATGAAAGCAAATGTATTTCTAAGAAGCCTAAACATAGTTCATCTTGTCCTGTTGTGTATTTCAATATGAATGCCCTGTAATAATTAATGTTTAGAAGCATAAAATAAGGGAAAAAGTTGCGCCCCAAACTCTTAAGAAATTTTATGTTTCTGTGAAATATTTCCTTATGTTACTTGTCTCTTGATTTAAATGTGAAACAAATTTCAGTTCTCTAAACGAAGATACTTGCTAGCCTTACTAGGGTGAACTAGACATATAAAATTTGTTGTGAAAAGCTACAAGCAAAGCAATATGCAGTTTTGTGAAGGTCAGTGCAATGAATCCATAATATATCCACACATTACTGTCATCTCATTAGCTTTTGGTGGTAAGGACACGGTGTTTGTCCTTAGGAAGGAAACTTGCAGTATAACATTTCTAGGTCCATAGACCTAGATCTTGTTTATACTTGTCTTAGACAACAATTCAAGATCTTTTGGTTTGGGAGATAAGAATGTAAATTGGTTTCCTGATAGCCTTGAGACAAGGACATCTTCCCAATGAGTGAGCTACTAATTCTAAATAATGATTCTTGGCCTATTACCCAGTTTGGTCATATATATAATACTCTACACCACATTTAATACTTTGAGCATGTACAGTTAGAACGATGTTTGTTGATAGTTAAACAACTTTAGGATAAAATGAATTGCTTTATCAGCTTTTTTAGTTTTATTTTTTTCTACTTGGAAAGCATCATCTACATTTAAAAGTTAAAATAGCATTATTTTATAAACACATATCCATTCACTTTTTAAATAGTTATTCAGAGTCTATTTTATGATCATTATTATGAGGGATTATAAAAGAATTTATATTGACTGCCTTTACAAATCTGATATGGTTTAACTCTGTGTCCCCACCCTAATCTCATCTTGTGGGAGGGACCTTAGGGGGAGGTAATTGAATCATGGGGGCCAGTCTTTCCCGTGCTATTCTTGGGATAGTGAATAAGTCTCATGAGAGCTGATGGGTTTATCAGGGGTTTCTGCTTTTGTTTCTTCCTCATTTTCTCTTGCTGCCACCATGTAAGAAGTGCCTTTCACCTCCTGCCGTGATTCTGAGGCCTCCCCTGCCATGTGCAACTGTAAGTCCAATTAAACTTCTTTTTCTTCCCAGTCGTAGGTATGTCTTTATCAGCAGTGTGAAAACGGACTAATACAAAATCTTATTAACTGTTAGAAAAATAAAGACGTATATGTGTGTATGCACAACATATTCACACACACAGATATCACAAGGCCAGAAGTAATAAGGTACAGTGTGCTACAGTAATGAAGAGGATGAATGGGTCATTTATAACACCAGCAGATAATTTATTAAAATATTATCATGTAATATTTTTCCTACCCTGTTCACTGAAGATAGCCTTTAATAAGTTTTTTCCTTGTTGAAGACTTGTGTATAGGGCTGGCAATATCAATGAGAAAAGAGTGACTAATTTATTCAAAGCCAAAGTCAGCAGTTTGATATGAAAGTAGAGGAGGATCTGGGGAGCAGGACTTATTTAGTGTGAGTCCCTCCAAGGGATAATGGGCCCTAGAAGGATTTATTTCTAAATAAGTCCTAGAAGGGCCCTGTGTGTATGATTTATTTAAGGAGATAGGAACATAGGGAATGAACATTCTGACCTTGGTAAATGTTCCTGGATTCTACATAGGCACAGAAGTAGAACCATCTGATCTATAGGATCCATGTAGACTGGACAATGGGCATCAGAGTGTAAGCTACTGTGAGTCAGTAATATGCATGGAGGGATCTCCTTGGCCCTGTATCTTTGAACCAACCTGGGAAAAAGAGCTGCACTTATATTTGAAAAGACTGAGGGCTCAGGGTTTGATTTGATTTAAAGGAATTGAAATAGTTTGTTATTTTTTGTTCATATAAGTTTGTGGACTGTATTTTATATCTACTGCATGTAGAGATTTACTAGGATTTACTACCATCCCCACCAAAACCAGATCTGCTTCAAGGTTTGGTTGTTGTTGATCAGAATGGGGCAAAACAATTTCGAGACAATTGCTGAAAATTTGATTGGTATTCAGGAAAGAGCATGGTCTTTCAGGAGTCACTGACATAGGGCACATTAGTGTGTTGTGATGAGAATGACTTTGAAAACCCTTGGAAAGTTATAAACTGTTCACAAAAGGAAGGAAAAGAGGAATATATATACCTTCTAATACTTTACTGATTCTGTTTGTGTCTCTTCTATTCACAAAATAAAAATTTGGAAGAGATTCATCAAAGATGATCTTTTAAGTCCCTATGTTGATTTTGGTTTTTTAAGGAGAGGAAAGGTACTTGGAAGCCACAGTTGCAGTAACCTGTGTCAGGAGAACACTTATCACCACCCCTAGATATGACACCTGAAACACAGACTAATGCAAGGGGACAGGTGGTAGAGAAGGTTGTTTGAAAGAAGCGATTGTGACCTTCCAGATGCAGAATTTCGGGACATAAAGATGTCATATAGAAGAAGAAAGCTTAGGATCCTGGAGCATGCCTTAGAGGTTCTGCAGCAGTGGCAGGTGGTACTGAATCCAGAATAGGCAACAGTTAGGGATGACTGAGTCCATGATTCAGACATGGAGATCATCATACTTGCAAGGGAAATATTTAAGGGATTGTGTTTGAATATTTATGTAATACTCATCATCATAAAAAACACAGGCAAGTGTAACACCCACAGTCTTATAAAGCAGTTACACAATCAAGACTGCAAAAACAATTAGGTAACAATTAACATTATGCTATGAAGAAAATTTCACATATCAACACTAACCTTAAACATAAACAAACTAAATGGTCCACATAAAATATATAGGCTGCTGGAAAATATTAAAAAATCAAAATCCAACCATTGGCTGCATACAGGAAACCCACCTAACTGATAAATACACTTACAGATTCAAAGTAAAGGAGTGGAAAAAGTTATTCCACACAAATGGAAAGGAAAAGTAAGCAGGGGTAGCTATACTTTTATCAGATAAAACAGAATCTAAATCCACTACAGGTTTTTTTTTAAAAGGCCATTATGTCATGATAAAGAATCAGTTAAACAAGAAGATATAACGACTCTAAATTATATGCATCCAACACTGGAGCACCCAGATTCATAAAACAAATACTACTAGACCTAAGAAAAAAATAGAAGGCAATGCAATAATAGTACGATCTTCAGTATCAAACTGACAGCACTAGAGAAATCACCAAGGCAGAAAATCAGCAAAGAAACTCTGGATTTAAATTGTACCCTGGACCTAAAAGACCTAACACACATTTAAAGAACATTCTATCCTATTACTACAGGACATATATTCTTCTCATCTGTGTGTGGGACATAGTCAAAAATTGATGGTATGCTAGGCCTCAAGGCAAGTCTAAATAAATTTTTAAAAATCAAAATCACATCAAGTAACCTCTCAAACCACAGTGGAATAAAACTAGAAATCAATACTAAGTGGGACTCTCAAAATAATACATGGAAGTTAAATTATCTGCTTCACAACAACCAAACCTTTGGGATACAGCAAAAGCAGTACTTAGGGGGTATTTATAGCATTAAATCCCTACATCAAAAAGGTAGAAAGATCTCAAATTAACAACCTAATGTCACACCTCAAGGGATTAGGAAAACAAGAACAAGCCACACCTAAAGTTAGAAGAAAAGCAGTAACAAACATCAGAGCACTACTAAATGAAGTTGACAAAAAAAAAATCATAAATAAAAAAATGCATCAGTGAAATGAAAAATTTTTTTTGAAAAGATAAACAAAATTGATAGATTGCTAGCTAGATTAGCCAAGAAATAAGATTCAAATAAGCACTATCTGAAATGACAAATTTGTCATTACAACTGATGCAACAGAAATACAGAAGATCGTCAGAGACTTACAAACGACTATGCACTGACAAATTAGAAAACCTAGAGGAAATAGCTCTAGTTTCTAGAAGAAACATATAACCTCCAAATATTGAACCAGAAAGAAATAGAAATTCTGAACAGACCAATAATAAATAGAGAACTTGAATCAGTAGTAAAAAAAAATCTCCCAGCAACAGCAACAACAAAAAAGCCCAGGACCAGGCAGATTCACAGCTAAATTCTACCAGATGTACAAGGAAGAACTATTAGGTGCAAAAGTAATTGTGGATTTTGCCATTGAAAGTAATGGCAAAAACCGCAATCACTTTTGCACTAATGATACCAGTCCTCCTGAAACTGGCTGAAAAACTCAAGGAGGAGGGAATCCTCCTTAACTCATTCTGTGAAGCCGGCATTACACTTATTCCAAAGCCAGGAAAAGAAACAAGAACAACAACAAAAGAGAAAAATACAGACCAACATCTTTGATGAACATACATACAAAAATCCGCAAGAAAATACTAACAAACTGAATGCAACAACACATGAAAAAGATAATACACCATTATCAAGTGAGTTTTATTCCATGATGCAAGGTTGATTCAACATATGCCAGTCAATATATGTGATTCACTACATAAACAGAATTACAAACAATAATGATATGATCATATCAATAGATGCAGAAAAAGCATTTGATGAAATTCTGCATTCTTTTATGATTGAAAACTCTTACCAAACTAGGCATAGAAGGAACATACCTCAAAATAATGAAAACAATATATGAGAAACTTACAGCCAACATCATGCTGAATGAGGAAATGTTGAAAGCATTCCTCCTGATAACTGGAACAAGACAAGAATGCCTACTTTCACTATTGCTATTCAACAAGACACTGGAAGTCCTAGCTAGAGCAATCAGGGAGTAGAAAGAAGTGAAAGGGATCAAAATTAAAAACCAGGAAGTAAAATCATCCCTGTTTGCTGATGATACCAAGACAATGCTAAAAATCTTCCAAAACCCTCCTAGATTTGATTAATGACTTCTGTAAAGTTTTAAGATACAAAATCAATATACAAAAATCTATATGCATTTCTATACAGCAATAATGATTAAGTTGAGAACCAAGTCAAGAACTCAATCCAATTTACAATAGCTACCAAAAAAAAAATACATAGAAAAAAATTTAACCAAGGAGGTAAAAAATCTCCAAAAGGAGAACTACAAAACACTGATGAAAGAAATCAGAGATGACACAAATAAATAATAAAACATCCCATGCTCATGGATCAGAATAATCAATATTGTTAAAATGACAATACTGTCTAATGCAGTCTACAGATTCAATGAAATTCCTATCAAATTACCAATGTCATTTTTCACATAGTTATTAAACAATATTCCTAATATTCATATGGAACCAAAAAAGAGCTTGAACAGCCAAAGCATTTCTAAGCAAAAAGAATAAAGCTGGAGGTAAAAAATTACTTCACTTTGAATTATACTACAAGATTATAGTAACCCAAACAGCATGTACTTGTTTATAAAAATAGATGCATAGATCAGTGGAACAGAATAGAAAACCCAGAAATAAAGCCACATATCTACAACCAACTGTTCTTTGACAAAGTCGACAAAATAGGCACTGGGCAAAGGACACCCTATACAATAAATAGTGCTGGGAAAATTGGAGAGCCATGTGCACAAGAATTAATCTGGACTCCGATCTCTCACCAATGTAAAACCTGAAATTATGAAAATATTACAAGAAAACCTAGAGAAAAGTCTTTTGTTCATCGGTCTAGGCAAGGAATTTATGACTAAGTCCTCAAAAGGAAATGCAACAAACACAAAAACAGACAAATGGAACAAATTAGCTAAAAAGTTTCTGCACAGCAAAAGAAGTAACCAACAGTAAACAGACAACATAAAGAATGGAAGAAAATATTTGCAAACAATGCATCTAACCAATTGCTAATATTCAGAATCTACAAGGAACTGAAACAAGAAAAAAACATTAAAATTGTACAAAAGACATATTTCAAAAGAAGACGTGCAAGCAGCCACCAAGTATATAAAAAATTCTCAACATCACTAATCACCAGAGAAATACAAACTAAAACCACACTGAAATACCATCTTACACCACTTCCAGTGGCCATTATTAAAAATACAAAGCCAACAGATGTTGGCAAGGATGCAGAGAAAGGGGAACATTTATACACTGTTGGTTGGAATCTAAATTAGTATAACCTCTATAGATAACAGTATGGAGATTTCTCAAGGAACTAAAAATAGAACTACCCTTTGATCCAGTAATCCCACTACTGAATATCTATCCAAAGGAAAAAAAATAATTTGATCGAAAAGACATCTGTACTCATATGTTTACTGTAGTAATATTCACAATAGCAAAATCATGTAATCAACCTAAGTGGTCATCAATAGATGACTGGATAAAAAATATGGCATATGTGTGATCTATCTATCTATCTATCTATCTATGTATCTATCCATTATGGAATACTACTTAGCCATAAAAAATGCAATCATGTCTTTTGCAGCAACACAGATGGAACAGTAGGCCATTATCCTTAGTGAAATAACTCAGAAACAGAAAATCAAATACCCTGTGTGGTCATTTATAACTGGGAGCTGAACAAAGGGTACAAACAGACACATAGAGTGGAATAATAGATATTGGTGACTCCAAAAGATGGGTCTCTATCTTTTGGTGGGGAGGGGTATGAGGTATTGGGTACAATGTACACTCTTTGAGTGAATGGGTACTCTAAAATCCCAGACTTCACCACTACATGACATAGCCACATAACACAACTGTAGTTGTACCCTTAAATCCATAAAAATAAAAATAATCAATTAAGAAACCCAAATGGGGTTTGAGACTGTTTGAGAGTATACCAGGTAACTGGCCTAAATACCCATCAGATTAAAATTAGAGACTTGGTCAGAAAGAGTTCCAGTTCTAGAATCCTTAGACTCAGATGTGTGGATCTAGTCCTGAAACATTCCTATTGCCCATTCTACTTTTACCTAACACCTACTAAATACTACAGTCTGGATTATACATAATTTTCTACAAGTCTAATCTCCAGAGACTTGGTAAGATGCTCTGTTACAAATTGCCACTGCACACTGTATGTTTGTGTTGTACTTATCACAATTGTAATTAAATTTTTTAGCAATTTATTTTCTTAATATCTACCTCTTTTTCTGGTTTCTAAGTCCCACCAGCTCAGGCACTGTTATCACTAAATTCTCAGTACTTAGGGTAGGGCTTGACTCAGAGTAGGTGTTCAATAACTATGCCTTGAATGAATGAATGAATGATTTAGACTGAAACATGGGTTTGCCATAGGAAGTTCTGGGAGGTAAAACTTAAGAGAGAGGCTAAAATAAAATTCTGGAGTGTTCTAAGTATCAATCAGTGTAGTTTGGTCTTTTTCTAAGTCATGAATACCTTTGAAACTGCTCAGAAGAGTATTCCACATTCAGACAACTGGTGGGAGGTCACTCTGGGTACATTTTTTCAAATAGTGCACCATACCCCAAATACTGAAGAGATATTGACAGTTATATATTTGTAAATCAGAAAAATGGGTAGAGTCACATGCTTTACTTCAAGCAGCAAATTCATATCACAAGCAAATAAAGGGAAGGGAAGGGAAGAAAGTAAAAAGTAAAAGAAGAAAGAGACAAAAACAACTTTCTATAGAGAGTATCTGTGAAAGAGCTATGTTTATCTTAAATTAGCTCAGTCTAAAATTTTGGCACAGTAGAAATGACTTAGCAGATGATTTCATATAGCAGTGGCTCAGCTTTTAGTACAATTGTCTGGAATGAAAGGTCACTCTCTGATCTTCCCAAGCAGGTAGCAATGCTACATTTGAAATGCCTGCGCAGCCTAGTCTCTGCTTTTTTGACCTTATCTGAAGATGGTTTTCAATATGCTAATATCTCTGTTAATGAGATCCAAACAGTACTCACCATGCATGAATGACTGGGATCTAATTATGGCAAATTCTCCATCCAGTAGCTTTTGCAGCAGGGCTTATTCAGTTCTATAGGCCAGACTAAAGCAGGGTAAAGGTCTGTTTTTGCTATTTCAAACAAAAGTTCAACTCCAAGTCTCATTTTTAAAAACTTTCATGTTATGAATGGCCTTACTGCTCAGGGCTTAAAGAAATAGTGAAATGTGGAGAGCAAGGGCAAGTGAGTTAGATCCACAGCCAAACACATCTCCGCCACTCTCACATCTTCTTGGAAACTGCTTCCGGGCCTTAAGAAGTTGCATAGAATTAAAAAAAAAAAAAAAAAAAAAAGAAGAAGAGAAGGAGGAGGATGATGGGGATAAAGCAGTAATAGTAAAATATGAAATAAAATACTAATTACTACCGAAGCAGCAGGTGCTTTAAACACCTTTTATAGGTTTCTCATTTGATCCTCACAGTAATTATGACATAGGAGCTATTATTATCTCCATTTGACATATGAGAAAATGACAGCTTAGAGAAATAATTAAGGGAGCCAGGTCTGGGCCTTTTTAGCTCATAACTGCATGGGTGGAAGAGAAAGATGAAAGGATGGGGTATGTGGCCCTTGATCTCAGATCATCTTTAAGGAAGGTTAGAAATATGGACAATTAAGAGAGTAGCTTTTTTTGAGGTCACAAATATTACAAATTAAACACTGAAAAGGAAAACTCAGCAAGAGTTACAAATCAAATGTCAAGTCATACTGAGCCTGAGAGATGTTTTGGGCCATGGAAGAAAAGAGTGTTTGGATGGGTGGGGGAAAGGACAGCTACATGGTGCTCTGCTTGCCAGAGCATTACATCAGGATCAGAAATAGGGATGAAGAATACGTGAGAAAGTAAATGTGTCCAGCTGGAATGGAAGAAACAGGTGTGGTGGTGGCTGCAGCTAAATTGAGAGAATAATGGGATTCTCAAATGTGAGGCTAAGGAATTTGGGTTGTATAGAGTAAATAATGGGAGTTACTAATGTAATTTAAGCAAGAAAACCTTTGAAATAAATTTGTTTGGAAGACTAATTTGCAGGGTGATTTGAAGTGGGCTGCATGACTTATGCCAAGGAAACAAATGGCATAGCTATTATATTCATTTAAGAACAAAAGGAAAAAGAATGAAATAAGATGTTGGCAGAGGAAATGGAAAGGAAGGAATAGGTAGAAAAAAATGTAAGGAATAATTTCCTTAGCTTGAAAATTCTACCAATATTATGCAATAATTACATTAAATTAAGAACATTAGGGATCTAGGTAATTTATGGCAAGAAATATCATCTTTGTATTATTAAATAGATTTTTCAAATGATTACTTTAGCAAAAATCATTATTTAATTTTCATAAGCAGAAGTGTGCTAAAAAGTTTCTAGGCATTTGACAAATTATTCATTTCAATGTGGTTGCTGCTTGGGTGATTGAAAATTGGCAAAACTTTTAATTTTATGTTTTATGTTCTTTATTTTTAATCAGTAAGCCTTTGAGACAGATAAATTTATCTGGACAATCATGTCTTCTACAACATAGGGGCTTATTATAATGAAAAAAAGAATGAAGTTCAAGTGATCATGTGAAAAATAAAACAGTTGCATTTTCTGGTTAAATACTAATTTGTAGAGAATTACATGGGTGTTGCTTGTTAAAATTGCCACAAATAGCAGTATTGCCATTTGTATTGTTTTTTGTACAAAATGCCATGGTTCAAATTATGGTTTAAATAACATCCTAGAGAAACATGTTTAATTTATTAGCCATAAACAGAGTCCAAATTTTAGAGAAGCTGAAAGGAAAATATTTTTAACTAGAACACATGCTGACTCTAGCGAGGATAAGAGGCTGTGTACGTATCAGCAAATCTGGTAAGGGATGGCTTAGGAAGAGGCAATGACCGAGTCACCTCAGAGTTCACTTCTTCTGCTTTTTCTTTAAGGAGTACAGGTGCCTCTACCTGTTGTGTAGATGACCATTAAAGTCTCTCTTAACTTTCAGAAGACTATTTCAAAGGATTTTAGTTTACAAGGGTTCAATCACTTCATGAGAATTTTTAAGCCTCTGTTATTGTAGAGCTCTATTATATGTAGGCATTTGAAGGAGATAGAAGGAACAGAAGTAATTCCTACCTGCTAGAAACTCCAAGTAAGAAAGTGTTTATAAAAACTATAAAGATCTTTCAAAATCAACTTGAAAATAAACTAGAAATGGGTTAGACTTAAAGGTAGACCCTGAAACTGTAAGACTACCAGAAGAAAGCATTGGGGAAACTACAGGACATTGGTCTGGGTAAAGATTTTTTGGGGCAAGACCACAAAAGCAGAGACAACCAAGGCAAAAATTGGCAAATGGGATTACAACAAGATAAAAATTGCCTGCACAGCAAAGAAAACAATCAACAAAGTGAAGAGACAATCTACAGAATGGGAGAAAATATGTGAAAAATATTCATCTGACAAGGAACTAATATCCAGTAAGTATAAGAAACTCAACTCAATAGTCAAACAAACAATCTGATTTTAAGATACGCAAAAGATCTGAATAGATATTTCTTGAAGACATACAATGGACAACAACTGTATGAAAAAAATGCTCAACATCATTAATCTTCAGATAAATGCAAATCTAAACCACACTGAGATGTCGTCTCACTCCAGATAAAATGGCTATTATCAAAAAGGCAGAAAATAACAAATGCTGATTAGGATGCGAAGAAAGAGGAGTGCTTGTACACTGTTGGTGGGAATGTAAAGTAGTACAGCCTTTATGGAAAACAATATGGAGGTTCCTCAAAAAACTAAAAATAGAACCACCATATGATCCAGCAATCCCACTACTGGGTACATACACAAAGGGAATGAAATCAGTATGTCAAAGAGGTTTCTACACTCCCATGTTTATTGCAGCACTATTCACAATAGCCAAGATTTGGAATCAACCTAAATGTCCAACAACAGGTGACTGTATAAAGAAAATGTGGTGTATATACACAATAGAATACGGCCATAAAAAGAATAAATTCGGCCATAAAAAGAATAAAATCCTGTCATTTGCAGCAACATGAATGGGATCGAAGGTCATTATTTTAAGTTAAATAAGCCAGGCACAGAAAGACAAATATCACATGTTCTCACTCATATGTGAGAGTTAAAAAGTGGACGTCATGGAGGTAGAGAGTAGAATGGTGGTTGTCAGATGTTGGAAAGGGAAGGGGGAATGAAGAGAAGTTGATTAATGGGTACAAAAATGCAGTTAGATAGAAGGAATAGGTTCTAGTATTTGATAGCACAGTAGGAAAAATTATAGTTAACAATAATTTATTCTATATTTCAAAATACTTGGAAGAGAAGAATTGTAATATTACCAACATTAAAAAGATAGATGTTTGAGGTGATGTATATTCCAGTTACACTGATTTGATCATCACACATTGTATACCTATATCAAAGTATCAGATGAACCCCCAAAATATGTACAACTATTATATAGTGATAAAAGTATAAAAAATTTAAAAGAAACATAAAAAGAGAGAAAGATGGACCATGACATGTTGGCAAGTAAGAGTGAAGGAAACCAGTGGGACACAAACAGAGAATTTAATGAGGAGTCTGGAAACCCAGGTCCTGGTCTTATCTGTGACTTGAGATAAGCTGCTTGCAGTGGTTGGGCCTTAAAATTATCTGAAATACTAGGCCATCTTAAAGCTGCTACCCAACTCCATAGTTACATAAAATTTTCAAGTTGGGCTAATGTTCAAAATGGAAATTATTTTATTAATACAACTTTTTTTTTTCTAGAGTCTGATGAAAATTCATGTGTTAGCTTTAAACAACTATTGGACATTTTGCATTTTGCATCCAACCAACCAAATTTAGTTGTTGGTTTCTTTTCCATAGTTACTGCAGCTAAGAAATTGAATGATGCTGTTATAGGCATTATTTATATAAACTGTAAACCCTACAAGACAGCATTATGATTTTGCTTTAAATAGTTATGTGTATTTTAAATAAAGAGTAAAACACATCATTATATTTACTTATACATTTTTAATTTTTAATGTTCTTTATTAATCCCTATAAGTCCAAGTTTTCTCTTGGTGTTATTTCCCTTCAGCTTGTTGAATTTTGTTAGCATTTCTTGTAGTGCAGTTCTGGTGGCAATAATTCCTGTTTCATTTAACTGAAAATGTCTTTATTTCATCTTCATTTTTGGATGATATTCTTGTTGAATATAGAATTTTGGGCTGACAGTATTTTTTTATTAGTCATCTCGATCTAATTTATATTTATTGAACTCTTAGCCCCACTTCAGAATACATATTATTTTCAAGATCACATAGTAAATTCACCAAAGAAGACTGTATACTGGGTTGTAAAATAAATCTGAATGTATTTTAAAAGGTCTAACTAATATAGATTATGTATGTTTTCAGACCATAACCAAATTAAATTAGAAGTCAATAACAGTGACATACCTTGAAATTGCCAAATATCTGAAAAATAAACAATGCAATTCTAAATCTATAGTTTGAAGAAGGAATCACAAAAATAATTGAGAAATATTTAAAACTAAATGACAATAAATTACAATCTACCGAAATTTAAGGGATGTAGATAAAGCAATGTTTAGAGAGAAATTTATTTTAGTTTAATTTACTATAAATGTTTACATTAGAACAGAGTTCCAAAATCAATGATATAAAAAATAGAAGGTATATGATAAAGATAAAAACCAAAGTCAATAAAATAAGAAACAAACAACAGGAAAAATTAATAATGCCAAAAGCTGGTTTTTTTTTTTTTTTTTTGTAAAGTAATAAAATAGACTTCTGGTTTCTGTCTGGCTTGTTATCAGTTGTCACTTCCATGCCCACAACCAGAAAAACCTGAACAAACTGAAAATTAACAACTCTTCTTATACCCATCAGAGAATTGAGGGCACAGGACAAATTGCTATCCCCAAATAGGAGAGACAAGTAGATGCACAGAATCACAGCTTACTAGACCAAAAGAAAAAAAAAAAGAAAAAAGAAACACACAGCACTAAAAATAAAAGATAATAAAATACTTAAGTAAAAATCTAACAAAATATCTACAAGATTTGTATAAGGAAAACTAAAACTCTGATGAGAGAAATCAAAAGATCTAAATAAATGGAGAGATATTCCACACACAATATCTTCTCAATATTGTCAAGGTGTCATTTCTTACCAATGTTAAATGTATACTCTATACAATCCCAATCAAAATCTCAGCCAGTTATTTTGGGAATATCAGCAAACAGATTCTAAAATTTATATGGAGAGGCAAAAGACCTTGGATAGCCAATACAACATTGAAAATGAAGAACAAAGTTAGAGGACTGACACTATCCAACTTGAAGACTTATCATAAAGTGACAGAAATCCAGACAGTGCAGTATTGGTAAAAGAATAGACAAATATATTAATGGGACAGAATAGGGAGCCCAGAAATAGATCCACACAAATGTAGTCCACTAATCTTTGTCAAAAGATCAAAGGCAATTCAACAGAAAAAGATAGTTTTTTTTTAAACAAATGTTGCTAGAACAACTGGACATCCACATGCAGAACTATGAATCCAGGCACAGACTATATGCCTTTAATGAAAATGTGATTATATAACTAAATGTAAAATTCAAAACTTTATTATGCCTAGTCGATAACATAAGAGGAAATCCAGATGACCTTGTATCTGGCAATTACTTCTAAGATACAACAACAAAAACATGCATGAGAGAAAAAATTGATAAGTGGGTACTGTGCTCAGTACCTGGATGACAGGATCATTCATACCCCAAACCTTAGCATCATGCAATGTACCCACACAACAAACCTGCACATGTACCGCCATATCTAAATTAAAAGCTGAAAGTCTAACACATACAATTATGTATAGTACATGCTACTTGATAAAAATAAATGACTATGTCATTGGTTTATGTATTTACTATACTATGCGTTTTGTCACTTAGAGTGTACCCCTTTTACTTATTAAAAAAAAGTTTACCATAAAACAGTATGCCATGTCACATCAGCAGCTACCTCATACATCTTGTGTTTACCATAACTCTTGATTTTATTATTTTTCTTATGCTTGATTTAATCTTACATTGTTTTGTTCATTATGGCACCTCAGTGTACAAAATCCTTTGTTAATGTTACCAATAAGAGGCCATATTGAATAATTGACCTGAAACTTAATTAAGTGATTAAAGGTAACAGGTAGAAAATAAATGCTGGTTATGGCTTACCAGGAAATCATGTCCCATTCCACCATAGCTATGATCTTGAATAACAAGGAGAATGTGGCTAAAGTTGTTAAAGGATCTGCTTCATTGATGGCAACAAGACTAACAAAAATTTGAGAAAAGCTAGTGTTAAATATGGAAAAACTTCTGATGACTTGGATTGCAGATCAGACTCAGA
Organism: Homo sapiens; assembly: GCF_000001405.40. NCBI lineage: Eukaryota > Metazoa > Chordata > Mammalia > Primates > Hominidae > Homo > Homo sapiens. Next base: position 38,490,684 of record NC_000014.9, on the reverse strand, counting down.
AACATACCCTTCTCAGCACTTTGATAATCATGGCCAAAACAAAAAGTTTGCTTGCAATGTTGAAAGAAAAGGCTGAACCTCTCAGTAATGTTTAATTTACTCCTAGCTCTGTGTGGTTTAACCATGTCAAGAATCATTCATTACCTAATGTGAAAGTGAGAGATGAGTCTGTGAATGCTGATGTGAAGGCAGCTAAAGAAGTTTTGGAAACTCCAGATAAGCTCATTGTGGAGGTAAGTTACTTACCAGAGCAAATCATTAACATGGATGAAACCTCTTTATTCTGGATACACATGCCTGAAAAGACTTTCATGTATAAGGAGGCCCAGTCAATGCCAGGTTTCACAGCTTTTAATGACAGGGTAAAAGTCTTGCTTGTGGGCAAAGTTGCAAGCTACAAGTTCAAATCCTTTGTAATCTGACGTAGTGAGAACCCCAGAGCTTTCAAAGCTTATAAATATATACATTCTGCTAGCGTACTGCAGGAACAATAAGGAGCTGTGGGATGCCCCAGCTTCTTTTGCAAGATGCCTTCCTGAATTGCTATGCAAGCAAAATGGAGAAGTACTGTTTGGAGAATAACTTCCAGCGAACTTGATCCAACCAATAGATCAAAGAGTTATGGCAACTTTTAAGGCCTACTACCTGAGAATGAGCTTTTCCCAGGCTATTGCTGAAACTGAAGAAGACACCATGAAAACATGATGCAATTCTGGAAAGAGCATATCTATAGCTGCACTAAAAACCTTTTTTGGGTTTGGGTAATATCATCAAGGAGTATGAATGGCATCTGAAGAAAGGTACTTAAGAGATTTGCATAACTTCAAAGACATTGCAAAAATCAACAAGGCTGTGGTTGAAATTTCAAACAACTTTAATCTGGGTTGACATTGAGGAGAATAAGAACCCCAAGAAAATTTATAGTGAAGTGTTCAGTAGAAGCTTTTGCAGACCTCAACAAGTCCTATTAGAAGTTTCAAAACATGGACCTCAACACCAAATGGTTTTTATTCATAGAGAAGAATGTTCATGGTACATTATCAGCTTACAAGCAAATCTATGATGAAAGAAAAAACAAACCAAGAAAATCACCATGGAGAAGTGACACCTGCAAAGAGTGACACCTCCTCAAGAAGAGCCTCAGGCAGATGCTTCAGTAGGTGTTTCAAAAGGAGACATTGCCAGATGATAGTCCATGTGCGTTATTGCCCTTGAAGACAGCCCAGTAAGACAAGACGTAAAGGTACAAGACAGTCATATTGATTATCTTGCCTTGAGTAGGCCTAGGCTAACTTGTGTGTTTGTGTCTTAGTTTTTAACAAAAAGTGAAAAAGGTAAAAAAACTTAGAAAAAGCTTAAAGACTAAGGATATAAAGAAAGAAAATATTTTTTACAGCTGTATAAAGTATTTGTGTTTTAAGCTAAGTGCTATTTAAAAAGAGTCGAAAGGTAAAATTTAAAATTTTGTGAATTAAAAATGTTACAGTAAGCTAAGGACAATTTATTATGGAATACATTTTTATAATTTGTGCAGCCTAAGGGTACTATACATTGTTTATAAAGTCTACCTAGTATACAGTAATGTCATAGGCCTTCACATCCACTTACTATTCACTCACTGATTCACCCAGAGCAACTTTCATCCACTTCCACTTTAAGTGCCCTATACTATTTTTAATTTTTATATTATATTTTTATAGTGCCTTTTCTACATTTAGAAATATTTAGACATATAAATACTTGCCATTGTGTTACGGTTGCCTGCAGTATTTGGTACAGTAATATGTTGTACATGTTTGTAGCCTAAGAGTGATAGGCTATACCATATAGCCTAGGTGTGTAGTAGGCTATACTATCTAGGTTTGTGTAAGTACACTGTATGATGTTCACATGACAATATTGCCTATCAATGCATTTCTCTGAAACTATCCCCATTGTTAAGTGATGCATGAGTGTACTAACAATAAACTATCTGAAAAAGGAATTAAGAAAACAATTCAATTTACAATAGCCTAAAAATAATAAAATACCTAGAAATAAATTCTACTAGAGAGAGGACAAGTTTCTACATTGAAATTTATAAAATAGTAATAAAAGAAATTGAAGACAAAAATAAAATAAATGGAAAGATAACGTGTGTTCATGATTTGGAAGAACCAATATTATTAAAATGTTCATAATACCTGAATGATCTACAGATTCAAGAAATCCCTATCAAAATTCCAATGACATTTTCCACAGAAATAGAAAAAAAAATCCTAAAATCATATGGAACTACAAAAGACCATGAAAAAGTATAGCATTCTTGAGAAAGAAAAACATAGCTGAAGTTATATTACCTGCTCTCAAAGTATATTACAAAGCTATAGTAATCAAAACAGTGTTTTTGACATAAAAACAGACACATATACAAATGGGACAGAATGAAGAGCCTAGAAATAAATTCATCATATACAGTCAACTAATATTTAACAAAAGTGCCAACAATATAGATGAGGAAATGACTCTTTTCAATCAATTGTATTGAGAAAGCAGGATATCAACATGCAAAAAAAAATTGGATCCTTATCTTATACTGTATATCAATATTAACTCAGAATTGCTTAGACTTAATTGTAGGACCTAAAACCATTAAAATCTTAGAAGATAACATAAGGAAAAAACTTTCTATTCCAATGATTTTATGAATATTTCTGCTCACTGCAACCTCCCCCTCCCGGGTTCAAGCGATTCTCCTGTCTCAGCCTCCTGAGTAGCTGGGATTACAGGCGCGTGCCACCACAGCCGGTTAGTGTCTGTATTTTTAGTAGAGACGGGGTTTCACCATGTTAGTCAGGCTGGTCTTGAACTCCTGACCTCGTGATCCGCCCACATTGGCCTCCCAAAGTGCTGGGATTACAGGCGTGAGCCCAGCCAATTATTTTAATTTTTAGCCCCTACTGATGAGTGAGAACATGCAAAGTTTGACTTTTTGTGCTTGGCCTATTTCACTTAACATAATGTCCTCCAGTTCCATCCATGTTGTTGCAAATGACAAGATATTCTTTTTTATGGCTGAATGGTGCTTCATTGTGTATATACACTGCATTTTCTTTATCCACTTTCTGTTGATGAACACAGGTTACTTCCAAATCTTGGCTATTGTGAATAATGCTGTAATAAACAATGGAGTGTAGGTATCTCTTTAATATGCTGATTTCCTTTCTTTTGAGCATATATCCAGCAGTGAGATTGCTGGATCATATGGTAGCTCTATTTCTAGATTTTTGAGGAACCTCCAAACTGTTCTCCATGGTGGTTATACCCATTTAACTTCTGCCAACAGTATATAAGCATTCTCTTTTCTCCACATTCTTGTCAGCATTCATTATCTCCTGTCTTTAGCATATAAGCCATTTAAATTGGGGTAATATGATGTCTCATTATAGTTTGTTTTGTATTTTTCTGATGATCAAGGATATTGAGCACCTTTCCATATACCTGTTTGCCATTTATAAGTCTTCTTTTCAGAAATGTTTATTCAGATATTTTCTCCCTCTTGACTTGTTTGAGCTCTTCATATATTCTGGTTATTAATCCCTTGTTAGATAGGTAGTTTGCAAATATTTTTTTCTTATTCTATGGGTTATCTCTTCATGTTGTTGATTTTTTCCTGTGTGGTGCAGAAACTTTTTAAATTGATGTGATCCATTTCTACTTTGGTTGCCTGTGCTTTTGGGTATTACTCAAGAAGTTGTTGCCCAGACCAATGCCCCAAAAATCTCCCCACTGTTTTCTTTTAGTAGTTTCATAGTTTGAGGTCTTAGATTTAAGTATTTAATCCATTTTGATTTTATTTTCGTATATTGCAAGAGATAGGGGTCTAGTTTCACTCTTCTGTGTAAGGATATTCAGTTTTTCCAGCACCATTTATTGAAGAGAATGTCCTCTCCCCAATGTATGTTTTTGGCAACTTTATCAAAAGCAAGTTCTCTATAGATGTATAGATTTATTTCTGGGTTCTATATATTCCATTGGTCTATGTGTCTGTTTTTATGCTGGTACCATGGTATTTTTGTTACTATACCTCTACAGTATAATTTGAAGTCTGGTAATGTGATTCCTCATTTCATACTTTTTGCTCAGGATAGCTTTGGCTGTTCTGGGTCTTTTGTGGTTCCACATAAATTTTAGAATTGCTTTTGCTATTTCTGTGAAGAATATCATTGGTATTTGATAGAGACTGTATTGAATCTGTAGATCGCTTTGGGTAGGATGCACATTTTAACTATATTTGATTCTTTCAGTCTATGAACATGCACTATCTTTTCATTTTTCATGTCCACTTCAATTTCTTACATCAATATTTTATAATTTTCCTTGTAGTAATCTCTCACGTCTTTAAGTTTATTCCTAGGTGTTTAATTTTATTTGTAGCTATTGTAAACTAGATTACTGTATTGATATCTTTTCAGATTGTTCACTGGTGGCATGTATTAATAGAAGTGCTATTGATTTGGTAACCTGAGACTTTACTGAATTTATTTATGTTTTAATAGTTTTTTGTAGAATCTTTAAGTTTTTCCAAATATAAGTTCGCATTATCTGCAAACAAGAATAATTTGACTTCTTTCTCTTTCCAATTTTCATGCCTTTTATTTCATTCTGTTTTCTGATTGCTCTAGTTAGGGAAGTCAGGTAATGTGTTAAATAACACTGGTAAAAATGGGGCATCCTTGTCTTGTTCCATATCTTAGAACAAAGGCTTTCAGTGTTTGCTCATTTAGTATTATATTAGCTGTGGGTCTGTCATATATGGCTTTTATTGTGTTGAAATATGTTCCCTTCTATACCCAGTTTTTTAGGGTTTATATCATGAAGGGATGATGAATTTCATCAAATATTTATTCAGCCTCAGTTTTAAATTATCATATGGCTTTTGTTCTTCATTCTGTGATACGATGTATGACATTGATCAGTTTGCATATGTTGAGCTATCCTTGCATCACTGGGATGAATGCCACCTGGTCATGATGAATGATCTTTTTAATACGTTATTGAATTCAGTTTGCTGGTATTTTGTTGAGGATTTTTACAGCATTCTTCATCAGAGATACTGTCTTATAGTCTTTTTTTAATATGTCTTTTTTGGTTTCAGTACCAAGGTAACACTGGGCTGGTAGAAGTTTTTAAATTTTCTTCTTAATTTCTTCATTGACTCACTGGTCATTCAGGAATATATTATTTAATTTCCATGTGTTTGTATCATTTCCAAAGTTTCTGTTGTTATTAATTTCTAGTTTTATTCCATTGTGGTCAGAGAAATTACTTGATATGATTTCAAATTTTTTGAATGTTTTAAGACTCGTTTTGTGACCTAACATATGGTCTATACTTGAGAATGATCCATGTACTTAGGAGAAGAATTTGGATTCTGCAGCTGTTGGATAAAATGTTATGTAAACTTCTATTAAGTCCATTTAGCGTACAGTGCAGATTAGGTTCAATTAGTCTTGGTTGATTTTCTGTCTGGATGATCTGTCAAATGCTGAAAAAGGGGTGTTAAATTTTCCAACTGTTAGTGTACTGAAGTCTCTCTCTTTAGCTCTGATAATATTTGCTTTACATATCTGGATGTTCCAATGTTGAGTGCATATATATTTACAATTTATATACTCTTTTGCTGAATTGATTTCCTTTATCATTATGTAATAACAATCTTGGTCTCTTTTCGTACCTTTTGTCTTGAAGTCTATCTTATCTAAGTCTTACCATTGCTGATATTTTATGGCTTTCATTTTTATGGAATATCTCTTTCCATACCATTATTTATAGTCTATATGTGTCTTTATAGATGAACTGTCTTTCTTATAGGGAACTGATCATTGGGTCTTTTTTTTTTAATCCATTCTGCTACTCTCTTTTAATTGGAGAGTTTAGACCATTTACATTCAATGTTATTATTAAGTAAGGACTTTATACCATATTGTTATTTTGTTATTTGTTTTTTGGTTCATTTTTAGTCTTTTCTTCCTTCCTTTTTTTTTCCTTTCCTTCTTGTCTTCCTTTTTGTGAAAGTGTTTTTCTCTGGTGTTATGATTTAATTTCTTGCTTTATATTTTTTGTATGTCTCTTGAGGTTTTTGGATTTGAGGTTACCATGAGGCTTGCAAATAAAATCTTATAACCCATTATTTTAAAATGATGACAAGTTAACTCTGATTGCAAAACAAACTAAGAAACAAAAAGAAAACATAAAAGCTACACCAACTTCATAGTCCCTGCTTTTTAAAATTTTGCTGTTCTATTTATATCTTCTTATACAGTCAAGTCTTAAAAGGTTTTTGTAGGTATTATTTTTGATAGGTTCATCTTTTAATATTCCTACTCAAGATACGAGCATTTACCCACTACAAATACAGTGTTATAACATTCTGCATTTGTGCGTTTATTTACTGTTACCGACTGGTTTTGTACCTTCAGATGATTTCTTATTGCTTGTTAAGGTCACTTTCAGATTAAAGAATTCCCCTTAGCATTTCTTGGGGGCTGTCCAAGAAACCCCCCAAAAAGGGGTCTGATGTTGATGAAATGCCTCAACTTTTGTTTGTCTGAGAAAGCCTTTATTTATCCTTTATATTTGAAGGACATTTTTGCTGCATATAATGGTCTAGGATAATTTTTTTCTTTCATCCCTTTAAATATATTATACTACTCTCTCCTGGCCTGTAAGGTTTCCACTGAGAAATCTGCTGCCAGATGTATTGGAGCTCCTTTACATGTTATTTATTTCTTTAGTCTTGCTGTTTTTAGGACACTTTCTTTATCCTTGATCTTTGGGAATTTCGTGATTGTCTTGAGGTAGTCTTATTTGGGTTAAATTTGCTTGGTGTTCTATAACCTGCTTGTGCTTGAATATTAATATATTTCTCTAGGTTGGAAAAATTCTGTTATCTCCTTAAGAAACCTTTCTACCCAATCACTCTCCCCACCTCCTCTTTAAGGCCAATAACTCTTACATTTGCCCCTTGGAAGCTATATTCTAGATCTTATTGGCATGCTTCATTATTTTTTATTCTTTTTTCTTTTGACTCCTTTGACTGTGTGTTTTCAAATAGCCTATCTTCAAGCACACTAATCCTTGCTTCTGCTTGGTCATTACTGATTTTTGACGGACTTTGACACATTCTTCAGTTTGGCAATTAAAATTTTCAGCTCTAACATTTCTGCTTAATTCTCTTTAATTATTTCAATTCTTTGTTGAATTTATCGATATAATTCTGAATTCTTTCTCTGTATTATCTTGAATTTCATTGAGTTTCCTCAAAACAGCTATGTTGAATTCTGTGTCTGAAAGGTAACATAGCTCTGTCACTCTGGAATTGGTCACTGGTGCCTTATTTAGTTCATTTGGTGAGGTTATGTTTTCCTAGATAGTCTTCATGCTTGTGGGTGTTCATTGATATCTGGGCGTTGAAGAGTTAGGTATTTATCCAATCTTCACAGTCTGGGTTTGTTTGTACCTGTCCTTCTTCAGATGGCTTTGCAAGTATTCAAAGGGAATTCAGTGTTGTGGTCTAAATATTTGGTCACTGCAGCTGTATCTGCATTAGGGGGCATCTCAAGCCCAGTAATGCTTTGACTCTTTCAGACTTGTAGAGGTGTCACCTTGGTGGTCTTGGGTAAGTTCTGGGAGAATTCTCTGGCTTACAAAGCAAAGACTCTTTTTTTTCCCCCTTACTTTCACCCAAAGTAAAGATCTGTTCCTTTCCATGCTAAGCTGCCTGAAGTTGGTGAGGGACGACACAAGCATTCCTGTGTCTATCACTGCTGGGACTGTGCTAAGTCATACCTAAAGCTAACCCTGTAGTGGGTCTTGCCCAAGGCCTGTGGCAATGATTTTCTCACTACTGCTGGTATTTATTGAAGGCTGTTTGGTCAGCAGTTGATGAATCCTGCCAGGGGGGTTCTTTCTCTTCAGTGTGGCAGGTACCCTTCTGGCTCAGAATAGGTCTAGAAATGCTTTTTAGGAGTTAGGGCCTAGGATTAGGGGCTTTAGGACTCTGATTGGTGCTTTATTTTACTGGGACTGAGCTGGTACCCAGGTTGCAAGACAAAAGTTCTCTTTACCTTTACCTTTACTTTCCTCAAGCAGAAGGAATTTCTCCCCATGGCCACCACAGCTGGGAATATGTTGGGTCACACTGAGTCAGCACAATATTGGGTGTTGCCCAAGGCCCATGGTAACTGTTGCCTGGCTACTGCTCATGTTTATTCGAGGCTCAAGGGCTCTTCAGTCAAAAAGTAGTATATTATTCTAGCACCAGGTCCTTCACTTTATGGCAATGGGTTCTCTTCTGGCCTAGTCTGGAAATGTCCAGGAGCTATGCCCTTGAATAGGGGCTTTAGGATTCTGCTTGGTGCTTTAGTTTACTGTGACTGAGCTGGTATCCAAGTTGCAAGACAGGGCTATCTTTACTCTTTCCTCTCCTCTTGGAGCTGTGAGCTGCACTGCCTGGAGTCGGGGAGGGTGACCATCCCAGCTGGTGTCTCACTGGGTTGCATGTGCCCCAAGTCCATTGGCTCCAAGCCCAGCACAGCATCAGGACTTGCCCAGGAATTGCAGTCCTTGTGACCTTGACTACTGCTCAAGTTTATTTAGAACCTCAGAGCCCTTTAGTCCATGGTCAAAAGGCCTGCTGGAAGTAGGTTCTGACTGCTGGAATGTATGATTTCCCTCTGGCTAAGGCTAGTCTAAATGCTCCCTTAATGGGCACCTGCCAAATTTTGCCCCATATTGCTTTCCACTGTGACAGAGCCACACTGAGTTCCAATGCAAAATCCCATAATCATTTTGCTGTGCCTCCAACCCCGAGCATACAGATTCTCTCTCCATACGATGTTGCCACCCCCAGGGTATGGGGGTAGGGTGGTATAGGCAATTCAAGGCTGCCTTTCTTACCCTGTTTAGTGCCTCTTTTCTTGATACAATATTAAAACCAGGCACTGTGATTGTTCACCTGATTTTTGGTTCTTATGAAGGTGCTTTCTTGTGTGAATTTGTTCAGTTCCTGGAGGGGAAGGTTGGGGTCAGTTGCTAGAGGCTCCTCTTCAGCCATCTTGCTCTGCCTCCCCCTCAGAAAATAAATTTTTAATGAAAAAGTTACCTACTAAGAAAACTGTAGACCAGATGCCTTCACTCATAAATTCTAGTCTACTGAACATTTAAGGAAGAAATAATAGAACTTTCTCATAAATTTTTGCAAAAAGTTGCAGAAGAGGGAACAGATACCAAGTAATTTTATGAGGCCAGTATTCGTATGATACCAAAGCAGAAATAGATACAATAGATGTTAAAGGGAAAAAAAACCTACAGACAAGTAACCCTCATGAACATGTACACAGAAATTTTTAATAAAATATTTTAGAATTGTATCCAGCAATACATAAAGAGGACAGTATGTCATCACTAAGTCAGGTTTATTTATAGAATGAAAGATTTGTTTAGTATTGAAAAATCAATGCTAATAAAAAATAAAGAGAAAAAATTTATGATTACTTCAATAGATGAAGAATAAACACCAGACAAAATTCAACTCTCATTCATGTTTAAAATAAAATATCTCTCAATAAAATAGAGTAAAGCAGGAATAACCTCAATGTTGTTTTTAAAAAGCATCTGTAAAAAATTCTGCAGTTAACATTATGCTTAATGGTTAATTATTGAACACTTTCCTTTTAAGACCAGGAACAAGATGAGCTATTACCACTTTGTTTCAGTGTTGTATTGGGGTGGGGTTGTTCTAGCTATTGCTATTGCAACAAGCCATTTTTTAAAAAAAGGCATATACTTAGAAATGTAAGAAGTTAAGAAGTTAAGCTGTATCTATTTGCAGGTGATGTAATTGTTTATTTAGAAGGTCCTTAGAAACTCATAAAACAATTATTACAATTATTAAATAAATGTATCAAGGTTGCAGGATACATGTTAATATATAAAAGTAAACTGCATTTTATATACTGCAGTAAACAATTGGAAAATGAGAATATAATTCAACTTACAATAACAACAATAAATACATAAATTTAACAAAATCAATGTAAATCCTTTAAACTAAATATCGCAAAATATTGCTGAAAGACATTATAGAAACCTTAACTAAGTAGAGCAATATGTCGTGTTTTTGGACTAGAAAACTCAATATTGTTAAGATATCAATTCTCTCTGAATTGATGTATAAATGTCATGCAATTGCAATAGGATACAGAAAAAAATGAAATTAATAAGTTGATTCTAAAATTTATATTACAATTCAAATAATCTGGAATAACAAAAATTATTTTTAACAAGAACAAATTTGGAGGTCTGATACTTCCTGATTTAAAGAGTTATTATCAAACTACAGCAATTAAGATGTTGCTGTGGGGAAAGATAGTCTTATGCACCCCTATTTGGCTGCATAAGAATGGAACTTGGTTTCGATTTGCAATTAGCAATGTTGGGTATATTTTCACATACCTACTTGCCATTTGTATGTCTTCTTCAGGAAAATGCCTATTCATGTCATTTGCCCATTTTTTAATCAGGTCATTTGTTTCTTTGCTATTGAGTTGTGTGAAAGTTCCTTATATATTTTGAATATTAACTTTTTATAATATATGGTTTGCAATGTTTTCCTCCAAATCTTTAGGCTGCCTTTCCATTCTGTTAATTGTTTTCTTTGCTGTGCAGAAATTTTCAGTTTGATATAGTCTCATGTTCATTTTTGTAGAAGTTTTCAGTTTTGTGTAGTCTCTTATTCATTTTTGCTTTTGTCACCTGAGTTCTTGGTGTGATATCTAAAATTTATTGAATATCCACAACAAGATATTATATCACACTTGTTAGGATAACTATTATAAGAAAGACAAGACATAAGTGTTGACAAAGATGTGGAAAAAAGGGAATTTTTTTACACTGTTCCTGAGAATGTAAATTGGTACAGCCATTATGGAAAATAATATGGGGATTCTTCAAAAAAACTAAAAGTAGAACTACCATATATATGGCCCTGCAATCTCTTTGCTGGATAAACACCCAAAGAAAATAAAATAATGACCACGTAGAGATATCTGTGTACTCCTGTTTTCCACAGCATTATTTACAAGAACTAAGATATAAAAACAACCTAAGTGTCTATCATTGCATTAATGAATAAAAAAGTTACATATATATTTTATATATGTATTCTATTGCATATGTATGCAATGGGATATTATTTAGCCTTTAAAACGAGATACTGAGATACTCCCATTTGTGACCACATGGAGGAACCTGGAGGACATTATGCTAAGTGAGATAAGCCACACGTGAAAAATGTTGCAGAAAATACTTTTCAGCAGGAGGGTTATAGTTTAGAATATTGTATTGCATATTGAAGAATTTTCCAAGAGATTAGATTTTATGTGTTCTTACCTCTTACCCCCACAAAAAAGAGGAAGCTATTAAAGGTGAGAGATATGCTCATTTACTTACTTGTAGTAATCATTTCACTATATATATATATATGTATTCATCCATTTTTACACTGCTGATGAAGACATACCTGAGACTGGACAAATTACAAAAGAAAGAAGTTTATTGGTCTTATAGTTCCACATGGCTAGGGAGGTCTCACAATCATGGCAGAAGGCAAGGAGGAGCAAGTCACATCTTACATGGATGGCAGCTGGCAGAGAGAGAGAGAGAGAGAGAGGTTATGCAGAGAAACTCCCATTTTTAAAACCATCAGATCTCATTTGGCTTATTTACTATCATGAGAATAGCACAGGACAGACCGGCCCCCATGATCCAATTACCTCCCACTGGGTTTCTCCCATGACATGTGGGAATTGTGGGAGTTACAATTCAAGATGAGATTTGGGTGAGGACACATCCATACCATATTATTTCTACCCCTGGCCCCTCCCAAATCTCACGTCCTCACATTTCAAAACACAATCATGCCTTTCCAACAGTCACCAAAAGTCTTAACTCATTTCAGCATTAAGTCAAAAGTCCGCAGTCCAAAGTCTCATCTGAGGCAAGATAAGTCCCTTCCACCTATGAGCCTGTAAAATCAAAAGCAAGTTAGTTACTTCATAGATACAATGGGGGTACAAACATTGTGTAAATACACCCATTCCAAATGGGAGTAATTGGCCAAAACAAAGGGGCTACAGGCCCCATGAAACTCCAAAATCCAATAGGGTAATCATTAAACCTTAAAGTTCCAAAATGATCTCCTTTGACTCCATGTCTCACATCCAGGTCATCCTGATGCAAGAGGTGGGTTCCCATGGTCTAGAGCAGCTCTTCCCCTTGTGGCTTTCCAGGGTATAGCCTCCCTCCAGCTGCTTTCATGGGCTGTCATTAAGTGTCTGCAGCTTTTCCAGGCACATGGTACAAGCTGTAGGTGGATCTACCATTCTGGGGTCTGGAGGACAGTGCCCGTCTTCTCAGAGCTCCACTAGGCAGTGCCCCATTAGGGTCTCTGTGTGGGGGCTCGGATCACACATTTCCCTTCCACACTGCCTTAGCAGAGTTTCTCCATGAGAACCCCACCCCTGTAGCAAACTTCTGCCTGGGCATCCAGGCATTTGCATACATCTTCTGAAATCTAGGTAGAGGTTCCCAAACTTCAATTCTTTATTTCTGTGCACCTGCAGGCTCAAAACCACATGGAAGTTGCCAAGGCTTGGGGCTTGCATCCTCTGAAGCCATGGCCAGAACTATATTTTGGCCCCTTTTAGTCACAGCTGGAGTGGCTGAGATGCACAGCACCAAGTCCCTAGGCAGCACACAGCACAGGGATCCTGGGCCTGGCCCACGAAACCATTTTTTCCTCCTAGGCCTCTGGACCTGTGATATGAGAGGCTGCTGTGAAGACCTCTGACATGCTCTGGAGACATTTTCCCCATTGTCTTGGGGATTAACATTTGGCCCTTCGTTACTTATTCAAATTTCTTCAGCTGGCTTGAAATTCTCCTCAGAAAATGGGATTTTCTTTTCTATCATATTGCCAGGCTGCAAACGTCTGAACTTTAATGCTTTGCTTCCCTTATAAAACTGAATGCTTTTAACAGCACCCAAGTCACCTCTTGAATATTTTACTGCTTATAAATTTCTTCTGCCAGATACTCTAAGTCATCTCCCTCAAGCTCAAAGTTCCACAAGTCTCTAGGGCAGGGGCAAAATGCCACCAGTCTCTTTGCTAAAACCTAACAAGAGTCACCTTTGCTTCAGTTCCAGACAAGTTCCTCATCTCCATCTGAGACCACCTCAGCCTGGATTTCATCATCCATATCATTATCAGCATTTTGGTCAAAGCCATTCAACAAGTCTCTAGGAAGTTCCAACTTTTTTCACATTTTTCTCTCTCCTTCTGAGCCCTCCAAACTGTTCCAACTTCTGCCTGTTACTCTGTTTCAAAGTCACTTCCACATTTTTGGGTATCTTTTCAGTAGTGCCCCACTCTACTGGCACCAATTTGCTATATTAGTCCATTTTTATGATGCTGATAAAGACATACCTGAGACTGGTCAATTTACAAAAGAAAGAGGTTTATTGGACTTACAGTTCCACATGGCTAGAGAGAGAGGCCTCACAATCATGGTGGAAGGCAAGGAGAAGTAAGTCACATCTTATGTGGATGGCAGCAGGCAAAGAGAGAGAGAGCTTGTGCAGGGAAACTCATTTTTAAAACCATCAGTCTCATTTGACTTATTCACTATCACAAGAATAGCACAAGACAGTCCCGCCCCCATGATTCAATTACCTTCCACCAGGTTCCTCCCATGGCATGTGGGAATTGTGGAAGTTACAATTCAAGGTGAGATTTGGGTGGAGATACATCCAAACCATATCAATATATATAGCAAAACATTATCTTGTACAACTTAAATATATACAATTTTTTAAAAATTAGAAAAGAAAAGAAGGGACCTTGGGCTAGGAATTCTTACTAAGAGACACAGAATCCTCAAATTCTGTGCTGCACTTATCACCCTGTGTGGAGATATCTTTCCCTCTTTCAGACTCATTGTGTAATCCTTTTTTATTTAAGTGTGTGTATCATATGGTACCTGGCTAAACACACCGTTACATCCATTTTGTGCAGAGAAAAGATAGGGTCCTGTTGCTGTAGCACAAGGGGGCTGTGTGCAGGCCAACTGTCCATTAAGGGCTGCCAGGAGGGACCTGCTGGCCATTGGGACTAACACTCAGTAATGAAGCTGATTTTGCTCTGTGTCTTTCAGTGCTTGACTGGTTGTGTTTTCCTTGGTGAGCCTGATACTAAGATGCAGTGGGCAGAAGTGATCAGATTTCTGCTCCTGATAATAATCAACAGGTGCCTCTTGCTTGATGGCAATATTGTCCAGAGGATAGATACATATGTCAGGGAAACAGAATATCAAGCCTAGGAATAATGGCACACATACATGGACAACTGATTTTCAACAACAAATGTCAAGATAATTTGGTAGAGAAATAAAGTATTTTAAATCAAATGGTGCCAGAACAATGGGAGAGATTTATTTTAAAAAGGAATATTGACCCTTATTTCACACCACACAAAAAAATTAACTCCAAAGAGTAGTAAGTTTAAATATGAATCTAAAACTCTAAAACTCTTTAAAGAGTAGGAGAAAATCTTAGTGATAAGTGAAAAAGTTGATCAATTGAATTTTATCAAAATTCAAAACGTTTGTTCTTCAAAAGATATCCATTAAAAATGAAAAGGCAAGCCATAACATGGGAGAAAATATTCCAATATGTGTCTTTGACAAAGGACTTGTGTCCAGAGAAGAGAACTCTTACAGCACAATCACAAGAAGAAAAGTAACCCAATAGAAATATAGACAAACGACTCTGGGAAAAAAATGCTGGTTTCTTAATAGGTTGAATATACATATACTAGTTGATCCTTCTTTTTTGATCCTAGGGTTTGATTCCAAAGAGAAGGGAAAATGTGTGTGCATGCAAAGAGAGCTGCTTGATTGACAATAGTCCCAAACTGGAAACAATATAAATATCTGTCAAAAGATAAATGATAAACAAAATGTGGTATGCTGTATGTTAAAATAATACTGAAGAATGAAAAGAGGGACTGCTGATACATGCAGCAACATGGAGGAGTCTCAAAAACGTTATGCAGAGTGAAAGAAAGAGATACAAAAGAGGACATACTATATGATTCTATGATATAAAATGAAAACTAATCTGTGTGGAAAAAAAGGCAGAACAGTGGCCAAATGGTGAAGTGGAGTGGGAAAGTGGAGAAAGGAATGAATTATAAAGGGCATATGAAATCTTTTGAAGATATTGGAAATGGTTTATATCTTGATCATGGCCTTGGTTTCACAGGTGTATGCAACTGTCAAAACTCATAGATTTGTATACTTTGAATGGATTTCTTTTATTGTATGTAAATTACTTATTGAAAAATAATTCTCAGTAAAGTTGATAAGGATAAAAAGCACATGCACATTTCCTTAGTTTTTCACTGCTTTAGTAGAAACGGGAAAATAATGGCGTTGGAGAAACTCATGGGAGTTTTTATAGAAAGATCATGGAGGTGGGCACTGGTAATTATTAACCTCAGAGTGGTTCAAACATTTCAGCTCTGAAAAGCAACCTGGAACACTGTATAAATCTACAATCTCTTCACCACAAACTACAAAATCCCCAAATTAATAGAGCCAAAAGATTTTTCTTAAATTTGATGTAAACTCATTTGGCATCAAATGCAGATCTGAAATGATTTAAAGTTATTTATAGTCTTTATCTCACTTAATATATGTTTTACCACAAACATACTAATGTATTTGGTTACAGGGTACTGCTCCTGGCACTTTGGTTGGTATATCATATACAGTATATGCACTGTCTTTTTTCTTAAATCTGAAAAATTCTCAACTATATGTGATTCTATGGCTGTCAAAGGATGTGGACCTGTAATAGCCAAGAATTTTCCTTGCTGTGCTGAAAATTTAGTTGAAAATGTATGCCCTTTCTTTTTTGTCTTATGAATGGATGATAGACAAAGCAATAGAATTTTTAGGTACAACTTAGCATTGTTGACTAGTAAGTTAAGCAAATTATAAAGGATTAACTAGTAATATTTTTAAACTAATGTTACTATATTGTTAAAGTACAATTGACCCTCTGTATCTGCAGGTTCTGCATCTGAGGATTCAATCAACCACAGATTGAAAATACAGTATTATTTGGATGTGGGACCTGCAGATAATGGAGGGCCTTTTCCTGTCTGTGGGTCCCACAGGGCTGACTGCAGGATTTGAGGATCCATGGATTTTGGTATCTGCAGGGGTCCTGGAGTCATTCTCCAACAAATGCCAAGGATGACTATACTCAGAAATCTCTTTAAGTATTCCATTAATACTTGGTACTATTGGGCAAGTCCCATTGCTCATGCATACAGACTGATAGATGAAATTTCTGAAATTTTAGGAAAGAATGCTTTACATAGCAGTAAATCGTCAGCATTAATTTTGCTTTGATTTTTTTGATTCCTGTTTTTCCTAACAATAAATTATCATTATTTGTCTTCATTATTATCAAGGTATTTGTTATAGATGATTTGCTTAGCTTTATAATAAATTTTAATGTATATTTAGAGCTATAATCTCTTAATATCTAACTTCATTTAATGCTATTTTATGATTTTTGTGACAGAGTCATTCTGTCACCCTCTCTGGAGTGCAGTGGCACAATCATAGCTTATTGCAACCTTGAATTCCTGGCCTCAAGTGATCCTCCCACCTCAGCCTTCCAAGTAGCTGAGACTACAGGTGTGCACTACCATGCCTAGCTATTTTTTAAAGTTTTTCTTTTGTAGAGATGGGGTCTTGCTATGTTGCCCAGGCTGATCTCAAACAACTGGCCTCAAGCAATCCTTCTGCCTTGGCTTCCCACAGCGATAGAATTATAGTCATGAGCCACTGCACTTGGCCTCAATATATAACTTTAAAACATATAAAGATAACAATTCAAATGTGAATTACTCATATTCCTCTTACTGAATCAAATGTGAAAATATAAACCCTCAAAAATCTTCTCAAAGTGATTACTTCATTGGTATTTCATTTTTTCTTCTACCAGAAAGTGAAAGCTGATAGAGGAAATGTGTTATGGAATCTTCACCTGAAAAATGTTTGTAGCAAAGTAAAATAAAATTTGAGAACATTATTATGACCAGGTCAAGTACTAATACTAGGTTGAAAGTTAGAAAGGACTAAGCTTCACCAAACAGCATAATTTGTTGTGGCAACTTGGTAAAAGCTATGGAGCAGCAACTTGAATAAGACTGAAGGAAGGACCCCAAGTCAAGGAGCTTCCTAGAAGCAGCAGTGAAAGAGATGACTACATACTAGTGCAGGAAGATCTGACACCAGGGAAAAAAATCTCTGAAGGTAAGGATGAGAAAGGTGTGCCCTGGAAAAGATTTATTCCGGGAAAGGCAAGAATGAGGGACTGGGGTATGAGGCTATGGAGTGCAGGTAGGGTAGGCATTTAAAACTAGTAAAAATCATCTGAAGCTCATATAAGTATATTCAGATAAATTATTACAGGTTAGGTATGAAAATATTTTGCTCATTTAGAAATAATAGAGGGGCTGACTAAACTTGGAGGCTCACATTAGGGGAGCCAGGGCCTATATTGGCAAGCAGAAGAAGAGAAAGTCAAGATTCCCTCCAACGCAAATCTAGCTTCCACTATAGTCTGAACAACTTAACCCAACAATAAGAAACATGAAAAAGACTTCTGGCATTATATAATAAAGATTTCAAGTATCTTTTTAAGACGAAAGTCAGACTCCTGAGCCCAAGAACAATGGCTAAGAGTTAGATAAACATGTATAAAATCCCTGCTATTGATAAGCACAATTATGACTTAAAGATGAAGGGACACAGGGGGATGACACATAGGTGGTGGGAGTGTTGGGGGAGTGGGGTAGGCAACCTCTAAGATGGAACCAAATGGCCTAGCTTACAGGTGTTCACACCTTATATAATCCTCTCTGCTTTAGTATGAGCTGAATTTGTGACTTGCTTGTAGTGAAGAGAATATAGCAGAAGTTATAGCATATAACCCATGATTAGATTATAATATACTGTGGCTTCTGTCTTGAGGACTGTCTTTTGTTCTTTCTCCGCTTTCTCAGATCACTCTTCAGGAAGAAACAAGCTGCCATGTTTTGAGAAAATTCTGTAAAAGGTTCATGTGGGAAGGGACTGGGGACTGCCAACTTCCACATGAGTGAGCTTGGAAGCAGATCCTCCAACTTCCCTCAGCCCCAGTCAAACCTTTATATGAAACTGCAGCCTTGGCCAATAGCTCAACTCCAATCTCATGAGGAACTGTTGTTGAGCCAGAGAGCCCAAATAAGCCATGCCCAGGCTTGTGATCTACAGAAATGGAGAAAATAAATACTTGCTGTTTTAAACTGCCAAATTTCAGAGCAAGTTGTTATGCACCAATTGATAACTAATGCATAGAGATGGTCCTATTTTACAACTAATATTGGGTTTCGTGTTAAGATTCCAAATAAATAGGAGTGCAGGATCTAGGACCTGAGCACAGAGACAATGGACAGGGCAGGTTAGTATATTCAGTATAGAGATTGGGTGATAGTGGAGTATAGTACAAGTGTGTTGGAGTCAGCCAGACTTGAATTGAAATATTCATCAATGTTCTTATTTGTCAAATGGGATTTTTATATGGATTAAATGATATTGAAAGTGTTTACTGTAATGCCTGGCCTCTAATTGCTCAAGGAATCAAGACTTTTACTATAATGAGTGACCCATTTATCTTACTAAACTCATCAATAATATAGTTTGGATATATGCTCCCTGCAAATCTCATGTTGACATGTGACCCCCAGTATTAGAGTTGGAGCCTAGTGGACGGTGTTAGGGTCGTGGGGGCAGATCTCTCATGAATGGCTTGGTGCCCTTTCCACAATAATGAGTAAGTCCTCATTCTGTTAGTTCCCCTGAGATTGGATTGTTTAAAAGAGCCCATTTCTCTCTTGCTTCCTCTCTCACCATGTGGCTGGTCAGCCCTGCTTGCCTTCTGCCATGAGCAAAAGCTCCCTGAAGCCCTTACTAGAAACAGATGCTGGTACCATGCTTGTACAGCCTGCAGAACCATGGGCCAAATAACCCTCTTTTCTTTATAAATTGCCTACTTCAGGTATTCCTTTGTAGCAACACAAAACAGACTAATACACTATTTATCTCCTCTTGCTTAGGAAATGTTTTAACATTAAATTTCTAGAATCTTGATTTTATGGGAGAGGTATAAGTTGTCACATATTAACCATAACCTAACAGGAAGATGAGTGAGGCTAAGACAAAACTCCAAAGATCACAGAGGTCTCCTTCAAGAGAAGAGGTGGCTGGAACGAAGTGATAGGTTCTATGAATTATAGACTGGAGTACCTGCCATTTTGAAATGTGTCAGAAATTCAGATAGTGGGAGGTGGATGTGCTGCTGTCGGCTTTAGAATCTGCTGTTTAACATTCATGTCTGGAACGCAGAGGGTTCCCCTTTTAGTGGGACTAAGCTAATGGAAAAATCAAACTCACCTATATTTTTCTGCATTGTGACCTTCAATTTTAAGAACTCAAGGGGAAACAAGGTCCCTCAATATTGATTAGGTGGGAGTCGGCTGGTAAAGGAGAGAAAAGAGGACTGTAGTGGTGGTGATGGAGGCAACCCAAAAGGAAGAGAAGGGCCTTTAGGGAATGTTCTGTGATAATGACCTCTAGGAGTTACCTGGCAGGAGGCTTGTGTGGTTTCCTGACACACATGATTCTGCATCCCTGTGCCTGCTTTGTTTGACCATTAACCCAGGGCAGATATTAGAAATCCTCTTTAATGATTACATGAAGATTTTCTCCCCATTTTATGACACCAATTACTAGACAAATATTTAAATCTAAATTGTCCCTATACAGTCATGCCCTGCATAATGACATTTTGGTCAATGAATGACCATGTATATGATGATGGTCCCATAAGATTATAATGGAGTAGAAAAATTCCTACCACCTAGTGACATCACAACTGTCATAAGGTCATAGTGTAACATATTACTTTTTCCATATTCAAATATGTTTAGATATACAAATACAATTGTGTCACAATTGCTTATGGTATTCAATACAGTAACATGCTATACATATACAAGCTTGTAGCCTAGGAGCAATAGGCTATATCTTATAGCCTAAGTGTGTAGTGAGCTATGCCATCTAGATTTTTGTAAGTATGCTGCATGATTTCCCACAATGACAAAATCACCCAATGGCATATTTCTCAGAACATATTTCTATCATTAAATGAGGCATGACTATATATACATAATGTTTCAGAAAGTCTGATAGTCACCTATACATTTTTATGTAAGTGGGGTCATTAACATTCTTCAGTTGTTCTTTTCTTTCTAGTCAGAAAATAAAAATAAACATATACATATTTCTAGTCAAACTGATGTTTGTATAAGCTGCACGAACTTGGAATTCTTGGTTGGAGATATGCATTGATTTGCTTTCTATTGATAATGTCATAAAAGATTATGAAGGAACCATACTTTGTGTGTAATTAGTAGTATGATGTTCAAAGCATAATTTGAATAGTGAAAATATTTGCTCTGAACCAAAGGAAAATAAATAAACTCATCAGCCAATAGCACTCACCAAGAAGAAATGATGAAATCAGATGAGAAATCTTAAATATGGAATGCCTTAAATGGGGTATATACGTTCCACAATTTGGTGTTTAAAAGAATATTGCTATCATAATATACTGAAAGGCAGATGATTTTATGACTTTCCACAATTTGAAAGCACATCCGTGAGTATCTGTTAACAGCAGAAAGTCACAGCTAAATATGAAAACATTAACTTTGTTATTTTTAGTTGAAATTATTACCAACATTGAAGAAAAATCATAATAAATCATTCTTAATCTAATTACTTAATCACAACTTTCTTTTTTTGCATATTGCTTTCTAAGCCTTTAATTGTTTATATTTAGAGTTATTATATGGCATGTTCTATTTCAACTTTTTTATAAAGTTATAAACATTTTATTACTTCTATATAGCATTTTAAATGTACTTTTAAGTGGTTACATAATATACCATTAGGTTACGTGATAAAATATACTAAAGCAATCTTGCTTTGAGAGACGTTTATTTCAAAATTATGTATTTCACATTAAATATTTTAACTCTATATCTAAACTACACAAGTGCTGCAATCCTAGCTTATGTGTTGCACAATAGTACAAGATCCATAGCAATCATGATTTCACTGTGACTGAGTAATGTAACTCTTAGGGTCCAACAAAAACAACACTTTTCAGTTGTGGATGTGGGTAGGTAAAAGAGAACATTGGACATATGGCTAGGCAGAATGAATTTTTATATGATGGATTCCTATTTATTTTCACTTCTGCATTCCACTGATTTTTAAAATTGTTTTTAAAAACAAAATTGATCCTGGAGATGAGTTTTAATATTCAATTTTGAATTTTTGGATGTCTCTGAAACACAGAATTTCTTTGTTTCAAATTCAGTTATTCTCGTTGAATTTTTATTGTTTTTCTCCAGAATAAAATCTAGATATGTGCCAGGGTAGATATTTGAATCAAATGTGTGCACAAGAAGCACTTTTTAATTTGTATATATCTTAAGCTGTTGACTTTATGAGTGACTTGAACATCTTGAAATTCACATTTTAATTTATATATATATAAGAATTATTATATATAATCATATGATTTTGCTTGTCTTCTGAGGTACCGAAGTTTTCATTAATTTGTTTTGGTTAGGGTGTTGACTTAAAGGGAAAAAAAAAGGACTCCCTTCTACAAAATAGACAAAAAACTTGCCAAAAATAAAAATATATTATGCAAGAAGAAGAACATTTTAACACAGTTTAATTTTAGCATAAATGATTTTATTGACCCTATCCAGAAATAAGTTCTGAAGAGATTGAACTGGAGGGACCAAGGCTTAGGGTAGAGTGGGGTAGGAAGTGCAGCATTAGAGTTTGACTGAAGGAAGCAGTCATGCCAGATGTATCTTAGACAGTAGATGGGTCACTATGAGGACCCCGCAGAGTGGTGCAAAGTGTAAATTTGTGGCAGATAAAAAATATGGAAGATGTCATAGTTAGTCTCCTTTAGCTGTACCCATTTCTTATCTCAAACAAGAAAAATGCATATGGCCTTGAAATCTCAAGGCCAAATGTCCAAGGACTCAGTGGAGTTGGGATAGACTCTTTGGGAACCATAATAATGTGTGAATCCTGCACCGGCAACCAAAGTATCCAGGTTCTCTCATCAGAACTGACTAGGTGGCTGGCGTGACCCACAGAGAGGAAAGAACAGCAATGTGGTGCAGCGGCCCACCTGAGAGCCACACAGGGCAGGGGAGCCCCTACCCCTGCACCAAGGAAGGCAGTGAGCAAGCATACTACCCAGCGCAGGAAACTGTGCTTTCTCCATAGAACTGTGAAACCCATGGATTGGAAGATCCCACTTGTGAACCCATGCCACCAGGGCCTAGGGACCCAACCCCAGATCTGCACAGATTCTCAACTGTCTCTCAACTAGAATCTGCTTAAGCCTGCTGAGTTCCCAGGAGCAGGGGCCGACAGCACCATAGCTGCGACTGCCTGCAGTCTAAGCCATTTGAGCTCCTTGTGTGAAGGTCAGCAGCCAGCACTGGGACTGATAGCTGCCTAACATTCTAGGCTCCCTGGGAAGGGGAAGGGAGGCAGCCATCTCTATAGCTACAGGCCATGCTTTTCCCCTGCTGGAGTCAGGGAGGCTGGACAGCTTGGTCCCAACAGGTGTCCCCCCAGCCCAATATACGGGCTGTGGCAGACTGTGGCCATAGCGCCTCTTCAGGCCTGACCCTGACCCATCCCTCCTCACTAGGTGGGGCCTCCCTTCGAGAACTCGAAAAACTCCAGCCAGGGGCTCAGGGACAGAACTCTGATCTCCCTGGGCCTGAGCCTCTGGGGAAGTGGTGGCCATAGTATCCATGGACCAGCAGACTTAGCTTTTCCTCCTGCTAGATCTGAGGAATCCAGGCAGCCCAGATGGGTGGGTTTCCCCCCAGTGAAGCACACCCCTTCCACTAAGGCACAGTCAAAGTGCTTTATTAAATGGGTCTTGTTCCCCATGCCACCCAATTGGGTGAGACCCTCCAATAGGGGTTGTCAGACACCCTATACAGGCATTAGGTTGGCACCCCTCAAGGTCAGACATCACAGAGGAAGGAGCAGGCACCCATTTTTGGTGTTCTCCAGCCTTCTTGAGTGACATCTCCAGGTGTGGGAGCAAACTAAATGAATAGGGTCTGAAGTGAACCCCCAGCAAACCACAGCAGCCCTACAGAAGAGGGACCTGATTATTGAAAGAAAAACAAACAGAAAACAACGTCAACAGCATCAACAACAAAAGTCCCCACAAAAACCCCATCCAAGGGTCAGCAGCCTCAAATATCAAAACTAGACAAACTCATGAAGATCAGAAAGAATCAATGAGAAAACGCTGAAGACCCAAAAGGCCAGAGTACCTCTTCTCCAAATGACCGCAACGCCTCTCTAGCAAGGGTGCAGAAATGGACAAAGGATGAGATGGATGAATTAACAGAAGTAGGCTTCAGAAGATGTGTAATAGCAAATTCCACTGAGCTAAAACAGCATGTTCTAACCCAATGCAAAGAAGCTAAGAACCAGATAAAAGTTTAAAGGAGCTGCTAATTAGAATAACCAGTTTAGAGAGGAACATAAATGCAAATATCAATAGCCAAATTGAAAGCAGAAGAAAGGATATCAGAGTTTGAAGACCACCTTGCTGAAATAAGGCATGCAGATAAGATTAGAGAAAAAAAGAATGAAAAGGAACAAACAAAGCCTCCGAGAAATATGGGACTATGTAAAAACGCTGAACCTATGATTGATTGGAATACTGGAAAAAGACAGAATGGAAACACACTGGAAAACACACTTCAGGATATTATCCAGGAGAACTTCCCCAACCTCACAAGACAGACCAACATTCAAATTCAGGAAATACAGAGAACACCATTAAGATATACCATGAGATTACCCCCAAGACACATACTTATCAGATTCTCCAAGGTCAAAATGAAGAAAAAAATGTTAAGAGCAGCCAGAGAGAAAGGCCAGGTCACCTACAAAGGGAAGTCCATCAGACAAAGAGTGGATCTCTCAGCAGAAACCCTGCAGCCAGGAGAGAGTGGGGACCAATATTCAACATTTATAAAGAAAATAATTTTCAAACCAGAATTTCATATCTAGCCAAACTAAGCTTCATTAGCAAAGGAGAAATAAAATGCTTTTCAGACAAGCAAATGCTGAGGGATTTTGTCACCATCAGGACTGCCTTGCAAGAGTTCATGAAGGAAGCACTAAATATAGAAAGGAAAAAGCGGTACCAGCCACTGCAAAAACACGCCAAACTATAAAGACCAATGACCAATGACACTATGAAGAAACTGCATCGACTACTGTGCAAAATAACCAGATAGCATCATGATGACAGGATCAAATTCACATATAACCATAGTAACCTTAAATGTAAATGGGCTAAATGCCCCCAATTAAAAGACACAGACTGGCAAATTGGATAAAGAGTCCAGAGCCATCAGTGTGCTGTATTTAGGAGACCTATTTCAGGTGCAAAGACACACGTAGGCTCAAAATAAAGGGATGGAGGAAAATTTATCAAGCAAATGGAAAGCAAACAAACAGGGGTTGCAAACCTAGTCTCTGACAAAATGGACTTTAAGCCAACGAAGATCAAAAAAGACAAAGAAGGGCATTACATAATGGTAAAGCAATTAATTTAACAAGAAGAGCTAACTATTGTAAATATACATGCACCCAATACAGGAGCACCCAGATTCATAAAACAAGTTCTTATAGACCTCCAAAGAGATTTAGACTCCCACACAATAATAGTGAGAAATTTTTACACCCCACTGTCAATATTAGACATATCAACAAGGCAGAAAATTAACAGGGATATTCAGGATTTGAACTTGGCTCTGGATAAAATGGACCTAACCAACAGCTACAGAACTCTCCACCCCAAATCAGGAGAATATACATTCTTCTCAGTGCCCCATGATATTTATTCTACCACATAATTGGAAGTAAAACACTCCTCAGTAAATGCAAAAGAACTGAAATCATAACAGCCTCTCAGACCACAGTGCAATCAAATTAAAATTCAGGATTAAGAAACTCACTCCCAAACCACACAATTACATGGAAATTGAACAACCTGCTCCTGAATGACTCCTGGGTAAATAATGAAATTAAGGCAGAAATCAAGAAGTTCTTTGGAACCTATGAGAACAAAGAGACAACATAACACTTAACACGTCTAAAGCCGTGTTAAGAGGAAAGTTTATAGCACTAAATGCCCACATCAGAAAGCTAGAAAGATCTCAAGTCAATATCCTAACATTGCAATTAAAAGAGCTAGAGAAACAAGAGCAAACAAATACAAAAGATAGCAGAAGACAAGAAATAATTAAGATGAGAGCAGAATTGAAGAATATAGTGACAAGAAAAGTGCTCCAAAAATCAATACATCCAGGAGCTGTTTTTTTTGGAAAAAAAAAAAAAAAAAAAAAAACAACAACAACAAAATAGACTTCTATCTAGACTAATAAAAAAGAAAAGAGAGAAGAATCAAATAGACACAATAAAAAATGATAAAGGGAATATTGCCACTGATGCCACAGAAATACACATTACCATCAGAGAATACTATACACACGTTTATGCAAAATGAACTAGAAAATCTGGAAGAAATGGATAAAATCCTGGACACATGCACCCTCCCAAGACTAAACCAGAAAGAAGTCAAATCCCTGAGTAGATAAATAACAAGTTCTGAAATTTAGGCAGTAATTAATAGCCTACTAACCAAAAAAAGCCCAGGATGTGATGGATTCACAGCAGAATTCTACCAGAGGTACTATTCCAAACAATTGAAAAGGAGGGACTCCCCTCAAACTCATTTTATAAAGGCAGCATCAACCTGATGCCAAAACCTAGCAAAGACACAACAACAACACAAAAGAAAACTTCAGACCAATATCCCTGATGAAGGTCAATGTGAAAATCCTCAAGAAAATACTGACACATGAATTCCAGCAGTACATCAAAAAACATATCCACCATGATCAATTCACATTCATCCCGGGGATGCAAGGCTGGTTCAACATATGCAAATTAATAAACATAATTGATTATACAAACAGAACCAAAGACAAAAACCACATGATTAACCCAATAGATGCAGAAAATGCCTTTGATAAAATTCAACATCCCTTCAGGTTAAAAACTCTCAATAAACTAGGCATTGATGGAACATATCTCAAAATAATAAGAACTTATTTTATGACAAACCCATAGCCAATATCATACTGAATGTGCAAAAGCTGAAAGATTTCCCATTGACAACCAGTAGAAGACTAGGATGCCCTCTCTCACCAATCCTATTCAACATAGTATTGGAAGTTCTGGCCAGGGAATTCAAGCAAGAGAAAGAAATAAAAGGTATTCAAATAGGAAGAGAAGAAGTCAAATTGTTTCTGTTTGCAGACAACATGATTCATGATTCTGTATTTAGAAAACCCCATCGTCTCAGCCCAAAGGCTTCTTAAGCTGATAAGCAACTTCAGCAAAGTTTCAGAAAACAAAATCAATGTGTAAAAATCACAAGCATTCCTCTACACCAACAATAGACAAGCAGAGAGCAAAATTATGAGTGAACTCCCATTCGCTTGCTACAAAGAGAATAAAATACCTAAGAATACAGCTAACAAGGGACATGAAGGACATCTTCAAGAAGAACTACCAACCACTGCTCAAGGAAATAAGAGAGGACACAAACAAATGGAAAAATATTCCATCCTCATGGGTAGGAAGAATCAATATTGTGAAAATGGCCATACTGCCTAAAATAATTTATAGATTCAATGCTATTCCCATCAAACTACCATTGACATTCTTCACAGAATTAGAAAAAACTACTTTAAATTACATATGGAACCAAAGAAGAACCCATATATCCAAGACAATCCTAAGCAAAAAGAACAAAGCTGGAGGCATCATGCTACCTGACTTCAAACTATATTACAAGTCCACAGGAATCAAAACAGCATGGTACTGTACCAAAACGGACATATAGACCAAAGGAACAGAATAGAGACCTCAGAAATAAGACCACACATCTACAATAATCCAATCTTCAACAAACCTGACAAAATCAAGCAATGGGAAAAGGATTCCCTATTCAATAAATGGTGCTGGGGAAACTGGCTAGCCATATACAGAAAACTGAAACTGGACCCTTTCCTTACACCTTTTGCAAAAATTAACTCAAGATGGATTAAAGACTTAAACGTAAACCCCAAACCGTACAAACTCTAGAAGAAAACCTAGGCAATACCATTCAGGACATAGGCATGGGCAAAGATCATGACAAAAATGACAAAAGCAATTGCAACAAAAGGCAAATTGACAAATGGGATCTAATTAACCTAAAGAGCTTTGCACAGCAAAAGAAACTATCATCAGAGTGAACGGGCAACCTAAAGAATGGGAGGAAACTTTTGCAATCTACGCATCCAACAAAGGTGTAATATCCAGAATCTACAAGGAACTTAAGCAAATTTACAAGAAAAAACAACCCCATCAAAAAGTGTGCAAAGGATATGAACAGGCACTTCTCTAAAGAAGACATTTATGCGGCCGACAAACATATGAAAAAAAGCTCAACATCACTGATCATCAGAAAAATGCAAACCAAAACCACAATGAGATACCATCTCATGACAGTCAGAATGGTGATTATTAAAAAGTCAAGAAACAATAGATGCTGTTGAGGCTGTGGAGAAATAGGAATGCTTTTACACTGTTGTTGGGAATGTAAATTAGTTCAACCATTCTGGAAGGCAGTGTGGGGATTCCTCAAGGATCTAGAACCAGAAACACCATTTCACCCCGCAATCCCATTACTGGGTATATCCCCAAAGGCATATAAATTATCCTATTATAAAGACACATGCACATGTATGGTTATTGCAGTGCTATTTACCATAGCAATGACTTGGAACCAACCCAAATGCTCATCAATGATAGACGAGATAAAGAAAATGTGGTACATATACACCATGGAATACTATGCAGCCATAAAAAGGAATGAGATCATGTCCTTTGCAGGGACATGGATGAAGCTGGAAGCCATAATTCTCAGCCAACTAACACAGGAACAGAAAACCAAACACCACATGTCTCACTCATAAGTGGGAATTGAACAATAAGAACACATGGACACAGGGAGGGGAACAACACATACTGGGCCTGTTGGGGGATGGGGAGTCGGGGGAGGGGACTTAGAGGATGGGTCAATAGGTGCAGCAAACCACCATGGCATATGTGTACCTATATTAGAAACCTGCTCATTCTGCATATGTGTTCCGGAACTTAAAGTTTTAAAAAAATGTGGTACATATACACCATGGAATACTATGCAGCCATAAAAAGGATCAGGACATGGATGGAACTGGAAGCCATTATCCTCAGTAAACTAATGCAGGAACAGAAAAGCAAACACCACATGTTCTCACTTATAAGTTGGAGCTGAATGATGAGAACACATGGAAACATTGGAGGGGAACAACACACACTGGGGACTGTCATTGTGGGGCCAGGGGGAAGGAGATCATCAGGAAGAATAGCTCATGGATGCTGGGCTTACTACCTAGGTGATGGGATGATCTGTGCAGCAAACCACCATGGCACATGTTTACTTATGTAATAAACCTGCACATCTAGAACATGTACCCCTGAACTTAAAGTTGAAGAAAAAATAAGGAAACGCTAAGTTTTGCCTGGAACTTCTTTTCAATGTATTAATAAAGTTTGTTATATTAAGTACTTTTGAGTGTTTTACTTAGTCAAGCAAAGTTGTGGTTACAGAATGGCTTACTTATGTTGTAGCATCTGCCTAAGAATGTTCAAGTCGGTATGAAAGATGGACTTGTGCAGGATTCAGACGGTAAACGGGATGTAGATCTTCTTTAGTGCATTGTGTGCTAAAAATAAAGGTACTCACACTGTGGGCTACACTGTTAGTTGTGAATCTATTCCATGTTAATTGGATTCTTATTCCATGGTTCTTAATATATAGAGAGATCTTAAGAATTCATTCCAAGAGCTGAACAATGCACTTTCAATCCTGGAGGAAATCTTGTATGGTACTTAGCATTGGATCAACAATACATACTCAAAGTTAGTATTGCTAAGTGTACACATTACACCATAGATTAGCTTTTGGTATGCCAGATTTTTCCTGATTTATATAATTAATTTTATCCTTTTGTTTGTCTCAAAGCTTATGTGGAAGGTCTATACCCACAAGAATCTTTTAATCCTACAAACAATAGTGGTATGTACAACACAAAAAATAACTGAGTCTTCTCTGTAGAACAAAGAATTAGATCAGTACATCCAGGATCTTTTGTTACCACATCAAGAACATTTTAAAGCAAATTGTCTCATGTCAGACTGCCTAGTAGCTTTCATGCAAAAATTATTTTTAGCAGAATGAAAAATGTCCTAGATCAAAAGGAGCCTTAATTTGCAGCATCATGTTTGGAAACCGGAGGTAGATCTATGACCTCATTTTGGCAGCACTGACTGTAACTGATAGGTTCAAAGATAGTCACAAAATGTCCAAAAGAAAAGTGAATCAGAACTTTTTCTCCCTCCTTTTTTGTTCTTTTTAAATGAATAATATTTACACCTTTCTTATAAAACCATCACATAGTCATTGTAAGAATTCAGAATGTATAGGCAAAAATATGGAGAATAAAATAAAAGTCAACCACATTCCCCAAGCAGGATGTCGTAGTTGGGGGTGAGGTTTTTATCACCAGGGCCCTGTTTGGGCCTCACCCCCAACTCTGTCCTAGTTGGGGCTGAGGTTTTAATCACCAAAGCCCTGTTTAAGGAAGCCACATCTGGTTGCCAGGTGGAGAGGTAAGAAACTTCCATGTAGAGGGAATAGCTTGCACATGTGTTCTCTGGAGGTATAGAGAGAAGGCCAGAGTGTCAGGAGCATTGAAGGCATTCAGGTAGTTCTGATAGATTTATTAACATACGAAAAGTAGAATGCTACTGATTGGTGTTAAGCAGAGAAGTGATTAATTTGCATGGAAAAGATCACTGGCTACAATACAGAGAATCAACTGGAGGGGACAAGAGTGAAATAATAAGAGTGGATAGTAGGCAGATGCATTATTCTAGGAGAGACCTGTATTTGATTATATTCTTAGGTAGGGTAGCAGAAGTGGAGACTGAGAGAAATGGACACAATCAAGAGATAGTCTGAAAGTGGAATCAACAGGACTTAGATCCTTCTTACACGAAAACCCCCCTTGCTCTCTCTGCTCAGCCACACTGACTTTCTCTCAATCCCTTGTACTCCCTAGGTAGCCTTCTACCACAGGGTCTTCGTAATGTTATTCACCATACCTAGTACACTCACCTCTCCCCTCTGCCTGGTTCAACTCCTACTCATCCTTCAGATCTAGTTCCAACATCATTTCTTCAGGAAAGAATGATCTAATCTTCCAAAAAATATTGTGTATGGGTTCTCATAGCACGGTATGCCTCTTTTGCATAATATTTGATGCAATAGCAATTTTACATTTGTTTTATGCTTAGTTGATTACCACCTGCATCTCTCCACCGAGCCATGAGTTTCACAAAGACAAATGCTGTATTTGCCTTAATTATTATGATGTTCCCAGATCTGGACTCAGTGCCTATATATGCAGTAGTTACCTAGTACCTGTGGTTTGAAAGAATGATAAATGAGTATTAGATATATAAATGTTTAAGTTGGTCAATTATGATTAGTGATAATATTTTTGAAGTTAAAGTAACTGTCAGGGTGAAACAGAAAGCAATGAAAATGAAAATTAGAAATGATTTTCATAAAGAATAAAATAACTAAGGATTTAAGCCAAAACTGAGTATGCTACTCTACAAAAGCCTTGATGGTGGCAGCCAGGACACATCTATGACCTGATGAATATGATCAATATCTTCCGAAGATTGAAGATTAAAAGTAAGCCACTGAGTTGAAATAAGAATCATATTAAAATTTATAGTGCTGCTAAATGACAAGAAGTCTGTTGGAGCAGAACCCAGGTCAAATTTACATTTGCCCTTGGGCCTTCACCTTGGTGTTGTGTTTTCTTCTCCCAGTCAGTGAACAGAGGTCCCAAAAGCCCTTGAAAAAGGGTCACTCTTGAGTCCTGAGGGTGCAAGAAAGAGATTAGGAAGAGCATCCTGAAGTAATCATGGAGCGAACAATGAATTGCAATACTTTGCCATCAACACAAAGAAATCACAGCAAATTAGGTTGTCCCAGAGGCCATTTAATCTCCATAAACTTTCTTTATCCTAATCACTAAGCTCTAAATATTGCTGAATTTTTTTATGGTTTATAGTTTTGTATTCCAGAAAACTCCAAAAAAAAAAAAAACCCAAAAACAAAACAAAAATCATGAGGTGGCAAGAAAGAAGAGACAGGGCCTTGAAAATAAATGTTATTTGTAATTTAGGATTTTTGGATGACATTTATGTGTGTGCTGTTATGACTTTGAGAAGCACAGACTAGAAAGGTCTTTCATTATATGGATGCTGGAAGCTCTGCCCACCTTGTTGGGTATTCATTAATTATTATTTTTTATTTGGACTTACATATGATAATGTTACTGAACTGCAGCAAAATATTTTTGGGTCACAATGAACCTTTCAAAATATTTTCTTGGGCAGTACTATTATAGGAAAATTACCTAGCCTGATCTTGTAGCTTGCTATTCTTTCTACCTTGACTGCATTATTCTTAGGTTGACTTAGGGAGTTTACTTTCTTTCTGTAGTCTGATCACACAATTCTGAGTTCTGACAACTTCACACCAAGCATTTGAACTCACTGCAAGTGAAGTCTTACCTTTTAAAAAATATATTTTCAAGTGTGTGTATATGTATTGCTTTGGAGTTTTACATTTCATTCAAATTTAAGTTCTTCCAAATTACTTTTTTGATTATTTGCAATAAAGTCTATTTTTTAGCTTTGGAAACCAGAAAAAAATATGATTAAAAAATGCTGGATGTGATTTTTAAGCAATATTGACTAAGTATTAAGAAAATGAATATTCTGTCAATGATGAAAACATACTAAATGTGAAATATGCCACTTCTAAGGTGCTGTACCTAGAATGACAAATTGGAAGTGATTTAAAATATAAAACTGTATAAAACTGAAGGCTTTTTGAGCTACAACCTTCTGTAGAATATTCTTCACCTGTTGTGTTCAATCACCTGAATTTCTAGATTCTAATTTATGCTGAGGCTTTGGGGTATAACTAAAAATGCAGTTTGTGGAGCCTACTGTGGCAACAGGGACTATAGCATTGCTTTCTGAACAATAATTCTAACAGCTAATAATAATTTACTCATAAAGTTTAGAAGTCAAAGCTACCAGTATTTATTAAGTTTTCTCTATGTGCCCAGTAGCTTCTAGAAAAGCAGAAATAATGCACTCTGCTTTGGGGGAGCTTCATGTCTATGAGGAAATAATTTAAGACAACAGACAATCAAGACATAAGTTCTGTGTTACAACCTACAAATGTTACAGGATGTTAGAAAAGGCAAAGGTGATAGGATTTGGAACTGTATGAGGAGGTCGTAGAACTGCAGCCAACTGTGAAGCGTGTGCAAGCTTTGATGGGACAGATGGGATGGAAGAGGGAACTGCATACAGGGAATGAGGACTGGAGCACCTTAATAACACTGGGATATATCTGGGCATAAGGCTTATTGAGAGAGGATGAAAATAAGCACAGTCATTGAAGAAATAGTAGCATGTGGTGTGAATATTATACACCCCTACTTCCTTCTTTAATGCCTGTACTTCTTGCTTTTGTTGTAATAGAGGCTTTGATTGGCAGAAAAAGGAAGTTTGACCCTATACTGAGCAAGAAAATGATGAAAATGAAAAGTGTTTGAGTAGCTCTAACAGGGAAGCTATGCAAAGATAGTTGGAGAGAATCTAGACTTCATATGACCAAATAAGAAGTTACTGCAATAAATCTAGTGTGAAATAGTGAAGGCATACATTAGGAATTATTGATAAACTTTTTCTATAAATTGTAAGATAAATATTTTGGGGAGCTGGGCATGGTGGCTCACGCCTGTAATCCTAGCACTTTGGGAGGCCACAGGGCAGGTGGGTCACTTGAGCCCAGGAGTTCAAGACCAGCCTGGGCAACATGGTAAAACCTGGTCTCTACCAAAAAAATACAAAAATTAGCCAGGTATGGTGACATGTGCCTGTAGTCTCAGCTATTCAAGAGGCTGAGGTGGGAGGATTGCTTGAGCCCAAAAGGTTGAGGCTGTAGTGAGCCAAGATTGCACCACTGCATTTCAGCCTGGGTGACAGAGCGAGACCCTGTCTCAAAAACTTAAATAAATATTTTAGGCTTTTCAGGCCATATAGTCTTGGTGGCAACTACTTGACCCCACCACTGTAGCAAGAAAGCAGCCATACCCAATATATAAATGAATAAGCATGGCTGTGTTCCAGTAAAACTTTATTTAGAAAAACAGGCGAGGGCTATATGTGGACTGCAGGCCATAGCTATCTACCACTGTAGTGGTAACATGGGAATGAAAAGAAGGAAACAGTTTAACATCTTGAGAAATAACATGATTAGAGTCTAATGTTTACCTGCATAAAGAGATAAGGAGGGGAAGGAGCCAAAGATTTCACACAACACATCAGACCTTGAAATATCAATGTGGAATTCATCAATATGGAAATGGTAATTGAATCATAAAAGTGACTTGTTGAAGAAGAAGAAAGGCAGGCTAAGGACTAATGATTATGATATCTCAGGGTGGGGTGCTGATTGGCCTCTAGGGTGACAGCAATGTTCTGTTTCTTGATCTGGGTGCTGATTACAGTGGAAGGTACACTTTGTAAAAATTTATGAAGCTGAACAATTGTGCTTTCTGACTTTTATTTATGTTGTACTTCAATAAACAGTAAGGGGATAGAAAGAGGAGCTAAAACCAACGAGAGAACAAAGAAATCCTGATTAGAGAAGTAGGAGAAGATCTAGAAGATGAAATATCACAGAAACCGAGAGAGAGTTGAAAAGGAAGGACTAATTGGCAGAGCCAAAGGAAGAAGCAAGGTTAAAATGAGGACAGACAAGTGGGTTAAATTTAACTAGGGGGTAAGAGATGACCTCCACATGGTAGCTTCGGTGGAGTCGTGTGATTGGAAATTAGATTCCAGGTTTTTAAACTGAAAGGAGGGGGTATTGAAATTGAGTAGTTTATTAAAAACTTCAAGGACAATGGCTGTAAGAAAAGTAATGGTTTACTTTTGTAAGATATATAGAAGACAACAATAGAATGAAATAAGAGTTTTATTTCTTGTTATTTTTCACAGAAAATATTGTATATGTTTGAGAAAAAGGGGAAATAACCGTAGTGAAAGATTGAGGATGTTAATAAGAGGTAGAGAGTATACAGAACAGAAAAAGCTAGATAAAAAAATGTCTACCTCAAAAGGACAAATAATCAGAGAGAAAAATAAGATAAATTCAGATAAGGAGCTACTCAGAAGAGGACCAAATCTACTCCATGGTGGTGAAGCCATCTTCCTGGCATCTGTACAATCACCATGACAGTTTTTAATGAATGTGGTGGACACTTCAAATGGCAAATTCCTATAAACGGTATCATTATCTTGGTTATAGGAGAATCTCACTTCTTTGAAAATTATCTTATTGTAACTTTTGCTTTTAGTGTAGTTTATTTTATGGTAAATTGGTTTAATAAAGTTGAAAAAGGAATCTACCATATCAAATTTATTAAACCAGAAATTCTAATATTAAAATAAAAACTCTAAGTTGGTTTAAAGTGAAAAAAGCATTTAATCAAATAAGTATAATCTATCTTAAAAATAAAAATTTTAATTTTTTAAAATAAATTCAGTGACTTAAAATTCAAGGATTTAAAAAATATGTGTTACACATATACACACAATGTCATCAAAATTAGATCCTTAATTTTAAGGAATGTTTGGATGAAACACATTTAAGTGTTTTCAGAACTTGTAATTCACTTTGAAAATATGCCACACTCCATCAAATCCAGTAAAACAAAGACTGTGAAGTAATAAAAAAAATCAAATCACTTTGCGAAATCACATTATGTGGGTATAATTTGATACACCTAGCTGCCTCATACTGATACTTAATAGACATTTTTTTCACATTGCTATATAATTATCAGTCCCCACTGAACTATGTATGCAAAACTGATGGAACAGTTGAGCCTTAATGAACGGAGATATTTGCATTTCATTACAGTACTAGGTTGTATAATTCTGCTCATAAATTTACAAAATAATGTTCAACTCATTGCAAATGAAAATGAAAAAATTATTTTAAAAATCTGTCCTGAATTCTTTTCTTCCTCAGCAATGGTGAGTATACTAGTTTTTCTTAATTTCAATAAAGTGGATTGAACCATGATAAGATCACAAATTTAAAGTTTCATAACTTTACCAATTACTCTGTAAGGTCCATGAAATGTTTATCAGTCAGTTGGATCAAAGCAGAATTTTAAAACTTGCACATATTTAAGTAACTTCTAAGGGTAGTGGACCTTAACGTATTTTGATTGGTATTAACTCTTCTAATAAAAACAGACATTATTTATAGCTTCTTGGTCTTACAGTTTCATACCAGCAATGTCGAATACTGAAAGATCAACAATGACTATTATTAAAGTAATTTTAGTATAATTTTTTTCTGTTGCCACTTTAGTTTTTTATTCTAGGAGCAGCTCCACCTTCCTCTTTATTCCCATCATGCTCTCAAAGGCAAAGGAGTGTCAAGGGTTCTCTGATTAGACATTATTTTCTGAGGATATAATTCCTTCTCTTGATTAAATGTAGGCACATTTATAATGAAGTCACTTTTTCTATTTCCAAGGAAAAGTAGGTGATCCCTATTTCTGGGTAATTCCTACCGAAAAGTTGACTTGTGGTGGTTAGCCTAGTTCCAGAAACTGACATTTGTTTGTTTCTCAGTCCTTTATCTTTTGAGTGGAAGGTGTGCTTTTAATGTATCTTTTCTTGGTTTGGAGTCATAAGGTACAAAATAGGGGTAGTAGTAAAGGGAGCCTACTCAAAACTTCATCATGCTTTATGTATAATGATGATTGGAAAAAGTGAGTTTCTAATTCTGAACTCAATTACAGCATTTTTCACTGAAATTTAAGGCCAACTTCCAATTGATAATTTATTAATAATGTGTTACATACCAATATAAAACTACTACAGCTTGTTTGGAGTATTGGGGTCCCTTTGGTCTGTTGTCTAAAATAGCAATGCCTTATTAATATCACTAATAGCACCCTATTTCATTACCCTCAACCAGATACTTATGGACATAAAACAAAGAAATAGGATTATCAAGGTTTCTTTATACACACATTTGCACTTTTAATTTTAAAATTTAATTTATGGTTATTATAAACTTCTTCAGAAAATGATGATCTAATTAGTGTAGTAAAACATTTGAACAAGACTTAATACTTTCAAAGCTACATAAGAACAAATATAAAGGAGTATAATGCAAATTGACTTGGTGTGGGTTAATTAGATAGAATTTAAGGTAGAAATACAGTTAAAAGATCACTGTTTCTGAATCTTCTTGCCTCAAGAGAATTATTCCTATCATATTTTATCTTCTGTATACGACTATTTAAAATTTGCTTAATTTTATATAATGTACAATTTCATTCAAGCCTATGGCTACAGTTTCCATGTAGATGGAGATGACACTCAAATTGCTTTTTTTAGTCAAGATCTTTTTCTGAGCTCTAGTTTTATAAATCTCTTTATAGAACTCATGTCCTTGAGTATCTTAATCTATACTCCCTAGTGATATCAGGGATCTTCCTATTAGCATAAATCTGATCACATTCAAAAATTAAGACAGAAATCAAGAAGTCAGGTAACATGATGCCTCCAGCTTTGTTCTTTTTGCTTAGGATTGTCCTGGCTATACAAGATCTTTTTTTGGTTCCATGTGAATTTTAAAGTAGTTTTTTCCTAATTCTGTGAAAAATGTCCATGGTAGTTTAATGAGAATAACATTGAATCTATAACTTTGGGCAGCATGGCCATTTTCACAATATTGATTCTAGCCACGAACATGGAATATTTTTCCATTTGTTTGTGTCCTCTCTTATTTCCCTTAGCAGTGGTTTGAAGTTCTACTTGAAGAGGTCCTTCACGTCCCTTGTTAGCTTTATTCCTAGGTATTTTATTCTCCTTTTAGCAATCACGAATGGGGGTTTATTCATGATTTGTCTCTCTGCTTGTCTATTGTTGGCGTAAATGAATGCTTGTGATTTTTGCACGTTGATTTTGTATCCTGAGACTGCTGAAGTTGCTTATCAGCTTAAGAAGCTTTTGGGCTGAGACGATGGGCTTTTCTAGATATAGGATCATGTCATCTGCAAACAGAGACAGTTTGATGTCCTCTCTTCCTATTCGAATACGCTTTATTTTTTTCTCTTGCCTGATTGCCCTGGACAGAACTTCCAATACTACATTTAATAAGAGTGGTGAGAGAGGACATCCTTGTCTTGTGCAGGTTTTCAAGGGGAATGCTTTCAGCTTTTCCCCATTCAGTATGATATTGGCTATGGGTTTGTCATAAATGGCTCTTATTATTTTGAGGTATGTTCCATCAATACATAGTTTATTAAGAGTTTTTAACATGAAGGGATGTTGAATTTTATCAAAGTTCTTTTCTGCATCTGTTAAGATAATCATGTGGTTTTTGTCATTAGTTTTATGTGATGAATTATGTTTATTGATTTGTGCATGTTGAACCAGCAATGAATCCTGGGGATGAAGCTGACTTGATCATGGTGGATAAACTTTTTGATGTACTGCTGGATTTGATTTGCCGGTATTTTATTGAGAATTTTGGCATTGATGTTCATCAGGGATATTGGTCTGAACTTTTCTTTTTTTTTCTTTTCTTTTCTTTCTTTCTTTCTTTTTTTTTTTTTTGTATGTCTTCCAGGTTTTGGTATCAGGATGATGCTGTCCTCATAAAATGAGTTAGGGAGAAGTCCCTCCTTTTCAATTTTTTGGAATAGTTACAGAAGAAATAGTACCAGCTCCTCTTCATACCTCCGGGAGTACTCAGCTGAGAATCCTTCTGGTCCTGGGCTTTTTTTTTTGTTGGTAGGCAATTTATTACCTCCTCAATTTCAGAACTTATAATGGCTCTATTCAGAAATGCAACTTCTTCCTGGTTCAGTCTTGGCAGGGTGTATGTGTCTGGGAAATTTATCCATTTCTTGTAGATTTTCTAGTTTATTTGCAGAGAGATGCTTATAGTGTTCTTTGATGGTTGTTTGTATTTCTGTGAGTTCAGTGGTGATATACCCTTTATCATTTTTTATTGTGTCATTTGATTCTTCTCTCTTGTTTTCTTTATTAGTCTAGCTAGTGATCTATCTATTTTATTAATTTTTTCAAAAAAAAACCAGCGCCTGGATTCATTGATTTTTGAAGGGTTTTTCATGTCTCTATCTCCTTCAGTTCCACTCTAGTCTTGGTTATTTCTTGTCTTCTGCTAGCTTTGGTGTTTGTTTGCTCTTATCCTCTAGTTCTTTTAGTTATGATGTTAGGGTGTTGATTTGAGTTCTTTCTAGCTTTTTAATGTGGGCGTTTAGTGCTATAAATTTTCCTTCTTACACTTCTTTAGCTGTATCCCAGAGATTCCGGTACGTTGTCTCTTTGTTTTCATAGGTTTCAAAGAACTTCTTGATTTCTAACTTAATTTTATTATTTACCTAGGAGTCATTCAGGAGCAGATTGTTCAATTTCCCTGTAGTTGTGTGGTTTTGAGTGAGTTTCCTAATCTTGAGTTCTAATTTGATTGTGCTGTGGTCTGAAAGACTGTTACAATTTCAGTTCTTTTGCATTTACTGAGGAGTATGTTACTTCTAATTATGTGATTGATTTTAGAGTAAGTTCCATGTGGCACTACAAATAATGCATATTCTGTTTTTGGGTGGAGAGTTCTGTATATATCTATCAGGTCCACTTGATCCAGGGCTGAGTTCGAGTACTGAATATCCATGTTAATTTTCTGTCTCAATGATCTGTCTAATATTGACAGTGGGTTGTTAAAGTCTCCCACTATTATTGTGTGGGAGTCTATGTCTCTTTGTCAGTCTCTAAGAACTTGTTTTATAAACCTGGGTACTTCTGTATTGGGGGTATACACACACACACACACACACACACACACACACATATATGATTGTTAGCTCTTCTTGTTGAATTAATCCCTTTGCCATTGTATAATGCCTTTCTTTGTGTTTTTGATCTTTGTCGGTTCAAAGTCTGTTTTGTTAGAAACTAGGATTGCAAGCCCTGCTTTTTTCTGCTTTCCAATTTCTTGGTAAATTTTCCTCCTTCCCTTTATTTTAAGCCTATGTGTGTCTTTGCATGTGAGATGAGTCTCTTGAATACAACACACTGATGGGTCTTGACTTTTTATCTGGCTTTTCCTTCTGTGTCTTTTAATTGGGGCATTTAGCCCATTTATGTTTAAGGTTGATATTGTTATGTGTGAATTTGATCCTGTCATCATGGTAAACTGTTTATTTTGCTAGCTGTTTATTTTGCAAACTTGTTGATGTAGATGCTTCATAGTGTCATTGTTCTTTGTACTTCAGTGTGTTTTCACAATGGCTGGTACCACTTTTTCCTTTCCATACTTAGTGCTTCCTTCAGGAGCTCTTGCAAGGCAGGAGCCTTGATTAATTCCCTCAGCATTTATGTGTCTGAAAAGGGTTTTATTTCTCCTTCACTTATGAAGCTTAGTTTGGCCAGATATGAAATTCTGAGTTGGAAATTGTTTTTTTTTTTTTTTTAAGAATGTTGAATATTGGCCCTCAGTCTCTTCTGGCTTGCAGGGTTTCTGCTGAGCAGTCTGCTGTTAGTCTGATGAGCTTCTTATTGAAGGTGACCTGACCTTTCTCTCTGGCTGCCCTTAGCATTTTTTCCTTCATTTTGACCTTGAAGAATCTGATGATTACATGTCTTGGGGTCAATCTTCCCATGGAGTATCTTAGTGGGGTTCTCTGTATTTCCTGGATTTGAATGTTGACCTGTCTTGTTAGGTTGGGGATGTTCCCCTGGATGATATCCTGAAGTATGTTTTACAACTTGGTTCCATTCTCCCCGTTTCTTTCAGGTACCCAATCAATCATAGGTTTAGTCTTTTTACATAATCCCATAGCTCTCAGAGGTTTTGTTTGTTCCTTTTCATTCTTTTCTCTCTAATCTTGTCTGTCTGTCTTCTTTCAGCAACATGGCCTTCAAGCTCTGAAATTCTTTCCTCTGCTTAGCCTATTCAGTTATTGGTACTGTGGCTGCATTGTGAAGTTGTGTTTTTCAGCTCTATCAGGTATTTTATCTTCTTCTCTAAACTGGTTATTCTGGTTAACAGCTTCTGTAATGTTTTATCGTGGTTCTTAGCTTCTTTGCACTGGGTTATAACATGCTCCTTTAGCTCAGCAAATTTCATTATTACCCAACTGCTAAAGCCTACTTCTGTGAATTCATCCATTTCAGCCTCTGCCCAGTTCTGTGCCCTTGCTGGAGAGGTGTTGTGATCATTGGGAGGAGAGGAGGCATTCTGGCTTTTTGAGTTTTCCATGCTTCTTCATTGATTCTTTCTTATCTTCCTGAGTTTATCTAGCTTTGGTCTTTGAGGCTGCTCATATTTGAATGGAGTTTTTCTGTGGACGTTTTTTGTTGATGCTGTTGTTGTTGCTTTTTGTTTGTTTGGTTTTCTATTAACAGTCAGTGCCCTCTTCTATAGGGCTGCTGTGATTTACTGGGGGTCTACCCCAGACCCTATTTGCCTGGGCCCCTCCTGTATCTGGTGATGTCACCAGTGGAGACTGCAGAACAGCAAAGATGGCTGCCTTCTCCTTCCTGTGAGATCTCTGTTTCAGAGGGGCACCAATCTGATGCCAGTGGGAATGCTCCTGTATAAGGTGTCTGGTAACCCATGTTGGGAGGCCTCACCCAGTCAGGAGGCATAGGATCCAGGACCCAATTGATGAAGCACTCTGGCTGCCCCTTAGTGGAGGGGATGAGCTGTGCTGGGGGGAATCCAAATCATCTGGACCTCCAGGATTCCTCAGAGCCAGTAGGGGGAAAGACCATGTCTGCTGATCTGTGGAGACTGTGGCTCAGTCCCAGGGAGATCAGACTTCTAACCCTAAACCCCTGGCTGGAGTTGCTGAAATTTCTGCAGGGAGGCCCCACCCTGTGAGGAGGGGTGGATTGGGTTCAGCCTAAAGAGGCAGTCTGGCCATGACCTGCCATAGCCACTATGCTGTGCTGTAGGGAATTCCTCCTGAGTCTAAACTGTTTAGTCTCCCTGGCACTGGCAGGGGAAAAATGGCCAAATGAAGCTGCAGTGACGGCTGCTGCCCCTCCCACAGGGAACTCAGTCATCTTAGGCAATAGGTGGCCACAGTGATGGCTGCCACACCTAGGGGAGCTCAGTTGTCTTAGGCAACAGGCAGCTGCTGTAACGACGGTCACCCCTTCCCCCAGGAACTCAGTAGTCTTAGGCAGTTTTCAGCCAAGTGGCCACTGAGAATCTGCACAACTTTGTGCTTAGGACCCAGGGCCCTGGTGATATAGGCTCCTGATGGGGATCTCCTTATCTGCAGGTTGCACAGTTCTGTTACCAGAAAGGGATCCTAATTCAGACCCCAAGAGAGAGTTCTTGGATGTTGTGCAAGAAAGAATTCAGGATGAATCCACAGTGCAAAGCAAAAATGAGTTTATTAAGAAAGTCAAGTGGTGAAAGAACAACTGCTCCATAGACAGAGTAGGGCATTCCCAAACGTGTCCACCATAGATACAATACCTGTTTATATAAAGGATAAGAAAAGATTATGAAGAGATGTGCTCTGCTACAAGGGTTTGTAATAAAGGATTAATTTTCTTAATTGCTGTATTTTGCAATAATCAATATTATTATCTTTAGAGCAAAATTAGGAATTCTTCATTCTCTAGATATAGGGATATTGGGACACTCCCAAATCTGGGTCTGCTTAGTAAAAGTTATCTATCTTTTCCTTTAACTATAAATATCTAGAGGTTAGGAATACCTAAGTTTCTGTGAAGGCAGCCCATCAAGTC
Organism: Homo sapiens; assembly: GCF_000001405.40. Classification (NCBI taxonomy): domain Eukaryota; kingdom Metazoa; phylum Chordata; class Mammalia; order Primates; family Hominidae; genus Homo; species Homo sapiens. Next base: position 38,448,244 of record NC_000014.9, on the reverse strand, counting down.
CCAACCTCATTTTTCCTCACTGTCACTCAAGATGGAGTCACTCTGGTTTGAATGCCTCTGACAGATCCATGGAAAAAGCTGGGGTCAGGAGTTCCCCTTGCCCCACATGGCTCCCAGGTGGGCTGTTGCATCACCCTGCTTTTTCTTGCTCTCCATTGGTCATGCCAACCTCCTAGTCAGTTCAAATGAGATAACCTAAATACCTCAGTTGCTGATGCAGGATTCATGCATCATTTTCATTTTTCTTGGTGGGAACCTCTGACTGCAGCTGTTTCTTTTCAGCCATGTTGGCCTCTCAACAAGAGTTCTTAAATAGGCTGAACTGGTCAGATGACAGCAATAGAATTCAGAATATAAACAGGAGCAAAGATCATCAAGATTCAGGAGGATGGAAAACTCAGTCCAAGGAAAATAAAAATCGCGATAAAGTGATATGGGAGCTAAAGGGAAAGATAGCCCATATAAAAAAGAACCTAGGCCGGGCGCGGTGGCTCACGCCTGTAATCCCAGCACTTTGGGAGGCCGAGGCGGGCGGATCATGAGGTCAGGAGATCGAGACCATCCCGGCTAAAACAGTGAAACCCCGTCTCTACTAAAAATACAAAAAATTAGTCGGGAGTAGTGGCGGGCGCCTGTAGTCCCAGCTACTTGGGAGGCTGAGGCAGGAGAATGGCGTGAACCCGGGAGGCGGAGCTTGCAGTGAGCCGAGATCCCGCCACTGCACTCCAGCCTGGGCAACAGAGCGAGACTCCGTCTCAAAAAAAAAAAAAAAAAAAAAAAAAAAGAACCTAATGGGTCTGACAGAGCTGAATGACACAAGAATTTGACAATACAATCACAAATATTAACAGCAGGATAAACCAAGCTGAGGAGAGAATTTCAGAACTTGAAGAATGGCTCTTTGAAATAAGATAGTCAGAAATAAAGGAAAAAGAATAAAAAGGAATGAACAAAATCTCCAAGAAGTATGGAATTACATAAAGAGGCCAAATCTATGCATCATTGGCGTCTTTGAAAGGGAGCGGGAGAAAGCAAAGAAGTTGGAAAATATATTTCAGAATATCATTCATGAAAACTTCCCCAACCTTACTAGAGAGGCCAACAGTCAAATTCAGGAAATACAGAGAACTCTTGCAAGATTCTACACAAGAAGATTATCCCCAAGGCACATTATCCTCAGATTTTCCAAGGTTCAAATCAAAGAAAAAATGTTAAAGGCAGCTAGAGAGAAAGGGTGGGTCACCTACAAAGGAAACCCCATCGGGCTAAGAGCAGATTTCTCAGCTAAAATCTTACAAGCCAGAAGAGATTGGGTGCCTATATTCAACATTCTTTAAGAGATAATTTTATATCCAGCCAAACTAAGCTTCCTAAGTGAAGGAGAAATAAGATCTTTTTCAGTTAAGCAAATGTTGAGGGAGTCCATTACCACTAGACCTGCTTTATAAGAGACCTTGAAAGGTAGACTAAATATAGAAAGGAGACTGCTACCAGTTAATACACTTAAGCACACTGACCAGTGTCATTATAAAGCAACCACACAAACAAGCCAGCATAATAACAAGCTAACAGCACAACTACAGGATAAAATCCACACGTATTAATACTAACCTTGAAAGTAAATTGGCCAAATTCCTCAGTTCAAAAGTATAGAGTGGCAAGCTGGATAAAAAAGCTAGACCCAATGGTATGCTGTCTTAAAGAGACCCATCTTAAATGTAATGACACTCATAGGTTCACAATAAAGGGATGGAGGAAAATCTACCAAGCAAATGGAAAACAGAAAAAATCAGGGGGTGCAATTCTAATTTCAGACAAAACAGATTTCAAACCAAGAAAGATCAAAAATGAAAAAGAAGGGCATTACATAATGGTAAAGGGTTCAATTTAACAAGAAGGTCTAAGTATCTGAAATATATATGCACCCAACACATGGGCATCCAGATTCATAAAGCAAATTCTTAGAGACCTATAAAGAGACATAGACTGTCACACAATAATAATGGGAGACCTCAACACTCCATTGACAGTATTAGGTCATCAAGGCATAACATTAACAAAGATATTCAGGAACTAAATTCAACATTGGACCAAATGGATTTGATAGAGCTTTATAGAACTCTCTCCCCCAAAACAGCAGAGTATACATTCTTATCATTGCCACATGGCCTGTACTCTAAAATTGACCACATAATTGGACATAAAACAATCCTCAACAAATCTAAAAGAACTAAAATCATACCAAACACAGCTCAATAAAAATAGAAGTCAACTATAAAAATTGCTGAAAACCATGTAATTACTGGAAATTAAACAACATGATCCTGAAAAACTTTTGGGTAAATAATGAAATTAAGGCAGAAATCAATAAGTTCTCTGACAATAATGAGAACAAAGGTACCACATACCAGAATCTCTGGGGCACAGATAAGGCAGTGTTAAGAGGAAAATTCATAGCACTAAATGCTCAGATTAAAAAATCAGATCTCAAATTAACAACCTATGTTCATGACTGAAAGAATTAGAGAAGCAAGGACAGGTCAGCCCCAAGGCTCACAGGAGATAAGAAATATCAAAAATAAGAGCTGAACTGAAGGAAAATGAGATGTGAAAAACCATTCAAAAGCTCAATGAATCTAGGAGTTGGTTTTTTTGAAAAAAAAAATGAAAAAGGCCATTAGGTAGACTAATAAAAAAAGAAAAGAGAGAAGATCCAAATACACACAATTAGAAATGATGAAAAGAATATTACTACCATCAGAAATAAAAGCAACTGTCAGAAACTACTATGAGCACCTCTATGTAAACAAGTTAGAAAACCTAGGAGAGATAGATAAATTCCTGGACACATACACCCTCCCAAGGCTGAGCCAGGAAGAAATTGATTCCCTGAACAGAACAATAACAAGCTCCAAAATTGAATCAGTAATAAATAGCCTACCAACCAAAAAAAGCTTGGGACCTAATGGATTCACAGTCAAATTCTACCAGATGTAGAAAAAAGGGAAGGTACCATTTCTACAGAAACTACTCCAAAAAATTGAGGAGAAGGGACTCCTCCCCAACTTATTCTATGAGGCCAGCATCATGTTGATACCAAAATCTGGCAGAGACACAATGAAAAAGGAAAACTTCAGGTCAATATCTTTGATGAACATTGATGCAAATATCCTCAACAAAATACTTGCAAACCAAATCCAACAGCTCATCAAAAAGCTAATCCACCATGATCAAGCAGGCTTTATCCCTGGGATACAAGATTGGTTTACCACATGCAAATCAATAAATGTGATTCATCACATAAACAGAACTAAAGATGAAAACCACATGATTATCTCAATAGATGCAGAAAAAGCTTTAATAAAATTCAACACCCCTTCACGTTAAAAACTCTCAATAAACTAGGTACTGAAAGAACATACCTCAAAATAATAGCCATCTATGACAAACCCACAGCCAACATTACATTGAATGGGGAAAAGCTGGAAGCATGCTCCTTGAAAACTGGAACAAGACAAGGATGCCCTCTCTCACTACTTTTGTTCAAGGAGTCTAGAAAACCCCATAGACTTGGCCCAAAATCTCCGTCAGCTGATAAACAACTTCAGCAAAGTTGCAGGATACAAAATCAATGTATAAAAATCACTAGCATTTCCATATACCAGCAACAGCCAAACTGAAAGCCAAATCAGAGAGGCAATTCCATTCACAATTGCCACAAAAAGAACAAAATACCTAGGAATACAGCTAGCCATGGAAGTAAAAGATCTTTACAATGAGAATTACAAAACACTGCTCAAAGAAATCAGAGACGATACACAAAAAAATGGAAAAGCATCCCATGCTCATGGATAAGAAGAATCAATAATATTAAAATGGTGATACTGCCCAAAGCAATTTACACATTTAATGCTATTTCTATCAAGCTACCAACGACATTCTTCATAGAAGTAGAAAAGAGCATTTTAAAATTCATATGGAACCAAAAAGCCTGAATAGCCAAGCAAAAACAACAAAGCTGGAGGCATCATGCTACTTGACTTCAAACTATACTACAAGTCTACAGTAAACAAAACAGCATAGTACTGGTACAAAAATAGGCACATTGGTCAAGGAATAGAGTAGAGAGGCCAGAATAAGACCACACATCTACAACCATCTGATCTTTGACAAAGCTGACAAAAACAAGCAATGGGGAAAAGATTCTCTATTCAATAATGGTGCTGGGATAACTGGCTAGCCATATGCAGAACACTGAAGCTGGATGCCTTCCTTATGCAATATAGAAAATTCAACTCAAGATGGATTAAAGACTTAAATGTAAAACCCCAAACTATAAAAACCCTGGAAGACAACCTAGGCAACACCACTCAGGACACACAAATGGGCAAAGATTTCATTAATAAGACACCAAAAGCAATTGCAGCAAAAGCAAACATTGGCAAATGGGATCTAATTAAACTAAAGAGCTTCTTCACAGCAAAATAAACTATCAACATGGTAAACAGATAACCTAAATAATGGGAGAAAATTTTTGCAAACTAGGCATCTGACAAAGGTCTAATATTCAGCATCTGTGGGGAACTTAAACAAATTTACAACAGAAAAACAACCTCATTAAAAATTGGGCAAAAGACATGAACAGACACTTCTCAAAAGAAGACATACATGTGGTCAAGAAGCATAGGAAAAAAACCTCAATATCACTAATCATTAGAGAAATGCAAATCAAAACCACAATGAAATAAAATACCATCTCACAGTGAAAAGATAACAGATGCTGGTGAGGTTTCACATAAAAGGGAATGCTTATACGCCATTGGAAGGAGTGTAAATTCGTCAACCATTGCGGAAAGCAGTATGGCAATTCCTCAAAAGCTAAAAGCAGAACTGATTTGACCCAGCAATCCCATTACTGGGTATACCCAGAGGAACATAAATCATTCTACCATAAAGACACATGAACACGAGTGTTTATTTCAGTACTATTCACAATAGCAAAAACAAGGGATCAACCTAAATGCCCATCAATGACAGATCGGATGGAGAAAATGTGGTACATATGCACCATGGAATACTGTGCAGTCATAAAAAAGAAGGAGATCATGTCTTTTGTGGAAACATGGAGCAGGAGGCTATTATCCTTATCCTTAGGCTATTATCCGTATCCTTCCTAATGTAGGAACAGAAAACCAAATACCACATGTTCTCACTTATGAACACAAAAAAAGAAATGACAGACACTGGGGTCTACTTGAGTGGGAAGGGTGGGAAGAGGGAGAGGAGCAGAAGAGATCACTATTGGGTATAGGACTTAATACCTGGGTGATGAATAATATGTACAACCCCCTGTGACACATGTTTACCTATGTAACAAACATTCAAATGTACTCCCAAACCTAAAATAAAAGCTAAAAAATTTACATTGTTTTTCAAAAATATAAATGATCTAAATAGCATAATCTGGAATACGTAAAATAATAAAAATTGACCTTAGTGGAAACGGAACTCTAGAATAGCAATCACCATAGGAAAAATTAAATTATCATATAATTAATTCTAAAAATGACTGATAAGATTTTAAGTGTAAATCCTAGCAAATTTTCAGGGAACAGATAATTTACATACCAGTTAAATTATCCTATAGGTGAAAAAAATGTGGAAAGTCTGCTAAAATGTTTTTACTCGCTTTATGTAACACGGATGCCAAAATCTAACAATGATGGAACAAAATGAAAATAAACACTGTGATAACTAACCTGACTCCATGTTCTATGTTTGGCTGCTGACAGCTTCCAGACCCTGCCCTTTCCCTTTTGCCTCTTGTTCCGTATCTGGGCAAACTGATAAGAAACCCTGAGTACTCCCTCCCTTGGTGCTGTTGGAGAAGTTCAAGCCATGCAAACCCTGGCTGTGTGCAAGATGTCACCTAGGTCCTACCTCCTAACCACAATAAAAACCAAAGCCACCTGCATGTCCCTTCACTTAAGTAATATCAGGTCAGCTTTAGTGCTTGCTTTGGTGTCCCCAGAAAGTCCCATTACGTAGGTAAGGAACCTTTTAATACTCTCTTGTAGCACATGTGTCATCCTCAGTCTTGATAATCTGAACCTATTTTAGGTGGGAGGTCGATCTCATTCTCTTCAGGGCAACTACAAAATAATTGGCACTAGGAGACCTGGGGGTCTTTCTTGTTTTTGGCTTGCTACCTGGTTCTCCTGCCTGCTGGTGACAGTGTACATTGAGCTTTTGCCTCCTGGCTAGTTTGTGTTTTGAATTGCTTTACTGCCTACCAGTAAGCTTGCATTTTGAATTGTGTTGTGCTGTGATGCATTTGCTGAATCCTACTAAGTTTCTGGTATAGATTTAACTAATTATGTTGAAAATTTTGACAGGATATTTAGGGTAGGAGTGTGGCATTCGAATTCCTTCTAAAAGTGGGCCTGGGTCATATGTTTGGCTTAGATCTATCCATGTATTTCAATTTCAGCATAAGTCATAGCTTACTCTGGACACGTGAAACAACTTTTACCCAATGACCATTGGCTGAATTTCTCAAGCAGGTGTTGAGCCCCTGTGCAGTATATAGACCCATTAGTTGTGTGCTAGTGTGAGGAAGAGTAGTCACTATGTTGTGTTCTGAGGTCCACATGCTTAAGTTCAGAGAGCTCACTGAGACTCTATAAACCTTAAGATGGCTCTGCTGCTGCTGCTGCTGCTGCTGCTGCTGCTGTTGCCACTCATGCCTCTGTTGCTACAAAGACCCTGGTCCTCAGGATTATACAGAAAAAACTCCCATGGTACCTCCTATGGCATAGACTCTTATGAAAAGCAACCCTAACTGCTCTACACTCAACCCCATTATAGGTCCAGAGGGCACTGTTACGCTATTAAATAACCATAAAAGGAACGGGCAAAGATTGTGGGGTCTATTGAGTATTGCAGCTTATCAACATATCAAGTGGTTAATTCATACCCAGCTTAATTCCGGAGTCCCTAAACCATCATAACAACATTCACCATGTGGGAGGTCCCTACCCCACGATACTAATTTAGCACTCTCTGAAGGATGAGACTTACAAAAATGAGCAGAATGGAGAAAACTCCCCTTTCCCCCTCTCCATGTAGTATATCCAGTAACTTTAAACATAAAATAAAACAACAACAACAAAAACACTTTATACAATGGGAAGAAATAGGCACTGAAACAGGGATCTGTGATTTGGTCCAACTGGAAATCAAAATTCACTAAAATAATTTGTGGAAAAGAAAGATAAAAATGACTATTGATTATTGTGTTTCTACAAAATAGGTACTAAATTAATGTCTGCTGAGATGTGCCAATTGGAAAACATTTATGGCCTAATTAATGGGGCTCAAATTACAGTTGTACCTGGGAATGCCACAAAATATAAACCAGGTACCCCCTATACTCTTAGTGGAGTTACTGACCATAAAATAGAGGACAAATAAATATACCCAACCTTAGCCTTGAAAATGTTGCGTATATTCCCCACAATCACAGTGTTCCGTGCCCAATGTCCCATAGTGGGCATAAACATTTTGACCTAGTAAATAATAGAGTAGAATTAAACCTCTGACACTTAAGATTAGCTTGATAAAATGGGGCTCCATGGACTCATTCACCCTAAATCCTATACCAGGTTAAATAGTACAGATCAATATAGATTTAAACAAGTTCTGCAAAAATTAAGGTCATATAAGACCAGCTGAAGGAAGGGGCCACTGTTCCTATATCCTGATGTTTGCTAATGGTCAAACCTAATAAAAATAAGTGGTGCCTAACAGTGAGGCTTGGTGCCTCTAGCATCTCAGATTAATGAAATAAAAATGGATGATGTAATAGGGGGAAACGTTAGATCTCTACCTCACATTCTACCAAAATAAATTCCAAATGAAGCAAGGAATCAGCTATGAGAATAAAATAATAAAAGTTATGAATGTTTATGTACATAGAAATTTATAGTCTTGCATTGAGGAGGGACTTTTTTAGAATAACACTACACCAGAAGCCATAAAGGAGCGAAATTCTGGATTTGTATACATAAATATTTAAAATTTCCTTATAAAATAATAAAGTCTGACTAGAATTAAAAGAAAAACAGTAAATAAACAGGACATTTGCAGCATATATGACAAGGAATTAATATCTGTTACTTAGAAAGCTTCTTTAAAAAGTATATAAATATAGCCTGTAATCTCAGCACTTTGGGAGGCCGAGGCGGGTGGATCACGAGGTCAGGAGATGGAGACCATCCTGGCTAACACGGCGAAACCCCGTCTCTACTAAAAAAATACAAAAAAATTAGCCTGGCGTGGTGGCGGGCGCCTGTAGTCCCAGCTACTCAGGAGGCTGAGGCAGGAGAATGGCGTGAACCCGGGAGGCGGAGCTTGCCGTGAGCCAAGATCTCACCACTGCACTCCAGCCTGGGCGACAGAGCGAGACTACGTCTCAAAAAAAAAAAAACAAACAACAACTCAAAGTATATACATATAAATACACAAAAGGATGAAAAGGCAACTCAGTGAAAAAAATAAAAATAATCATTAAGAATATGACAATATCTATATTTAACTAATAAATATAGAAATTAAAACAATGTGATAGTATTTTGTGTCAAATTGGTAAATAAAGAAAATTAAGAACAAGTAGCTTTGGCTTTCCTCGATGCAGACAGATGGGGACTTTGATATGCTGCTGGTGGCAATATAAATTTATGTGCCCTTTTTAATGCCCGTGGACAAGTCAAGGTTCCGCAGCGAAATAGAACCAATAGGATGGATATGTATTTAGAAAGATGTGTTGGTGGGCCAGGTGGCTTATGCCTGTAATCCCAGCATTTTGGGAGGCGGAGACAGGAGAATGACTTGGGCTCAGGGGTGGGAAACCAGACTAGGCAACATAGTGAGACCCTGTCTCTACAAAAAAGAAAAAAAATTAGCCAGGCTTGGTGGCACATATGTGTAGTCCCAGCTACTTGAGAGGCTGAGGTGGGAGGATCTCTCCAGCCTAAGAGTTTGAGGATGCAGTGAGCTCTGACTGCACCACTGCACTCCAGCCTGGGCAAGAGAGTGAGTCTCCATCTCAAGAAAAAAGGAAGGAAAGGGAAAGGAAAAGGGAAAGGGAAGGGGAAAGGATTCTAAAAACGTGTGCAACGTTTGAGCTACCAAATCTATTTGTAAGAATTTATTTTAAGGAAATTACTAAGAATAATGCAAATATTTAGTTACTTGACAATGCATTACACCACTGTTTACAATAAAAAATTAAGAAAATAGCAAAAACAATGTTTAAAATTGTGTGCAATATGATGCAATTTTTATTTTAAAAATACATATATATGAAAATGTCCAGAAGCTGTTAATATTGTTCATCTCTGCTTGAAAGAATTGTAAGTGATTTTTTTTTGTTTATATATGTTTTTTGATTATTATTCAACACATATGAACTAGATGTGCAATAAAATATTTTTAAAAATTGTCACATTTTGATGTATTGTTTTGCTACTTTGTATCTATATCTATCCAACAAATTGGGTAAATATCATGTTTGTATACTGCTTTGTTCCTGTTAATATTTTAATCATATATTACATTTTCTATGTCATTTATACTATTCAGAAACATAATTTAAAATGTCTGCATGAAGCTTATTTGTGTGAACCACAATTCATTTAATTATATTCTATTGTTAAACAATAGAAATATTCATAATAGTGAAAAATTGGAAACACTGTGCTGTATGTGTATTTTGACCCATAGTTCTGATTATCTTCCTAGTACAGCACTCTAAAGTAGAACTACTTAATGCAATTAAATTTTTGACATCTTTAATATATATTCTGAAATATTCTCCTAAAATTTCTGAACAAACTTTTCTCCTGCGATCTCCTGAAAAATACTGGATTTATCACATCAGAAGTAAGGATGACTTAAATAAGTAAAATCTTCCAACAATTCGAGTGGTTAAATATGGTATTAGGGTTTTTTTTTTATAATTTGCATGCCTTTGTTTTAGTTTTAATTTTTTAGTTTAGTTTTTTAGTTATCTAGTAAGTAGGTTGAATATTTTTCACATCTATTAGCTACTTATTGACCGTTTATTAGCCATTTATTATCCTCTATTTCCTTGACTTTATATAAAAAACAATGGAGGGGAATCTCTTTCAGTATGAATCTTTACATTGTCAAAGCTTGATCCTTCACATATCTGTAGCAAATATTTGTTCCCAGTTGATGACTTGTGAGTGTTCCTTCAATAATAATGGACACTTATTTAGAGTTTCTTATGTGCCAAATGCTGTAAGTCTATTATCCCATTAGGTTTTATAGCTTTATGCCTAAGTGTCATTACCCTCATTTTACAGATGAGGAAACTGAGGTATAGATTAAATGTTTTGTCTGTTGCCACAGATTCTGGCACTACAGTGTCTATATTTAATTAATGGCTCCACAAACTGAAAGGCTAATAGCTTCCCATTGTCCCAGGATCCCAGAATCAGTGGACAACAGGTAAAAGCCACATACAGGAGGATCTGGATAGTTGATAATGATAATGGCAATTTCCTTCATAGACCAAAGCACATTAACTTGCTGAATTTAATGTGCCTCAAGAACTTGCATCTTCATTTAGTTTGATACATCCCTGTACTAAAATAAACAGAGGTTGCTCTGACTAGACTAGAATTTCTTACGTTTTTATGTAAGAAGGCCATAAATAGTTACAAACTTTGGAGTTAGTTCTGTACCTAATGAATCCCCAGGCCCTCCTTGCTGTCATTATTCAAGTTTTGAATTTTTAAAATGATATTTGCAGTTAATTTTGCAAATTTACTGCATGATTTGCATCAACAATTTATCTCCATTATAGAAAAGATAAATTTGCTTGTGTACTCAACACACAGAATCAACAAATTAACAAAAATTAATGTTTGATATTTGCCATATTTGTCACATGTATGTATATATGCAAGAAGTTAAAATCCACTTTATTTTTGTTTTCCAGACCTATTCTTTTGTCTCCCTCTCTACAAGCAGCCAATATCGAGAGGTTACAGCAAAATCACAGACTTGATCTATATTGTAACATTGGGTAAAGAAGTCTTGATTATTATAAACCCATTCACCAGCATGTTGTTTCTTAAGTGGATGAATGGTTTTATATTTAAAATAAATAATAAAATGAATTTATTTTAATAGTATTTACAATTTTTTTTTTTTTTGAGTGGAGTCTTGCTCTGTCACCCAGGCTGGAGTGCAGTGGCATGATCTTGGCTCACTGCAATCCCCGCCTCCCAGGTTCAAACAATTCTCCTGCCTCAGCCTCTCGAGTAGCTGGGATTACAGGTGCTTGCCACCATGCCTCGCTAATTTTTGTATTTTTAGTAGAGACGGGGTTTCACCATGTTGTCCAGGCTAGCCTCAAACTCTTAACCTCAAGTGATCCGCTCACCTCGGCCTCCCAAAGTGCTGGGACTACAGGCATGAGCCACTGTGCCCTGCCAGGTTTTTAAAACTTTAAAAATGGAGTCCTATTAAACAGACCTCCTTGTTCAAGTTCTTGCCTGTGTGGAATGAGAACTGATATACATAAGGATAATCCGTTCACTGTACATCTACCTATCTTTTCATGAATCATCAAGGAATATTGATTTTAAAAAATTTAATTGAATTTTACGTTGGGATAAGATCTGAGAACTTATCAGGCCTGATGTTATAATTTCACAGATCAGGAAGCCAAGGTCAAGAGTGCTCAAGTGACTTGTTCAAGGGCATGTAACTAGTTAAGAAAAGACCCAAGGCTTAAGTCCAAGTGTGCTGATTTCTTTTGAGATCAGTATTTTTTTTCCCACTCAGACCATTTTGCTCTACAGAAAATGAGACCTTCCACTACAGACTTAGAGGATACCTGTTGGTTTATCATTTTCCTAGAAAATTCTGACTTATCTGTCCTGGAATTGGATTATCAGGGTGGTAGAACCATTAATATGATTAATACTAGATTCTACAAGTAATGAAAATCGTAAGTGAATGTCTAAGGAATTTGATTTTAATTAAATATCACTTTCTTACTATTTATACTTATTTTTTTTTGACAAGGTCTCACTCTGTCACCCAGCCTGTAGTGCAGTGGCATGATCATGGCTCACTGCAGCCTTGACCTCCCAGGCTCAAGTGATCCTCCCACCTCAGCCTTCCAAGTAGCTGTGACCACAGATGCATGCCACCATACCTGGCTAATTTTTTGATTTTTTGTAGAGTCTGTTTTGCCGTGTTGCACAGGCTGATCTCAAACTCTTGGGTTCAAGCAATCTTTCCACCTCAGCCTCCCAAAGTACTGGGATTACGGTATGAGCAACTGTACCCGGCAATTTTGTTCTTTAAAATTTCTTTTCACAGATCTAGAAGTAAACAGCTGCAGGTGCTGGGTTCCATTTATCCTAATGTTCACACATTATCAGGGGCTACCAGTGAAAAGTTTAGGTTGAGCATCTATCTTTTTGCAGTTAAATAGCACCTTTGAGGACTAAGTCTAGAATGAAGGGTGTTACTTTCAATTGAGGAATTGTTTAACTTGAGGTTAGCAAAATATAAGAAAAGCTATGAGTAAAATTTCAGTAGGTGGGAAAAGGATGAACGATATGAAGAAGAAGGACCCAGAAAACTAGTGATCTAAAATAGCAATGTGTTTTTATAGTCTCATTGTTCAAAAAGTGTTTCCATTTTTGTTTTTTTATTTTGCTGGCACATATACTGAGAAACTAATTACCAACATATTGGCAAAAAAGTTTCCAATTTTGTAACAGAAATGAAAAGAAAGAATGTCTTCTTACAATACTAGAAACATTTCCATCTGCTTAATTGCATTACATGGTGATGATTTTAAATTTTAAGAGAAGAAAGGAAAATATGTTTCCTTTCTTGAATAATTGAATTGTTTTAGATACTGTTGCCTGTTTTTAATCCAGAAGAAATAAGCTATCCATATTTTTTAAAAAGCATAAAACATAAGAAATGTACCCTCTATACCTCTTTGCATAAAATAAGAACCATTATAACTTACTTTCGTTTTAAGGCTTTTTTCAAGGAACTCTGAACATTTTTTAATATTATTGCACTAACCTTCATGAAATCCTTGAGCAAAGGGAATCAGTAATCTACAAGGAGAAAGTAGAAGTAGCAAGAAAAATTTGATGTCTCTTAATAAACTAAATAGTAAGTAAAATTGATTTTTGACACTTTATCTTGTTTATTTAGTCAGAGACTGGTCTAGAATTAAGGTAACAGTTCCAGAGTTTTTGTTCATTCATTCATTTCAAACATTTATTGACCATCAAGCAGGCTTTCTGCTATGTAGTAAGACAAACACTTAACTAAGCATTGGTGATATAAAGATAAAAGACCAAACATTTTTGCCCTCAAATTATTCACAGTCTTATGGCAAAAGAGAAAAGTGTATAGATAGACAATTATAGTGTATCATATTAAAAGTAAATTCAGGGCCAGGCACTGTGGTTCACGTCTGTAATCCCAGCACTGTGAGATGCCAAAGTGGGAGGACTGCTTGAGCCCAGGAGTTTGAGTCTGCAGTGAGCTACATTAGTGCCACTGCACTCCAGGCTGGGCAACAGAACAAGACCTCGTCTCAGAAAAAATTGATTAATTAAAGTAATGTAAATTTAGGGAATTTGAGTAACATATAAGAGAGGATCATTTCTAGACTGGAGGATGAAAGAACATGGAAAATCCCTTGGTGCAGAGGTCTAACTTACTGCAGTGTCTATCAGTTCCAAATCATTTTCAAGACTCACCAGGGAGTCCATCTAGAAGGAATCATGAAGTCTAAGTACCACAGTGTTCTCATTTTATGATCTGTTTTTTACCCATGGAGAAGATAGACTGTAATGTAAAGAAGGTAGACCTTAGAGTAATCAGACTCGGGTCCAAGTCACAGCTTAGCCACTGAATGGTATTGTGACTTTGGACAAATAGCTACACTTCCTTGGAGCCCTGTCTTCTTATTTTTTAAATGACAATTATAGTAAGGTGAGACAACATTTATTTATTTGATACAGTTCCTGGCATTTAACAAATATTTTAAATTTATGAACATTTATTACCATTCATTATCTTTTTCTACCATTAACATACCAAAAATTAATGATAAAATTTTAAAAAAAGTTTTAATGTCAAATACTTTAGTTTTAGGAAGCAATGTTTTAAAGTAGATATAACAACTAGGATAATAAGAGAGGTTCTAAAATTATAATTAGGCTTTACACAAAAGTTCATGTGCAGAAGCATTATTTGGCTCTTAAATCACATTTTCACAAATAAACAATATTATTAATCAACAGAACCATCAGCAACATTTTTGAATGTATATTTTGTGTTTGTGTCTCATGTCTCAGATTAGATCACAAAATTCTATTTAACCCATAATGTAAGTGAAACGCTAGGAATTCCTTTCATTTGCTCCTTTACGCATTGTAACTTGAATCATTTGATACAGTTAATGGCCAATTTTACCACTTATATCCATTTCTTCAAGAGTACCAACATTGTGGGATTTGCACAAGCATAAAATAAAGACAACAAAATATAAGCAGTCATGTCTATATTGTGCAATTTTGCCACACATATTATTTTATTTGTCTTTACAAATAATGACTTGGTGGTTGGTATAGTGGGTTATCAATAATTTATGAAATGCTTGAGAGTGTTCAACAAAGCCTTAAATATTTTTAAGCCTCTACCTGGAGGATCTTCATAGGATGCAAGCACGTGTATGGTGTAGTAATAACATCTTAATATACTGTAAAAGAAACATCTGAGGAACAAATTTTAAAGAGTTTATTTGAGTAAGCAGCCATTCATGAACTGAGAAACAGCAAACTAAATTTAGTGTTCCAACGACAGTGTCAGAGGCAAGTATATATGGGGTGGATATAGAAGCAAGATGAATAAACTATATGATTGGTCGCAATTATACAATTGTCCTTTTTGGTTTACTTTGTCAGAAAATTTCTAGTTACAGAACTATAAGTTAACTGGCCTCTTATGATGGGCTGAGGTTATATTTTCTTTTTGTCTAACATGGGCATGTACCAGAAGTGACCTGAGTTGTTTCGCTTATGTTTGCAGTTTAAGCAGGGTTAAGGCTGTTTTTTCAGGCCTAGTTGGTTTTGTTTGTTCAGGAATTTCTCAGGCCCAGACTCCTTTTTAATTTTGAGGTAACTGTTTATAGGGGTATATGTGTGTGTAGTATTCTATATAATGTATAGACTAGTGGAATGTAAGTGGTTTTTATAGTTTAAATTTGTTATTCATTTTTTAACAAAAAGATACTCATCTTCCTTTAAGATTGTGAATAAGTTTAATTTAAAATCCTGAGATTATAAGCTATTATTTTATTGAACTATTGGCATTTTCATCTCTGTATATTTGTATTTTTCTAATAATGTGCTGCCAGATAAATAGCCTGGAAACAAATTGGATGCCAAAGTTGCTGTAACACTGCAAGTGTTATTCACTGTTTCTGTTTTCACATTTTTGTGTTCAGCTTCATATACCTAGTATTCTCACTGATTGAATTTGTAATAAGTAACATTTTTTAACTTGAGCTTATAAAAATACATTTCTAATAAATACATTTGGTGTGTATTTTTAAATAATGGGATTACCTATAGGATTTTATTAAAAATTTTTTCTCTGGAAATCTGAAAACTTGAACCAAAGAGACAGAAAAAAACAATTTTTTTTTATCGTCATCATCAGCAGCAGCAAACACAAGAACAAATATAACAAGGACAATAAATAAGAACTGGAGACCTTTGCAGTCCTTGAGGGAAGCAACGTCACAGAGAGAATGTTTCTGCTTATTAAAAGAAAAACTTTCAAAGGGAAAGCACTATACCAATCAAACCTTTGTGACATATTTCTTGAGACAATTTATAAGTATCCAAATTGTATCTGTCCCAAAGCACTTCTAAATGCTATGAAATCAAACAGAATTATTGAATTATCAATTAATATTTATTGCAGGTCTTACATGAGTTTTAGGTCAATTTTACGATATAGTTTTATGTGTTCAGCCAAATATATATAGAGAGAGACAGACTTATAGATATATTGAGGCCTTTTGTATAATCAATACATATATCTATATATAGATATAGATTATTGTAATACATTTATGCTCATTTTATATGATTAGAAGCATAATTTTACCATGGAAATGAATGTATAGCAGGTTTTTGTTATATTTATTATTATGATTTTTTTTGTTATGACTGATTTATTAGATGGTTTATCCTCCTCCCCATTATAACATGATTTTTATGGAAACATATGATCCCATTCAGGACAACTTGCTTTATATTATGATTTT
The DNA here is from genome assembly GCF_000001405.40 of Homo sapiens. Lineage (NCBI taxonomy): Eukaryota > Metazoa > Chordata > Mammalia > Primates > Hominidae > Homo > Homo sapiens. The sequence continues at coordinate 38,431,833 of NC_000014.9, read as the reverse complement.
AGAGAAAACTGTAATGAATGTATGGGACCCTCCTAAAGAGTATTTGTAATTAAAGTGGGAAAACTTTCTTTTAAAAAGTGGTAGTTTGAGAGAGATTAGAAATTAAGTAAGAAATAGCTTTTGAAAATAATAAATGCTGATCTTTGAGACAAAGTAAAAAGCAAACCAAAACTAACCAACTTGTTTCATGGGAATCATTATTGGAATAACAGAGACCACTTTGTGTAAAAGTCCTGCTCATAGCCATCCCTATTTCTTATAGTGTACTAAACATCAGGTTAGATTATTACAAATGTCAAAAAATATTCTCATCGGAAAATTAAATAAGACTAGAGACATGTTATAGGTGTGTGAAACTACAACCTGTCTCACAAACCTGCCTGTAACATGCAGCTACAGCTCACTGGCAAAATCCCCTTTGAACAGGCTGTGTTCCCTTTCCTCAAGTTCCACCAACCACAGGGTGTTTGCTTAGGCACTAACTTCTGGCCTGCCCCACTTGTTTTGTGTGTGTATGTGTGTGTGTGTGTGTGTGTGTGTGTGTGTGTGTTTTGTTTGTTTGTTTCGAGACAGAGCCTTGCTCTCTCGCACAGGCTGGAGTGCAGTGGCACAATCTTAGCTCACTGTAGCCTCAACCTCCCGGGTTCAAGCAGTTCTCCCACCTCAGCCTCCTGAGTAGCTGACATTACAGGTGCATGCCATGGCGCCCGGCTGATTTTCTTTTTTTCTTCTTCTTTTTTTTTTTTTTTTGTATTTTTGGTAGAGATGGGGTTTCACCATGTTGGCCAGGCTGATCTCAAACTTCTCACCTCAGGTGGTTCACCGGCCTTGGCCTCCCAAAGTGCTGGGATTACAGGTATGAGCCACTGCGCCGTCCCATTTTTTCACATTTCCTGTGTTGTGTGTTTCTGACCTCTGTAGCTGATGCACTGGAGGGTTTGCTGCAAGGAGGCCTCTGCTGAGGTCAGGAAATGATGTTGAAGATGATGCTTCTATATTGAGGCAAGTCTCAAGAATTTCACTTAAAAAAAGTGTCGTGCTTACTCTTTGTGGAAGCAATAACAAACCTAGCCTTCCTCCTATCAAATAGCTTTATCAATAATGACATCATATTTATCTTCCCAATCATAGAAATTTCATTGATGGCTCAGCACATTTTGCTGGACAGTCTCCCCACTCTCATTCTTTTTGGTGATATGGAAAATGCCCCATTAAAAAAAGCTATAATCCAAGGGTCACGTTTGTGCATCCACCACTGGAACATGTTTTATAAGTATGCATTGCACTTCTTTAGTTAGGAAACTTAAACTGTAAATTCTTGTTAGGATCCATTTAAAATAATGAGTTGGGTGCATTTCTAGAGCGGGTAAATAGATTTATGAAGAGTTTAAATTTTTTCCTGACTGACTACAGGAGCTTCTTGCTTAAGTAAAACACCTTAGAAATGTTAGTTGGAAAGCTAATCTTAACTCGTTTTTCCTCAGTAGCTCTGTGGGAGGCCAGAAGGCAGGGAAAAGAGGAAGAGAAAAGAAGGAGATATAGTATCACAAAGGGGTTGAAAATTTGTCAGAGTGATGTTTCTATTATTTTCATTGGGTGTATTCTTCCAAAATTAAAGATCATTCTTCTTATGCAAAATTGAAAAGAAAGTCAAAAGGGGCATCCATAGAAATTTGTCTTAAAGCCTGATATTAAGGGTTTTTCACAGATGCCTACAAGAGCTGAAGAGCAGAGCACAGGTCACATCTGAAAGTGGCAGTTGCTACCTAGTTCCAGGTAATTGTTGGCAGTTATACCTGTGATCCACGTGTTGCCAGATTTGCTGATCTTTCAAAGGGAGGGAGAATTTATTTTTCTGTAAAACTGACTGATTTTAAAGAGAAGACCAGCTTTCTTTTTAAAATTGTGTAGGCAAAACAAAACATGTCTGTGTTTTACCAATTTATCTTCTCTAAGTTAACATGAGAAATGCCAAATATTGATCCATGTAAGGATGCTTTGGGCTGCAAATCTGATGACTAGCAGGGATATCAAGAGTTCATGTAGTGGTCCTAAGATTAATTTTCTGGCTCCATGAGATCTTCTAGAATCTGGGCTCTTTCTCTTTCCATCTTCTGTTTTCTCATTCTCAGCATTTGGGTTTTCATATTAGGCTGTTGCCTCATAGCTGAAACAGTTTCAATTCACTCATCTTCACACATCCACATCAGAATGGGTGAGAGTAGGGCTTTTCTGCCATGCCTCTTGCCTCTTATCTAGGAGAAACTGTTTATTTCCTAGAATACCCCAAGAGATAGCTTTCGCCTTGTAGGCCAGCAGTGAATCAAATGCAAAAGTGGCTGGGAAAGTGAGGAGCTGACCTTTACACCCTGAAAGTGGGAGGTAGGCACAGTGAACAAAAATTGAGAGTGAATGTCAGATGGTCACCCAGGGTAGCGTCTGTATCATTCAGTCATTTTGAATTTGTATTTCCTTCAGTCATCTTCTCATAGTTGAATTAGGACTTACACACAGCACTGCAGCAGTTAAGTTTCTCCATCGGAGAGAAATAATATCACTGCTGAGGTAAAGAGTCACAACTCCAGATTCAAAAAGTTCTTGATGAAAAAGGTCATGGCAGCCTTGTTGATATCAATGTGTTATAATAGACTTTGAATTTTAATTAGGAAGTGAAATCACAGAAAAAATGTTTCAAAAGCTTTGGGAAAATCTAATTCTATCTTTAAAAAAATAAGTGGGTGTTCCGGGAATGGCACTTTACCTCTCTGGGGTTTGTTCAGTAAAACCCATTACCCTGGTCTAACCATTTGAAAAACATCAGTCAGGCTGGGCTCAGTGGCTCATAACTGTAATCCCAGAACTTTGGGAGCCCGAGGCAGACAGGTTGCTTGAGGTCAGGAGTTGAAGACCAGCCTGGGCAGCATGGGGAGACCCTGTCTTTGCTAAAAATACAAAAAAATTAGCTGGGCATAGTGGTGCATGCCTGTGGTCCCAGCTACTTGGGAGGCTGAGGTCGGAGGATCTCTTCAGCTGGGAGGGACAGAGGTTGCAGTGGGGCAAGATTGTGCTATGGCACCACTCCAGCCTGGGTGACAGAGCAAAACCCTGTCTCAAAAAGAAAAGTAACGAAAAGAAAAAAGAGAAATATCAGAAAAATCAAAATTGAGATATATTCAGGAAAACAAAAAACAAAAATTAAAAACCTCATCAGTGCTTCTCAAAACTGTCATAATTAGAAAGGACAAGGAAATTCTAATAAACTGTCACAGCCAAGAGGAGCCTGAGGAGACATGATGATTAAATACGAAGTGGAAACCTCAATGGACTCCTGAAATAGTAAAAGTAGGTTGGGAAAAAATTGGTGAAACCTGAGTAAAGTTACAATATACAAAGGCTAGTTTCTTTTTTTTTTCTCCTTTTTTTTTTTTTTTTTTGAGACAGTCTCACTCTGTCGCCCAGGCTGGAGTGCAGTGGTGCGATCTCGGCCCACTGCAAGCTCCGCCTTCCAGGTTCATGCCATTCTCCTGCCTCAGCCTCCCTAGTAGCTGGGACTACAGGCACCTGCCACCGCACCCAGCTAATTTTTTGTATTTTTAGTAGAGACGGGGTTTCACCGTGTTAGCCAGGATGGTCTCGATCTCCTGGCCTTGTGATCTGCCCTCCTCGGCCTCCCAAAGTGCTGAGATTACCAGCTTAAGCCACCGTGCCCAGCCTAAGGTTGGTTTCTTGTAATTGACAAAGGTACTATGGGACTGTAAAGATGTTAACAATAGGATAAACGGCATAAGATAATTCTCTGTACTATGTTTGTAACTTTTCTGTAAATTCTGATTTTTCCAACAATTTCCCAATAAATCTCAGTTGTCAATATCATCATAATGCAAGACGTTGGCATCACATTCATTCTTGAGGAAAACTTGATTGATAAGTGTTTATGATTTAGGTCAAATTTGGTAACTTGTATTTTAGGGCAGCGACTTCTATTATCTGTCTAGATTATTTCATTTTAAGATGTTGTATTGATATTTCTCTTTCTTACATCCCAGCCTGTTTTGAACTTCTATAAATCCTTTTAGCTGCTCTGTAACTTTCAAGCCTTAATAACATCTGCTGAACTTGAACTATTTCACCTCTTCTTCCTTAAGGCTCAGTCCTATTCCCCTTGCTCTGCAGACTTGTCTATATCCTTGAAGGATTTCAATAATAGTCCAGAAAGGCAAACCTTCTTCCATGGTCAGTTTATTTGAACAAAGTGATTTTGAATTCTTGCCTGGGGTTTTTAGAGTTCCTCTCTCTAGGGAAAACACACACACACACACACACACACACACACACACACACACACAAAAACAGATACTGGGGGAGGTTCATTTATTACACCTTGTGAATTTATAGGGGAAACTGGAGCCTAATAAACAGAGCAGCATCAGGACAGGATGACCTGACATTTCTGAGGGAAAGCAGGATAGGTTACCAAATCAGTAGAAAGGACCTAGGTATAGAATTAAATATAGAATCTAAGTCATAAAGAACTTCAATTTTTTAAAATCTCAGTTTCTCTCATACCTGTTTACATTATCTTTATCTCTCTCTCTCGGAAGAAATATTTATTGTTTTCATTTTATAGCTTTATGTGAATGTCATTAAAATGTGTGAGTAGTTAGATATCTCAAAGTGTAATTAATACAAATTACTCCTACAAGCTTCTGAGCCCTACACTTTCTTTCAAAGGATAGTTTCCAGTTATCTGAAATGGAATAGGTATCACTTAAATAAATCAAATGGAAGCAAAAATTTTTGGATTTTTAATCACTATAACCAGATCCAATAAATCAATGTTTTTGTTATGTACAGAAAAAAGTGAATGTATATTCAGAAGGCACTTTTTCTAGGTTCCTCAAACTGATGAAAATTTCAATTCTATGGCTCTCTTCTTTGTGGATGAATTGGAAGAATGCTACCACATTTTAGAGCCAATATCTTTGCTCATCTCTTTCTCTTCTTTGTAGATACAGCTCCTGTTGAAGTAACAAGACTCTCTTCAAGGCAACGTTGATTTTCTCACGTTTGCGCATATTGAGAGAATAGGAATTTTATACTGTATTGATTTCTTTTTCAGTGCACCTTGGGTTGTAATTCTTTGAGACTAAGCAGAAGAAAAGGGCTTTCAACAAATTGAGTATCTCTTAGAAATATGTGTGAGTGGACGATGATAAATACTATATGCAGTTCTTGACATTCATAGTAAATCTGCCTGCTGATCTGAGACTCATGCAAAAGACATTTGAATATGTTGTGATTCTCTGTGTACTTTACCTAACATTCAGCTGCAGCTTGGAGACTTCTAAAGTGCTCCTTTTTAAGATATAATATTGTTTCACATTAGCAGGGAAACTAGTGGTCTCATAGTTTTATGGAAGGAGTATATAATAATAGAATGCTTGAGAAGTCAATTTAGCACTATATATTAAAATCCTTAAAAACATACATGTTTTGATTTAGCAATTTCACATTTAGGAATTTATCCTAAATAAGTAATTAAGGATGTAAATCATATTTAGCTCTGGCAAGAATGTTTGTAACAGCATTGTTTATTATAGTGAAATATTAGAACAACTTAAATCTTCAATAATAGGGGAATATTTAAAGTACAGAATACAACAAAATATTGGTCAACATTTTAAAATGATTTATAAGCTGGATATTTGTTCATATATACATATATTCATAATATATTAATTAAAAACTATAATTAGAGGAAGCAGAGCAAAATGGCTGAATAGAGGCCTCTAGAAATAGTTCCCCACTCTACAGGAAGACCAAATTGAACAACTATCCACACGTAAAAGCACCTTTATAAGAGCCAAAAATCCGGTGAACAATCACAGTATCTGGTTTTAACATATTAAGGAATGAGGCACTGAAGAGGATTGAAAAGACAGTCTTGAATCACTGACATCCCCCAGCAGCAGCTGTGTGGGACAGTGGAAGAGTGTGTGCTTGGGGGAGGAAGAGCACAGTGATTGTGGACTTTGTATTGGAACTCAGTACTGCCTTGTCACAGCAGAATGCAACATGGGACAGAACTCAGCCAGGGCTCACAGAGGAAGCATTTAGACCAGACCTGGCCAGAGGCAAATTGTCCATCCCAGCAGTTGGAATCTGAGTTCTGGCAAGTCCCTCCACCATAACCTAAAATGCTCTGGGGTTCTAAATAAACTTGAAAGGCAGCCTAGGCCACAAAGACTGCAATTCCTGGGCAGATCCCGGTGCTGTGCTTAGCTTGGAGCCAGTGGACTTGGGGTGCACACAATCTAATGAGATACCAGCCAGGGTGGCCAAGAGTCTTTGTGTTGCACCTCCCCCAACCCCAGGCAGTGCAGCCCACAGCTCTGGGAGACTCCTTTTCTCTGCTTGAGGAGGGATGAAGGAAGAATAAGGAGGGCGATGTCTTGTAACTCGGATACTAGCTCAGCTACAGTAGGTTAGGACATGGGGCAGAACTGCGAGACCACCATTCTAGGCCCTAACTTCTGGATGACTTTTCTAAACACGCCATGGGCCAGAAGGGACTTGCAGCCTTGAAGGGAAGAACCCAGTCCTGGCAGAATTCATCATCTGCTGACTAAAAAGCCCTTGGGTCTTGAATAATCAGCCGTGGTACCCAGGAAGTACTTGCTGAAAGGCTTGGGTGAGACTCAGAGCAGTGCTGGCTTAAGTTGTGACCCAGCATATCCCCAGCTGTGATAGCTGTAGAGAGATATCCCTTCTGCAAGAGAAAATAAACAAATAACATACAAAGGAGCTCCAACAGGTCTAGCAGCAGACTAGTCTCAAAGAATTACACTGGCCTGTATAGTTTCCAGTGATGCGTAATAAACAACTGCAAAAGCAAAGGCAAACCAAACCCAAAATTAGTAGAAAAAAGAAATAATAAAGATCAGAACAGAAATAAATGAATTGAAAAAATACAAAAGAGCAATTAAACAAAAATTGGTATTTTAAAAAGATAAATAAGATTGACAGACATTTAGCCAGACTAAGAATAAAAGAGAGAAGACCAAAATAAATAAAATGAGATATGATAAAGGAGATAATTGATACTTCAGTAAGTATTATTAGAGGCTGATATGAGCAACCATATGCCAATAAATTAGAAAACCTAGAATAAGTGGATCAATTGTTAGACATATACAACCTATCAAGATTAAAACACGAAGGAAATTCCAAACCTGAACAGACCAATAACAAGTAATGAGATGAAAGCTGCAATAAAAAGTCTATCAACAAAGAAGAGCCTGGGACTGGGTTGCTTCATTGGTGAATTCTACAAAACATTTAAACAAGAACTAATACCAGTTCTGCTTAATTTTTAAAAATGAAGGAAGTGGTAAACTTGTAAACTTATTCTACAAGGCCAGTATTACTTGACACCAAAAGCACACAAAGACACATGAAAGGAAAGAAAGAAAGAAAAAGAAAGAAAGGAAGGAAGGGGAGGAGAAAAGAAAAGAAGAGAGAGAGAGAAGAAAAAGGAAGAAAGGAAAAGAGAGAAGAAAATTACAGGCCAGTATCCCTGATGAACAATAATGCAAAAATCCTCAACAAAATACAAGCAAACCAAATTCCACAACTCAATAAAAGGGCCATTCATTATGACCAACTGGAAATTACCCCATAATGCAAGGATGGTTCAATATACACAAATCAATCAGTGTATTACATCATATCAATAGAATGAAAGAAAAAAATTTCATTTGAAAAGTGAAATGAGAAAAAATGATTTTAATTGATGCTGAAAAAGCATTTGATAAAATTCAACATCCCTTCATGAAAAAATCTTTTAAAAAATGGGTAAAGAAGGAACATAAGTCAACAAAATAAAAGTCATATATGACAGACCCACAGCTAGTATCATACTGAATGGGGAAAACTGAAAACCTTTTCTCTAAGGTCTGGAACACAACAAGGATGCCCACTTTCACCAGCGTTATTCGGTGTAGTACTGGAAAGCCCTAGCTACAGAGAAGAGAAAGAAATAAAAGGCATCCAAACTGGAAAGGAAGGAGTCCAATTATCCTTGTTTGCAGATTATATGACCTTATATTTGGAAATGATAAAGACTCCATAAGAAATCTATTAGAATTGATAAATATATTCAATAAAGTTGTAGGATACAAACTCCACATACAAAAATCAGGAACATTTCTATATGGTATCAGTAAGAAATCTGAAAAAGATATCAAGACAGTATTGTCATTTACAATAACTACAAATAAAATATCTCAGAATAAACTTAACCAAAGACGTGGAAGATCTCCACAAGAAATACTGTAAAACATTGAATCAAGAAATTAAAGGGGAAACACACACAAAAAGGAAAGATATTCCATGTTCATGGATTAGAAGAGTCAATATTGTTAAAATGTTCACACTACCCAAAACAATCTACAGATTCAATGCAATCCCTAAGTACATTCTTCACAGAAATAGAAAAAACAAGTTTGTATGAAACCACAAAAGACCAAGAATAATCCAAGCTATCCTAAGCAAAAAGAACAAAACTGGAGGAATCATATTACCTGACTTCAAATTATACTGTAGAGGTATAGTAACAAAAACAGCATGGTAGAGACATAAAAACAGACACATATACCAATGGAACGGAATAGAGAACCTAGAAATAAATCCATACATCTAAAGCAAACTCTTTTGGACAAAGTTGTCAAGAGCATACACTGGGGAAAGGATGATCTCTTTGATAAATGGTGCTGGGAAAACTGGATATCCATATACAGAAGAATGAAACTAGACCCCTATCTGTCACTATATACAAAAATAAAATGAAACAGATTAAAGACTTTTATCTAGGACATGAAATTATGAAACTTAGAAAACATTGGACTGGGGAAAGATTTCTTGAGTAATAACCCACAAGCAGAGGCAACCAAAGCAAAAACAGAGAAGTGGGAGCATATCAAGTCAAAAAACTGCACAGCAAAGGAAACAGTCAACAAATTGATGAGACAACCACAGAATTGAATAAAATATTTGCAAACTACCCATCTGAAAAGGGATTAATTACCAGAATATATAATAAGCTCAAACAATTCAATAGGAAAAACATCTAATAATCTCATTATAAACAGGCAAAAGATCTGACTAGAATTTCTCGAAAGAAGACATGTAAGTGGCAAACAGATGTATGAAAAGGTTCTCAACATTATTGATCACTGGAGAAATGCAAATCAAAACTACAATGAGATATCATCTCAGCCCAGTTAAAATGGCTTATATTCAAAAGACAGGCAATAACAAATGCTGGTGAGTATTTGGAGAGAAGGTAACTTCTGTAAACTGTTGGTGGGAATGTAAATTAGTACAACCATCATGGAGAACAGTTTGGAGGTTCCTCAAAAAACTAATAATATAGCTGCCATATGACCTAGCAATCCCGTTCCTAGGTATATACCCAAACGAAAGGGGATCAATATATTGAAGAAATATCTACACTGCCATGTTTATTGCAGTGCTATTCACAATAGCTAAGGTTTGGAAGCAACCTAAGTATCCTTCAACAGATAAATGCATAAAGAAAATGTGGTACACATACATAATGGAGTACTATTCACCCATAAAAAGAATGAGATCCTGTCATTTGCAGCATCATGAATGGATCAGAAGTTAATAATGTTAAATGAAATAAACCAGGCACAGAAAGGCAAACATCACATGTTTTCACTTATTTGTGGGAGCTAAAAATTAAAACAATTAAACTCATGGAGACAGAGAATAGAAGGATGTTTACTGGGGGTTGGAAGCATAGTGGGAGGAGGAGGGAAGTGGGGATGGTTAATGAGTACAAAAAATAGAAAGAATGAATAATACCTAGTATTTGATAGCACAACAGGGTGACTGCAGTAGAAAAATAATTTTATTGTATATTTTTAAATTACTAAAATAGTATAATTGGATTGTTTGAAACACAAAGGATAAATACTTGTGGTGATGGGTTTACTCTCATAATTGTTACATATTGCATGTCTTTATCAAAATAACTCATGTAACACATAAATATATACACCTACCGTATACTCCAAAAATAAATATTTAAAAAATTGAAAAAATATATAGGTAGAATGAATAAGGTCTAGTATTTTATAGCACAGCAGGTTGACTACAGTCAACAATAATTTACTGTATATTCTAAAATAACTAAAAGAGTACAATTGGATTGTTTGTAAAACAAAGAAAGGATAAATGCTTGAGGTGATGAATACCTCATTTACCCTGAAGTGATTATTATGCATTATATGCCTATATCAAAATATGTACCCCATAAATAAAGCATACTTGTACCCACACACAAAAACTTAATGTATTATTTAAAAAACTATAATTATAGTATAATACTTATATATGGTTTATTTAATTTGAACAAAGCCATGAAATAATACAAAATTCCAGTCATTATTCTTTCAGTGTAACTACATTGAGAAAATGCAGCATTGCTATTAAGTGAATACATTTGTTATCATTCACAAAGGCTTCAAAAGACAGTGGTGCAAATTTGCAATTGATAATATTTATTAAGTCTGTGCCTGGGCTCAGATTCCATTCATGGACTGATTGCAATAATTCAGTGATCCCTCTAGGTGTCTGAGGTTCTGAGTTTTGAATGGCTAATTTATTTTAGAACTTTCTGCATGTTCTTATTTCAAATACTCTGGTTTAATTTATTCATACCTGTATTTTAGATATAAATTGATTTCTAGCATTGTTTCCTCTTTTTATGCAGGTGGGCAGGACTTTTAGATAAAAGCCATTTTAACTGGGGTTACATGGTATCTCGTTGCAATTTTGATTTGCATTTCTCTGGTGATCAATGATGTCAAGCACCTTTGCTGGGCCTGAAACAAAGCTGTCTCTTCTTACTTAGAACTCTTAAGTTTTCAGAACCTATGTCCTTCTTTTCTTTTGGACATGGCTTTTAAAATCTGAAGAATCCTTCAAAGCCCAGTCTGACCTCCACTTTCTCCATAAAGCCTTCCCTAGTCATTCATTCCCCAAATATCTATTAGACATTAAGCTCCCTAAATACAAGGGTTAAGCTACAAGATTCTTTTCATTTCCAACCCCTGCATCTATCACATTTTCTCATATACACTAATTGTTCAATAATCATTTTCTGAATTATTTGACGGTGACAATAGCTATAGAAAATCTGAGCCATCAATTTAAAGCAACACCTTTAAGAGGAATCTAATGAATTACAACATTGATAGTATTCAAGTGTAGTTGCTATTTTTAAAATGACAATGTAATTTTGAGAAGTGCTTTAATAAAAACAACAACTACAACAAAAACAAAACTCTAAAGATGCCCTAGGAACTGAAATATTATTCTGCAATTTTGACCTTAATAAAATGGCTACTTAGAATTTTTTATACTGCAAGTACCCTGTCTCTGTAAGTATTACATATGGTGTTTTAAAAAATCTAGGAGAGGAATCTATCAATGTTTAATAGAGCTGCATGCTGTTATTACTTGCAGAAATTCCAGTGATTGATTTCACAACCTTCATTCCAAAATTCTTTTTATTTCTTATAGCTTCCAGGCTAAAATTAGTCATGTCTGAGACCTACTTTAGCATTCATCCACCAAAAATGAAAGTTTAAAAGAAATGAAGATGGGAGGTGGGGGTAAAATCCCACTGCTTAATTGTAACCATCAGAAAAATAAGTCCCAATACCACTCTTATTTCCTTTTTTTAAGTAACAGAAGCATAATCACATTTAATTAAGAGAATCTTTTTTGTTTCTTTCAAATCCTTTCATTGTCTGTTTTTCCATCTCACACTTATTCTGTCATTTTAAATTTTGTGTTCTTGCCACTAATGTGCAGTTTCCCTACGCACCAATGTCATCTACCCATTTCCCGCAGCAGAGCACAGTCCAATCCCAGTCTCTTACTAATAACACCATCTGAACAACCTATTATGAGATTCTTAATTTGGCAGACTCACTGCATTATTTATGCAGAGCTGATAAGGCACAAAACGCATGGTTGAGTTTCCTGAGGAATTTCGCTGTTTAACACCTCCACAAGGCTGAATCTATTTAAACAGCTCGCACAAAGCTTTCTTTGTTTCATTATGTTTTGAAACATGGCACAAATAAGTGGAAAGCAGACAATGTATCTGTACCTTTTAAACATTCAGTATGTCCAATAGGTTCAAATAACATAATGAGGTGCTTATGAGCTCATGTCAAATTTTTTATTATCTTTCTTACCCAGAAATAAGAATCGAAACCATAACCCATCCTACACTTCCCTCTAATTTATTTGTTCCTTATCGATTGTCCAGGAATGTTTGAATTCTAAACATCACAGAATCTTTCTCATAAGTCATGACACTCACTTCTACTCTATTTGTTTGAAATCAAAGATTTGGTTTTTAGAATAAGTAAATCATGATTTCATATTATTTCCAGAATTATGGTCTCTCTAGGGTTTGTTAAATCCTATGAAACAATGGCAAATAAAACTTCTGTTCTTTGGATGTGTAAATTTTAACATTGTACCATATAGTATCAAAAATATAGTTTTTCTTAGTGTAATAATAACCATTTTTCCACTTCTATACATTAATATAATTTTCAACTACTTTTAAAATTGATCATTCTGTTGGGTAAGCTACAACCTCATATAAATGTATTATACTAGTATACGGTTAATTCATTTTAAAAACAATTTTGCTTAGGACGCATTTAATTATGAATTTTCCTATGTTAAATTGCTATAATTATGAGCTATGTTTTAGTGATGTTTAAGTTTCCTTCCAGCTGAATGTTAAACATCTTTTAAAATTTATTTTAGACCGTGAGGATATAACTCATGACACTTGTGCTGTCATTAAGACACTGGGAAAATCTGATATTCAATAGGAGATTGCTCCTTACTTTTTTAGATGGGGCTGAGAATTTCACAAATAGCCTAAGCTAAAGTAGCAATGTTTGAGAGTAGTGTTTTGGTTGGGGGCGTGTCATGGTAAAGGAAAGCTGAGAACTTTATCCTACCTTGGTTTGGGTGGGAAAATGAGAGAACATATGTGTTTATAATGTTCTAACTATGTAGTTAATGTGTGAAAACAAGATACAGTTCAGTTCTAGTCATAATAGGCTAATATACTCAGATGACTATAGTAAAACATATGTAGAGTATTTGATTTAATTTTTAATAGAATCTTTCAATCTGGCAAAACATAAAATAATATCCATCCATTTATCTGATTTCCAGATTTAACAAATTTTAACATTTTGTCATGCTTGTAACTTATCTTTTTCTGTCAAAATAAAATTTTATAGTGACATCTAGATTCTAACCCTTTCATCCTTTTTATTCCTCTCCAAAGATAATCACTATTCTGGAGTTGCAGTGGGTTATCCCCATATATTTGTAAATATTTCTTCTATTGATGGTTGTATCCATAAGGACTATATACTATTGCAGTGTGTTTTAAATGTGAGTGTATATCTATGTGTTATGTATATATTATTATATATTTATCTTTTTGCTTATCAATTTTTTTTACTCAACATTATGTTTTTTTATTTTCAAATGGTTATTTTACTAGACAGAAATAATAGTGATATAATAGTTCATGGACCATTTCATTTACAAATGTCTGAAGTTCCCAATCAATATTTAAAACTTTAATCTTTTTTAGAATGATTTATATTCCTTTGGGTGTATACCCAGTAATGGGATTGCTGGGTCAAATGGTATTCCTGGTTCTAGATCCTTGAGTAATTGCCACACAGTTTATATTCCTATTTCTCCATAGCCTCACCAGCATCCGTTGTTTCTTGACTTTTTAATAATAGCCATTCTGACTGATGTGAGATGGTATCTCATTGTGGTTTTGATTTGCATTTCTCTAATGATCAGTGATGTTGAGCTTTTATTCGTATGTTTGTTGGCTTCATAAATGTCTTCTTTTGATAAGTGTCTGTCATATCCTTTGCCCACTTTTTAATGGGGTGGTTTGTTTTCTTCTTGTAAATTTGTTTAAGTTCCTTGTAAATACTGGATATTAGACCTTTGTCAGATGGGTAGATTGCAAAAATTTTCTCCCATTCTGTAGGTTGACTGTTTGCTCTGATGATAGTTTATTTTGCTGTGCAGAGGCTTTTTAGTTTAATTAGATGCCACTTGTCAATTTTAGCTTTTGTTGCAATTGCTTTTGGAGATTTCATCATAAAATCTTTGTCCATGCCTATGTCTTGAATGGTATTGCCTAGGTTTTCTTCTAGGGTTTGTTTGGTTTTGAGTTTTACAGTTAAGTCTTTAATCCATCTTGAGTTAATTTTTGTATAAGGTGTAAGGAAGGGGTCCAGTTTCAGTTTTGTGCATATGGCTAGACAGCTTTCCCAGCACCATTTATTAAATAGGGAAACCTTTTCCCATTGCTTGTTTTTGTCAGGTTTGTTGAAAATCAGATGGTTGTAGATGTGTGGTCTTATTTCTGAGGTCTCTATTCTGTTCCATTGGTCTATATGTCTGTTTTGGTACCAGTACCATGCTGTTTTGGTTACTGTGGCCTTGTAGTATAGTTTGAAGTTGGATAGTGTGATGCCTCCAGCTTTGTTCTTTTTGTTTAGAATTGTCTTGGCTATGCTGGCTCTTTTGGTTCCGTATGAATGTTAAAGTAGTTTTTTCTAATTCTGTGAAGAATGTTAATGGTAGTTTGATGAAAATAGCATTGAATCTATAAGTTACTTTGGCCAGTATGGCCATTTTCACAATATTGATTCTTCCTATTCATGAGCATGGAATGTTTTTCCATTTGTTTCTGTCCTCTCTTATTTCCTTGAGCAGTGGCTTGTAGTTCTCCTTGAAGAGGTCCTTCACATCCCTTGTTAGCTGTATTCCTAGGTATTTTATTCTCTTTATAGCAATTGTGAATGGGAGTTCATTCACGATTTGGCTCTCTGCTTGTCCATTGGTGTATTAAAATGCTTGTGATTTTTGCACATTGATTTTGCATCTCAAGACTGCTGAAGTTGCTTTTCAGCTTAAGAAGTTTTTGGGCTGAGATCATGGAGTTTTCCAAATATAGGATTATGTCATCTGCAAACAGACAATTTGATGTCCTCTTTTCCCATTTGAATACTCTTTATTTCTTTCTCTTACCTGATTGCCCTGGTCAGAACTTCCAATACTATGTTGAATAGGAGTGGTGAGAGAGGACATCTTTGTCTTTTGCTGGTTTTCAAAGGGTATGCTTCCAGCTTTTGCCCATTCAGTATGATATTGGCTGTGGGTTTGTCATAAATAGCTTTTATTATTTTGAGATATGTTCCATCGATACCTAGTTTATTGACAGTTTTTAACATGAAGGGATGTTGAATTTTCTTGAAGGCCTTTTCTGCATCTATTGAGATAATCATGTGGTTTTTGTCATTGATTCTGTTTATGTGATGAATTATGTTTATTGATTTGCATATGTTGAACCAGCCTTGAATCCCAGGGATGAAACCAACTTTATTGTGGTGGATAAACTTTTTGATGTGCTGCTGGATTTTGTTTGCCAGTATTTTATTGAGGATTTTTGCATTGATGTTCATCAGAGATATTGGCCTGAAGTTTTCTTTTTTTGTTATGTCTCTGCCAGGTTTTGGTAGCAGGATGATGCTGGCCTCATAAAATGAATTAGGGAGGAGTCCTTCCATTTCAGTTGTTTGGAATGGTTTCTGTGAAGGAATGGTACCAGCTTCTCTTTGTACCTCTGGTAGAATTCTGCTGTGAATCCATCTGGTCCTGGGCTTTTTTTGGTTGGCAGGCTATTTATTACTGCCTCAATTTCAGAACTTGTTATTCAGAGATTATACTTCTTCCTGGTTTAGTTTTGGGAGAGTGTATGTGTCCAGGAATTTATCAATTTCTTCTAGAGTTTCTAGTTTATTTGTGTAGGGGTGTTTATAATATTCTCTGAGTGTAGTTTGTATTTCTGTGGGGTCAGTGGTGATATCCCCTTTATCATTTCTTATTGTGTCTGTTTGATTCTTCTCTCTTTTCTTTTTTATTAGTCTAGCTAGTTGTGTATCTATTTTATTAATTTTTTTCAAAAAACCACCTCCTGGATTCATTGATTTTTGAAGGGTTTTTGTGTGTGTGTGTGTGTGTCTATCTTCTTCAGTTCCATTCTGATTTGAGTTATTGCTTGTCTTCTGCTTGCTTTTTAATTTGTTTGCTGTTGCTTCTCTCATTCTTTTAATTGTGATGTCAATGTGTCAATTTGAGATCTTTCTACCTTTCTAATGTGGGCATTTAGTGCTTTAAATTTCATTCTTAACACTGCTTTAGCTCCATCCCAGAAATTCTTGTGTTGTCTCCTCGTTCTCATTGGTTTCAAAGAACTTCTTGATATCTGCCTTAATTTCATTATTTACCCAGTAGTCATTCAGGAGTAGGTTGTTTGATTTCCATGTTGTGTGGTTTTGGGTGAGTTTCATAATCCTGAGTTCTAATTTGATTGCACTGTGATCTGAGAGACTATTTGTTATGACTTCAGTTCTTTTGCATTTACTGAGGAGTGTTTTACTTCCAATTATGTGGTCAATTTTAGAATAAGTGCCAGGTGGCACTGAGAAGAATGTATATTCTATTGTTTTTGGTGTGGGGGGTTGTTCTGCAGATATCTATCAAGTCCACTTGATCCAGAGCTGAATTCAAGTCCTGAATAATCCTTGTAATTTTCTGTGTTACTGATCTGTCTAATATTGACCAGTAGGCTGTTAAAGTCTCCTGCTATTATTGTATGGGAGTCTATGTCCCTTTGTAGGTCTCTATGAACTTGTTTTATGAACATGGGTCCTCCTGTATTTGGTGCATATATATTTAGGATAGTTAGCACACCTTGTTGAATTGATCCCTTTACCATTATGTAACACCCTTCTTTATCTTTTCTGATGTTTGTTGGTTTAAAGTCTGTTTTGTCAGAAAATAGGATTGCAACCCCTGCTTTTTTCTGCTTATCATTTGCTTGGTAAATTTTCCTTCATCCCTTTATTTTGAGCCTATGTATGTCTTTGCATGTGTGATGAGCCTCTTGAATATAGCACATGGATGGGTCTTGATGCTTTATCCAATTTGCCAGTCTGTGTATTTTAATTGAGGCATTTAGCACATCTACATTTAAGGTTAGTATTTTTATATGTGAATTTGATCCTGTCATTATGATGCTAGCTGGTTATTTTGCACACTAGTTCATGCCTTTTCTTCATAGTGTCATTGGTCTTTACATTTTCATGTGTTTTGCTGTGGCTGGTACCAGTTTTTCCTTTCCCTATTTAGTGCTTCCTTCAGGAGCTCTTGCAAGGCAGGCCTGATGGTGATGAATTTCCTCAACATTTGCTTGTCTGAAAAGGATTTTATTTCTTCATTTATGAAACTTAGTTTGGCCAGATATGAAATTCTCGGTTGAAAATTCTTTTCTTTAAGAATACTGAATATTGGCTTCCACTTTCTTCTGGCTTGAAATGTTTCTGCTGAGAGATCCACTCTTAGTCCAATGGGCTTCCCTTTGTGGGTGACCTGGCCTTTTTCTCCAGCTGTGCTTAACGTTTTTTCCTTGATTTCAATCTTAGAGAATCTGATAATTATGTGTCTTAGAGTTGATCTTCTCATGGAGTATTTTAGTGGTGTCCTCTGTATTTCCTGAATTTGAATATTGGCCTCTCTTGCTAGGTTGGGGAAGTTCTCCTAGATAATATCCTGAAGTGTGTTTTCCAATTTGTTTCCATTCTCCTCATCTCTTACAGGTACTCCAATCAGTCACAGGTTCGGTCTTTTGACATAGTCCCATATTTCTCAGGGTTTTTTTTTTTTGTTTTTTTCTCATTCTTTCTTTTCTAAACTTGTCTACCTGCCTTATTTCAGCAAGATAGTCTTCCATCTCTGATATCCTTTCTTTCACTTGATTGATTTGGCTATTGATACTTGTGTATGCTTCACAAAGTTCTTGTGCCACATTTTTCAGCTCCATCAGGTCATTTGTGTTTCTCTCTAAACTGGTTATTCTAGTTAGCAGCTCCTCTAACCTTTTATCGGGTTCTTAGCTTCTTTGCATTGCATTAGAACATGCTCCTTTACCTCAGTAATGTTTGTTTTTAACCACTTTCTGAAGCCTACTTCTGTCAATTCGTCCATCTCATCCTCCATCCAGTTCTGCACCCTTGCTGGAGAGGCATTGCAATCATTTGGAGGAGAAGAGGCACTCTGGCCTTTTGGGTTTTCAGCATTTTTTCATTGATTCTTTCTCATCTTCATGAGTTTGTCTAGTTTCAGTCTTTGAGGATGCAGACCTTTGGATGAGGTCTTTGTGGGGATTTTTTGTTGTTGTTGTTGATGATGATGTTGTTTTTGCTTTCTGTTTGTTTTTCTTCCAATAATCAGGTCCCTGTTCTGTAGGGCTGTTGCAGTTCACTATAGGGCTGGGAGTTCACTTCAGGCCCTTTTCATCTGGTTCACACCTGTGCCTAGAGATGTCACTTGAAAAGGCTGGAGAACAGCAAAGATGGGTGCCTGCTCCTTCCTCTGGGATCTCTGACCTCGAGGGGCAGCAGCCTGATGCCAGTAGGAACATTTCTGTATAGGATATCTGACAGCCCCTGTTGGGGGGGATCTCACCCCTTTGGGTGGCACGGGAAGCAAGACCCATTTAACAAGGCACTTTGGCTGTCCCTTGGTGGAGGGGGTGTGCTGTGCTGGGGGGAAACCCAGTCACCTGGGCTGCCTAGATTCCTCAGAGCTAGAAGGAGGAAAGACTAAGCCTGCTCATCCATGGAGGCTATGGCCACCCCTCTGGCTAGGGGCTCAGGCCCAGGGAGATCATAGTTCTGTCCCTGAGCCCTGGCTGGCGTTGAAATTTTTGCCGGGAGGCCCTGCAGCTGCAGTGTTGGCTGCCTGCACTCCCCCAAGGACCTCAGATGGCTTAGACCACAGGCAGCTGCCGCAGTAGTGATTGCCGCCCTTCTCCCTGGGAACTCGGTAGGCTTAGGCTGATTCTAGCCCAGTGGCTGTTGAGAATCTGCACGGCTCCATGGTTGAGAGCTAAGACCTCGGTGGCATGGGCTTCTGCGTGGGATCTTCCAAACCATGGGTTGCACAGTTCCTTGGAAAAAGCTCGGTTTCCCAGACTGGTTAACATGCTCACTCGCTGCCTCCCTTGGTTGGGGGTAGGGGCTCTCCTGCCCCATGTGGCTCTCAGGTGGGCCACCGCACCACACTGTACTTCTTTTCTCTCCATGGGTCATGCCAGCTGCCTAGTCAGTCCTAACGACAGAATCTGGATACCTCGGTTGCCAGTGCAGGATTTGCACGCTATTTTGGATCTTTTTGATGGGAGCCTTCAATCACCACTGCTTCCAACATTATGTTTTTGAAATTTATCCATGCTGACATATTTTTAACTACCATATAGTATTCCAAGGTGTGAATAAACTCTAGTGTATCCATCCCCTTATACGTGGGTTATATTTATTTTATTTTATTTTACTTTTTGGTACTTCTCTGAACAGCTTTGCTCAAGTCTGGTTTAGAGAAATTCAGAATATCAGGGATAGGAGACTTCACTTAAAGAGACTGTGCTATCGACAGGAGAATCATTCAACACAATTACCTGCACACCTGTTTCTGCTTGAATCTCCTATTTGAATTTCATTCCTTGTGTATCTTAGTTATGTTCATAATAAACTTTGTCCATTTGAGATGAGGGCCATCCATTTTTCAATTAAGTGCTATCCTGCTCTTCTAACTGGTTAGAATGATAACCATAAAAAATGCATCTTCTAAAATGTAACGCTTTATAGCACTGCAGGAAGATATTTCCTACTAAGTTAAGTCCACTACTTTAGGTATTCTGTATTTTTATGTATGTATCCTCTATTTTGCTTACTTTTTGACTTTTAGCATTGGAGAGAAGGAAACATTTTTCTATTTTTCTATTTTGGTTGTGTGATTTTTCAATATATTGCACCAGTACAATTTGTGCCCATTAAGGTCTGTGAAAAAGCAAAGGAGTTACATAATTTACTTGAAAGAGAAAAAGCTATTTCTTAGTGAAGCTCATTTAAAGGATATGGAAAAGCAAGTTAACTTGAGGTGATTTTATACCATTTGATTATTGTTGACATCACTAATAAAAACAAGAATTAACCTAACTAAACAAATTTTCATTGGATACATTTAAAATATATTGAATCCAACTACATTCTCATACATTAGAGCATTACAAATGCATTCCAAATGACCATCACACTGGCTAGCTGGTAATGGTATGAGAAGTGATGCCTCTGATTTGCAGAAAGGACAGCTCTGTACCCAGTTATCTAGGCCCCATGAAAGCATGGTCCTGGGAGGTCAGTGGACTGTGGCTGTTTTTTCCTGCTAGCCTCTGGCCATTGTGAAAGCTGTGAATGAAGTGCAGCTGCCAAAAGTTTCGAGAGTTAGCCTTAATGAATATTTCTCCCCAGAAATCTGGCCTCTTAGTGGATAATATGGGAAATGTTTAAAGGAAGTAACTGGCTCACCATTCGACTTCAAGTTAAATTCTAACCACCTTTCATTATCCTGTGAATCTGCTAGATACACTCTATCTTGTTCACTGAAATTCAGGATATATTTTTAAGGAGAGTGGGAAGAGGAGCACATTCCAGAATTTATCCTCATTATGTAAACAGTAGAAAGGCATTGATGATTGGAATCCAATCTGGAAACATAATTTTTTAAAGACAAACTTTTAATTAAAGGCAATTACTTCTACCATATGGAAAGATATTCTTTAAGCTGTGGTGTATATAACCCAGATGGGCTAAGAAGTCCTGTGGCTCAAAACATACCCCATGAGGAAGGAAGGAGGGGGACTGGTGAGTCCCCTGATACAGAGGCACCAATGGGCATTTTCCTCTGTCCTTGAGTAACTGTAACTACTGAATTAACTGTGGTTTTAGATTTTAGTAATTATAGGAAAGAAGACCCTCTTGGGGATTACATCTGTTGTTTCCTAGAGTATACCTAGGGCGTAAGGGATCTTTAAAAATGTTCTGTGTAAAGGTCCCTAAAGAAATTAAAAATAGAATTACCATATGACTCAACAATCCCTCTTGTGGGTATATGCCCAAAGGATATAAAATCACCACCTCATCAAGATATCTGCACTCTCATGTTCATTGCAGCATTATTCATAATAGCCAAGATATGGAAACAACTTAAGTGTCTATCAATGGACTGATGGATTAAAAAACTGCAACACACATACACACACACACACCCACACACACCACACACACACACACACATACAGATATAAATATTTTTCAGCCTTTAAAAAAGAAAGATTCTGCCATTGACCACAACATGGATGTGGAGGACATTATGCTACGTGAAATAAGCCAGTCACAAAATAAAAACTTTATATGATCTAACTTCCATGTAGAATCTAGAAAAAGAACGAGAATAAAGTGGTTACTAGGGCTGGGGAGGGAGGAGGAAATAGGAAGAGACAGGTCAAAGGATGCAAAGTAGCGGATATGACCAAGCCTAAAAATCTGATGATAATAGCGTAGTTAATAATGTGTATCATATTTAGTATTTTTGCTAAATGAATAGATTATAGCTTCTCTTGTCATAGGGGAAAAATGAGCAACTTTGTGAGATGATGGATATGTTAGTTTCCTACACTATAGTAAACATTTTACTATAGATGTATCTCAGAACCTCATGTTGTGTGCCTTAAATATACACAACACAATTTATTAAAATTTCAAAAATAGTTTGTTGAGAACTAAAAAATAAGGTTCTGGATGTCACCCACACCCTCCGAAATGCAAACTAGTTACAAATTCATTGATCTGTTTATTAGACCCCCAGTGTGATGAAAAATTAATTTATTTATTGTAATATTTACTGTAAATAATACTTAGTAGGGTGAGGCCAATGACTGCCTTCACAAATGACTGACCCTGGGGCAGAACTTACCTATAAAATTATCATAGCACATTTGATAAAAGATTCTTAATACGTTGGAATAAAACATGGATATGTATTTAGTTACTAAAATATCTACAGTTTCAATTTCTTCATGTGTGGATCATATTTTACCCCTGTGTTGAGAGAAATATTACAGCTCTTACAGTCCATATCACTCTTCCCAAGCTCAGTAGGAGCCACTTGGCAGTTTCAAGCATCTTAATTACTCAGCCTCATGAGTTCTCCAAGGCTTAATGCTGGATATGCTCTGACCTCCTGACTTGAGAGATGAGCTTAATTTCTCACTGTTTCTGATCATAATAGCAGGAAGCTCTGTCAAAATCCTAATTGGTTGTCAAAGTTGAAGAACTCATCTCGATGGTGCCATGCAGAATTACCCTACTGAGGAATAAATGAGTGAGCACATGTAAAACACTTAAAACTGGGCCTGGCATGGAGTAAATGTTAGCTGTTCTTAGAATTAATTTGATATTCTGAATGATTTCCAAAACAATGAGTCAAACCAATGAGGTATATTTTGAAAAGGAATGTACTAAAAATATTCTCCACACTGATCCTGCTGCCTCTGAGTGGGTAGAATAACTTCACAATCCTGGACAACCAACCATTTGGAAATGCTTTTCTTCTTAGAGCTATAAATGTATGTATGGACTACTCTGAAAATTAAAGCAATATAAACGTATTTATTCATCCTCACAATGGCTGGTGAAATGTGAGTAGTAAGTAAAGGTGTTTTTCAGTTTTGGAAGTTGCAGGATAATGGAGTTTCTAGCTCAGTAGTTTTATTTCAGAGAGCCTGTACAATTTGCACATGTAAAAATAGTCCTACTGTATCCCAGAGGAGCTTGATTTCAGCAGTACCAGCAGCTCCATAGAAGTGCACAGAGAGAAATTGTTCTAAGAAATGTACTCTCTGAAAATGTCACCACATTCTACTGCAGCATGGTCATTTGCTGACTATTTTTCACATTGTGTCTGGCCTTCTTAATACCAGGACTCTCTTTAAAATGCCAAAGATACCCCTCCAAAAATACACATGAATCAGTCATTTGCATTTCCTCATAAAACTCTTTTGCCTTTTTAAAGAGCACAGGGTCGAAGACAAGGACGCCTTTCTGTCTTTTCACTGAGAAGCAGTCACTGAGAACACCATATAGTTTCCCTAATTTATTTATGCAAGTGCATCATGGGGCACTGCTCCATCCATACTTTGAAAGACTAGAAATACATTACATGTTTCAATATCACCCATCCTGCTTCCTGATATTTTGTATCAGGGAAGAACATTGTGATTATCTGCTAAAACTTTCCCATGACCAGCCCTATCCAGTTGCATAGATGTCCATTTTCTCTTTAGCTGATCATTGGCTTTCCACACTTCTATATATAGAGTTGACTTCCACTTAGAGCGATTTTTTTTCCTCATCTGCATTTTAGTCATCACCATCATGGTTCCTCTTATAGCCTGTCTAGCTCTTTCATCTTTAATCCTTACATTCTTCCTTCTTCCTCTAAATGATTTCTTTCCTGCCTTTTTTTCTCCTTTGTCACTTATTTCACAAATAATAGCTCCATAACAAAGTGCTGTCATTGTGTGGACATGGAGAAGAGGAGCTCCTCTTCTGTGTTCTGTGCAATGAGCACAAAGCATTGGGTGTGAATCTTCCTGGCTAGATTTTCTCTTTGTAAACATTTGAGACACTTTGGGGCCATTGCTTCCAGAACCAAGCAGTCCTGGATGCTTGTGTGTTGCCTAGGGTTGGTGTCTGGACCTCTGCTACTGGGAGTAGAGGTTGCAGTGAGGCTGGGGCTTGCAGCATTTGGTGAGGGACTAGGCAGGAGGCATACTGAAATCAGGCATTGAGGTTTCCATGGCTCAGACAGAGACTCAGAGACTGACAATACGCTGAAATTAAGAATGCGAACAGGCCGGGTGCGGTGGCTCATGCCTGTAATCCCAGCATTTTGGGAGGCTGAGACGGGCAGATCACTTGAGGTCAGGAGTTCGAGACCAGCCTGGACAACGTGGTGAAACCCTGTCTCTACTAAAAATATAAAAAAATAGCCGAGTGCGGTGGCACACGCCTGTAGTCCCAGCTACTCGGGAGACTGAGGCATGAGAATCTCTTGAACCCAGGTGGTGGAGGTTGTGGCAAGCCGAAATTGTGCTACTGCACTCCAGCCTGGGCAACAGAGAGAGATTCTGTCTCAAAAAAAAAAAAAGAATGTGAACAGAAGACATGAGAATTAGGCCAGAGTAAATAGGAAAGAGACCATTCTTGATCTGTGGGCTTCCTTGGGCCCCAGCAGGCAGTGGAATTAAGGCAAGTGTCCTATAGCTTAGGAGCCTGCCCTAGCCACTATCAAGAAAGGGTGCCAATTTGCCCATTACTCAACACCTACAATGAATCTTGCTTCCGATGGGCCTCAGGGTCATGGGATTGGCCTTCTGTAGGGATTGGTACCTGGCAGATAATCTGCCTGTAGCAGGACTGACACTCTTGCCTGTGACATCTTCTGAATATAATAAGATCCTGGGCCATAAGTCACCCACAATAAGATTTCGAATTGTCAGCAGAGTGAAGTTCAGTGTTTGCCTGAGATCTGGTCCTGAAATGTAGTCTATCTGAAAGGTAGTCATAGCTCCCTCAAGAGGGTTGGGAGAGATTCATAAATTTTCATTCTGTTGTTCCCTGACGTTATTCCACACATGTAAATTTTTAAAGCATACTCTGTTAATAGAACAGGAAGGAGATAAAAGTGAAACTCAGAAAAGTGGATGGCAAGAATTCTGCGAAAATTTAATTATTGCCATCCACAAAAGTAATAGGTAATTCTTGAATTTTAAAAATTAAATGGTTACTTGATTTCACATATATGTCTGTGTTAGGAGATGAGACAGACCAGGAATCTGAAAAAAATAATTCTAATCTGCATGTGCATATGCATGTGTCTTTGTGTAATAATTTATAATGTGCAGACACCAAGTCTCATAGAATTCTATCTCTATGCAATAGGAGGAAGAAACTGAGACCATTTTTATTTTAACATTCATTCTTCATTATTTCCCTAGGGCATTTTTTATTTCAGATGGTTCATTCTTTTCAAAGCCCATAAGTCTCCTTAGAAAAAATGTTCACCTTGGGAAAGTAGAGACTCCACACTGAATCTTGTGCGGCTCTTTTCCTGGCCATGGAATATTTAAAATGAGCGCAGAGGAGGGATGAGTGTTTTGCATTTTATTGCCTTATGCTCTGCATTTCAAGGATAATCCAAATATCTAAAATGTGTTTGCAGTAAAGCACCCCTTCCTGCTTGCAGTGTCCTTGAATACCACTGAATGTGTCATCACTCTTCTAATATCAGTAGCTGAGAATAAATCTAACCACCATGAGGCTGTAAAACATAAGTGTTCCCCATAGTAATACTAAGATAAATGCAGAGTCATATCAGTAATACTGCCCTGGAGGTAGAACTTTCTGCTGGAGCTTATCATGTGTTTAATGAAAGATGCAATCAGACAAATTAAACGCCATATATTTTATTCATATTCATGCAACTGTTCTTTTAATCATGCCCTTCCATGAAAGGCCAAGTTGAACCACTTCTGTTTCTAGTCTACTCCACTCACCCTGCCCAACCCTCCTCTTATAAACAAGAACACAGGCAGCCCCCTGGGAAAGGGCTAAGACAAATGGAGCACAGCTGCTGCTCTGGAGAAGGGGGAAATTGACTGTTGTTGTATCAGATCACCACTAGTCTTATTTTTCTCAGTCAGCCATAAGCATCCTGTGTCTCTTTAATCTAGAGGCAGCTCAGAGGCCTGGGGAGGGAGAATGCAGGGCAGACAGGGCTTGGCACACAGACAGGCTGGCCCTATTGTCAGCAAAAGGGAGGTCTAAATTTCCAAAAAGATCTTTAGCAGAAAACAAATAGAACACAAGCATCAGTAGATTTACTTACAGAGTACAGCTCATTAAGTCTCCTCTACCCAGCTAATTATAGTCTAGCTTTGCCCCTTCCCTCACTTCATTCAGATTGGGAAGGTATGGGAAATAAACTGAATTCATTTGGCACCTCATTACTGAGTATGGTTCTCTCTGGGTATAGGTGTTTTGTTCTAAGTGTGTTTCTCTTGACGACAGTGTGTAGTTAGAATTGGCTTTGTGGCTCAATAGGAGTCTGTTTCTTTTCATAGGAAAATTCAGACCTTTATTGACATGACAGAAATGTTTGCTTTTAGTTCCATCACCATATTTTATGTTATGACTTCTGTTTTTGTTATGTCAAAAATATTTTAGTGTGTATTTTTTCCTAATGATTAACTTTGTCCAATAAACTGAATCCTCTCTTTTTTAAAGTACGTATACTGACTCCCTATTATGAGCTAGAGGTGAATTTAAGACATGTCCATTTTAACCCTCCTCACTCCTTCGCCTCTACTACCTAAATTTAAGTTAATTATGCTTTTTTAGTGTTTATCTTTACATTTCACAGCTTTATTTCTTGCTTTTCCATTTTAAATGTCTTTGGATCCCTTGGCTACGAGAGATCAGCCTGTTTACAAAATCTGCCCTTACCGCTCCCTTCTTTGCCAAAAATTATGATTATAATCATTTCTATATGGTGGGGGATGAAGACATTTACATTCTGGTCTACAATAAAAAATTACTATTTTTATTTCAAATCCTAAAGTTAAATGGATTTAATGATCACACCCATGCCTTTTACCTTGGAAAGCTAAAGCTTGTTCTCTTCCACTTTTTAAGGAACTGAGGAAATGTATATTCATTGCATGTTTTTAAAAGTTTGTCTTCGGATTTTATACATGATCTGTATTTTGTGGCTGGGTACGTAAATCTCAGTTTACACTCATTCTTTGAAAACTTTATAGTCATTGCTTTGCTATTTTGGGAACTGTTAGCAAATTCTTTTAAGTATCAGGATACACTTATCCAGCAATTGACCCAGAAATTCCACCCCTAGATATTTGGCCAGGAAAAATACCAACATATTCCCATAGAAATATTTGAATATGAGTGTTCATAAAAGCTATATTCACAACAGCCAAAGGCTGGTGATAATTCAAATTCATATCAGAAGGAAAATGGATGAATAGGTCATGGTGTATTTATACAATAGAATATTACTGAGCAATTAAAAGAAACCACTGACACACATGTCAACATGAATGAATTTTGTAGACAGCATATGGAGCAAGAGAAGGCAGATATAACAGTGGTCAAACATAGGTTTTGATATTTTCCTGCAGGAAGAATACTGCACTAAGCCCTAGTGTGTAACCAGCTAGAAATGTAACTTGTGAAACTCAAGCCTTTCTAGGCTTTGACTTTGCATCTAAAAAAGGAGAAGTTTAGATGAAATTATTTCCAGCTTTCTTAGGGTTCTAAAATCCAGAGACATTAGTCATTTATAGTCTGCAGTAACACAGCTAAGAACTTTGAAATTCACATAAAAGAACATTAATCAAGCGTTCCATCCCTTAAAGTGTATGAGTTGTAATCTCTAATAACCTTCCAGTTTTAACACAATGGTTTCTAAAACATTGTGAGGAATTGCTACATACCCTAAAAATGAAGAATGCAGGCCTGAGTGAATAAGATCAAGTTATATCAGATTTACTAATCTATTTCATTACTCATTGCTTATATATCATTTCCTCTTCTCTACTAATGGTCAAGTTTTTCTTATTAATTCATCAAGTATGTATTGAATGTCTATCTTAGAACTGTATGCAGGTCCATAAATTTGTTTTATTATTGGTTAGGGAATTGACTATTATGTTTGGGTGTTTTTCTTTCCTTAATACAATAAAACAAATTGAAAGGTTTCATTCTCTCTTTAAAAATTAACTTAAAGTAACTTCTGATTAATATGTTTTCTCCACTTGCTGAGGTTTTCTTTTCTCCAGTGAGGTCTCTGTTCATAAACAAAATTGGGACTCACGAAAGATGTAGCTCTTCAAGGAAAGAAAAGAGAGTAGCAACTATCCCTAACAATTTTAATTATTTCTAGGCCTTAAAAAAGTACTATTTAAAGCTCTAATTTAGGTATAATTTACGGCTACTTAGAAAAGTACATTTGTTTGATTCCAATAGTATTCCAGTGTAGTCTAGTTGGTCTAAAAAATCCTAGATTTTAGTGCTGCTGCCATTCTCTAAAAAACTTAGATATATAGTTGAATTTTGTTTTTTTTTTTTCACTGCTAGTTAGACAACAGCAATCCCAACATTCTATGTTTGTCAGACTCTAGAAACTAAACCTCACATAAGGCAAGAAATAGAAATCACCATCCCAAATCTCAAGCTAGTCCAACAGAGAAGTTTATAAATGATTTTAACTCTGATCATGAGGGCATTGTTTATTAACCTGTCTAGGACCTGTTTAAGGGTTATAGGAGGGTCCTCTTTATTCCCAGTGAAGGCAATTGTGAGGTAAAATGAGAGTATCAGAGTTCTCCATTCCTGGAGTGGACTAATTTTTCAGAGCTGATCTCTAAATCCTTTACAAAATATTCAAAAGCCTTTTGGTGGGAGCCTTTTTGTCTAACAAAAGTACACGCTGTGACATTTGGGCATCTGCTCTGCAGCTTTGGCTACAGCTAGGGGTGACTTACTATACTCATGTGAAATTTCATCCGCACCTGCTGGATGTCCTGTAACAGGTGGCTGTTTCCTATGGATGGAGACCTTATCTTATACTCGGCATTTCCTATAGATCCTACCCAGTGGCTTGTATACCACAGGTAGCCATTAATTACTTGGTTAACCGACATTTCCTGCTAACTACTGTGTTTCCTGTAAACATAAACTTTAATTAACCCCTTTCTTAAAGATTTTTCTCAAAATAAAGAAAATATTATAAGTACCTTTCTGGGAAATATTTAAGTAAGAATATAGAATTTCATGTCTGAAATAATTAGTGTTAAGCCCTACTTGGATTGAAGACAATAACAGTAAAATAATTGCATGTTTGTTTCCAATCCTTCATTCCTTCCCATATTCTTGCCCTTTGCCCCATGACTTGGAGATTCCTTCAATGAGGGGTGGGGGATATATCCCCATCCCACTGAAGTCGTGGGAACAGTGTTTTATGACAATAACCGACTTATTCAGGCAAGGACACAGAAAATAAGACTGTCTTCCTGAAGATGATAACAGAAATCCTTCTCAGGTATAGTTCACAGATCAAGCAGATGAAGAGATTTTTAGTAGGTGATAAAGGCATTTTCACACTGCCATCGTGTTAAGTATTCATTTTCATTAAAGAGCAAGTGGTTACTTGACACCTTCTGAGATCTCCTAGTTGTTTAGTACATTTGAAAACATTGAAAAAGCATCTGTGCTCGTGTTTAAGATATATGCATTCTATTGTATCTCCCAATGAAGATAAAAAGCCACATGGTCCACCTTTGTAGACTACAAAAGCATGTCCCAGGCTCAGAGAAATCCTCATGAGTCATCTGACCATTCCAGTTGCAGGGCAGACACAATCTTCAAAGAAGACACATGTAAGTGCAACAAATAATACCTGAAAGGACTTTCCTATCATTTGGACACTCTAGGATAATATGTGTATGAGAGAGAGAAAGGAAGGGTATAGATAGGCTGACTTTTAACAAGAGGATGTACACAATATTTAGCACAGTTTAAGGAACAGTCCTGGAGAATGCTGGTGGCAGAGGCAAAAAGGAATATAGAACAAATTGAAAAGCAACCATTGACAATCAATAATATGTAGACAAAAAAGAAAGAAAAGTATCTGACTTCCAGGCCAGGGTAGAGACAGCCCATGAGCTTTCATTCTCTCAAGACCGAAGGCAAAACAACTTATCTGTGCAGAAGGAAAACATAAAAAAGGTCAAAATGTGCTCTATGGTCATTTAGAGAATAAGTGAAAAAAGAACAGGATGGAGCATTACAGAGACAAAGACTTAGAGAACCACAAAGAAGGTACATTGATGGGGAGGGAGGGAAAGACAGGATGTAAGTTGTGTTCTCCGTTTAGCAACAAGGACAGACAGTAGTGTTTATAAAGCAGTGTTTACAAAGGCAGGGAAGACCATACAGTTCTGCAGGCCAGGAAAAAAGAGCAAAGGGCTTAGTGGACTGAGGTGAGGAGTGATGGAAGAAAGCAGCAAGATGCAAATAGCTATTCAAAGCTAGTAAGAATGCAGAATAAATATGAATGAAAAAGGCAAAAAGCAAAAACACAACACA
This sequence comes from Homo sapiens, assembly GCF_000001405.40. Classification (NCBI taxonomy): domain Eukaryota; kingdom Metazoa; phylum Chordata; class Mammalia; order Primates; family Hominidae; genus Homo; species Homo sapiens. Next base: position 38,401,540 of record NC_000014.9, on the reverse strand, counting down.
GAACTTTGTTATTAATAGAAACAATAAAATATTAACAATTGTGGCAAGTTTGATCTTTTTTCCCCTAGAAATAAGTTAAGTTATTAGATCTTTAGGGAACATATATGATACTCTCTCCAAGTGATAATTGACTTTGGTTTTTTTTCACATTATCTTTTAAAATGCAATAATTGTCACAAGCAAAAGAATTTGTGTGTCTACACATGCATATCACTGATATGTGAATTATGAAGTACACTAATAAAATGAATATCCAAAGGTACACCACCCAGACCTAAGTACCAGAATGTGACAAGAATTATGTATCTACCAGTGTGCTGTACTCTTTTCCCTTCTCTCTGACTCCCTCTCACACATAGCCTTTGTCTTAGATTTTCACATTACTTTTCTGTGCAACATGTTCCCAATGAGATTTTTACCAAGTTCTAGGATTTCTCTATCAAGTTGAGTTGGTTACATTCTAAAACTTGCTTTTCTTGTTAAACTTATCAGAGAAGAATAAAATCCAAGAGTTAATTCAATATTTTCACATTTCTTAACCAGCCCCTTTCCCGTGGTCTAACTCCCCTCCCTGCTCTGTCCCCTGGAATGTCAGCATGGTTATTGGCTTGGCTCCTCTACTGACCTTAACACAAACTGAGTCCACTTTCCAGGTGGTCTATTTGCTAATGTGGGAACGCTGCAGGTAAGATTTCATCCCTGTATTACCCAGGGAGTTAAGATATTTCATAATCAAAGCAAGATCGAGGCTGTTAAATGGGGTATATAATTTAAAAAAGAATGTTTTGTTACTTCCTGCAACACATTTACAATCATGCGTATAAGTACAAACAAATCCATAGCTTCTTTGGTTTGTGCCTGCTGCATCCACATGTACTTTGTAAGATTTACAGATACTTGCATTTAAAGCCATCACTATTTCTAATTTCTTGGACTTAAGTTGTTTTTAAATATTAAATGACTAGCAAAACAGTCCCAGTATAGAGCTAGGAAAGAACTTCCTTAAAAACTTATGTAAAGAAAAAAAGAAAATTTGAAAAGAAAGAGAGAGAAAGTGAGCGCACAAGAGAGCCTGTGTTATATTTCATAGTAAATTGTTCTGCTTCTCAATTCAGTTGATTCTTATGATGCTACCTACTTTGTGCAATGTCAAGGTTTCCAATTTGTCTGACTCATTCTTCTTAAGCAAAATAAAATTGTGTCTCCTTTCTCCATTTTCTTGTAAAACATTTTATGTTTATATTTTTCTCAGTGCTTCACAACTGATCAAATGATCCCATCTATATTTAAAGCAGAAATAAAATTTTATATGATATATAAAAGTACATAATAATTATAAAATATTAATTTTACAATGCAATGTTGTTTTTAAAAAAGTGATATTAAATCTCTAAAAGACACAACAGGTATCCCCCATACTTACCTATTAATTATTGCCCATGACACTATGCCAACCTCGTTTTCAGCTCAGAACAGAGAATGTGCGTAACAAATAACTACAATTAGTGTTTTCCTTAGAAAGGGTCAAATTACATAATGACTATGAAGATGTTTAGAAATGCTAAAATTATAATTATTCTTTTATATGCATAATAGAAATAAAATGCACCAAAATGCACTGCTCTGACTAAATATTTTTTTGGAAATTCCACAGATGACTATTCTAGTCAACTCTTAAATGTTAACTCAGCATATTTTTCGTCCTGCATCATTAGAAATAATCTTACTGAAAAAAAGATGCTCTCAGTGATAAGAAACTTTCAAGTCTTTTAAAAACGTTTTATGGAAACACAGTTGGTGAAACTTTGTTAGTGAAAATGTAGTAAATGTGAAATAGACTGTGAAATATGCAGTGAATAGGGCTAGATATCCCACAGCTATCACAATGTCGCAAACAGAACAACATTTTCTAACAACTCCCAGAACTTAGAATGCCTCACAGTACTGCC